>NC_000007.14:112506779-112809809 GCF_000001405.40 Homo sapiens
GTGTACACATTATTTAGCTCCCACTTATGAGTGAGAACATGTGATATCTTTCTGCATCTGATTTTTTCCTTAAGACAGTGGCCTCTGAGGCCGGGCACGGTGGCTCACGCCTGTAATCCCAGCACTCTGGGAGGCCGAGGCGGGTGGATCATGAGGTCAGGAGTTCAAGGCCAGCCTGGCCAACATAGTGAAACCCTGTTTCTACTGAAAATACAAAAAAAATTAGCCGGGCATGGTGGCGGGTGCCTGTAATCCCAGCTACTCGGGAGGCTGAGGCAGGAGAATTGCTTGAACCAGGAGGCGGAGGTTGCAGTGAGTGGAGATCGTGCCACTGCACTGCAGCCTGAGTGACAGTGTGAGACTCTGTCTCAAATTAAAAACAACAACAACAAAAAAGACAATGGCCTCTGGTTCCATCCACGTTGCTGCAAACGACATGATTTCATTCTTTTTTTAAAAAATGGCTGAATAGTTTTCCATTGTGTATGTGTACCACATTTTCTTTATCCAGTCATCCATTGATGGACACTTGGGTTAATTCCATATTTTTACTATGGTGAATGGTGGCATTAGTGTTTAAAATCTGGGGAGAAGATAGATCAGTTTGCATAAGAAGCCATGGAATGGGACTCCAGTCTCTTCTTTCTAAGATTTAGAGTTTTGTGTTGGTTTTGAGTCAGCCTAAGTGGCCCTAATCAAGACCCAAAGGCCTGTCACACTTTGGGGCTGGTGAGGCTCAACAACTGAGCATCACACAGAGAGACGCCACTCCTGTCCTGTGTCCTTTACATAAACAGCCTCTGAACTGCTGAGGCCCGTTGGGGAGTGAAGTAAGCAGGACGGTGGAGAGGCCATGCAGGAGCCATGGGGAAGGTGGAGCTGTGGAGGCTGGAGTGTAGGGACGGCTGCTCTGCTCCTACCAATCTGTGAGAACCTGTGGGATAGTTTTTGAGGACTCCTCTTGAGGGTTCGTAGAGCATCTTTGTGGGGCTGAAATTCCTGCCTGGTTTGGAGGATGCTGTGGAGTCGGCAAACATTGAGCTTAAATATTAACAGGATATCATCGTAGACAAAAGCCAGGGCAGCCTGGGGTCATTCATCAAAATTCTGAGGGTACCCCTGCTCTCACCTGCATGGCTGAGGGGCTGAACCATGCTCTCAGCTTGTTTTCTCAACATTTTGGGTTGCTCCATTGCTTTCAGAATCCCATATACTCAGCCAGGTTCTTGGTTTCATGATGCTTTAGTCAGCTTGGGTTAACATGACAAGATACCATCGACTGAGTGGCTTAAACAGAAACTTATTTTCTCACAGTTATGGAGGCCAGAAGTCCAAGATCAAGATGCCGGTGTGATGGGTTTCTGGTGGGGGCCCCTTTCCTGGTTTGTAGATGGCTACCCTCTCACTGTGTCCTCACATGGTGGGGAGACAAAAAGAGAGGGGAGGAGGGGCAGGGGAGACAGGGGGAGGGAACTTTCTGGTATCTCTTCTTATTAGGGCACTAATCCCATCATGAGAGCCCCACAGTCAAGATTTCATCTAAACCTAATTACTTCCCAAAGGCCCCATCTTTAAATACCATCATATTGGGGGCTTGGGCTTCAATGTGTGAATTTTGTGGGGACATAATTCAGTCCATAGCACGTGGAATGCTCATGAGCCTCCCACTCATATCTCAGTCTTCCTATAAAGGGAAAACTGTGATTATTCTTCTATGGGCAGTGCCATCTTCCCAGGAGGGGGAGTACCCACTCTTTCTCTGAACTTTTGCTCTCTGAACAGTCATTTTTCATCTTCCTTGACTTTGCTCTGATCTCCTCCTTATGCAACATACCTGTGGAGTCTTGTGTCCTGTCTTTTGGGATGTCTCTAGCCAGGGACTATGTCAAGATAAGGAATAAGAGCTTAGTTTTGCCCCTGCAGCTCTCCCCCTCACATCTCAGGGATGCAAAGAGAGTTTTCAGGTCTCATCCCCTGTTGTGGTGGAATCTGGGGAGGAAGAAATTCTAAATAGGCAGCCATAGGCTGCAGGGAATGGAGGCTGCCCACTCACAGCCCGGGTAGCACTGCTAACCACCTACTCCTATGGGTCAGGACTTTTTTGCTGAAAGCTGTGGTGATTATCAAAATAGTAAACAACCAATAACACAGTCAAAATGGCTGCTGACCATAAGCCATAGATGATGAGACGGGAAAGATCCCGTGACCCCCTTCGCAGGTGGGAACTGGAGTGGCTGGTTTCACTCAGCCTGCTGCTGGCCACTCCACGCAGGAGTGTGTGAAACAGTGAGTGTGAGAACTGGACGAATGAACATTGAAACTGGCTGGTCGCTCCTTTCTGGCGTGATCAGGCTCTGTGCGGGCCCTGTACAACCAGTACTCTTTCAGCTCTGCCGTCCAGGGATGGCCAAGTGCAAACCAATGCAGTGAAGGATCAGGGTGGTAGCCCCTACCCGCTCAGCACCCGGGTTCTCGTCTGGTGTCCAGGAAGAAACAGGTCACACAAACTGTTTAAAAGGTGATGAATGCAGAAGCCTTTATTGAGCGGTGGGTGGCTGTCAGCAGAAAGGGAGGCTGGAAAGGGGATGGAAAGGTGATAGTTCTCTGAAACCTGGCCGTCTTCGGCTGGGGCCCCTCTCCAAAACCATGCTGTCTGAGGTTAGCTGCATCTATCTGTAGTCTCGGACACTCAGTTACTTTTCTGCTCACTGCTTAGCTACTTGTATCCTTGACACTCAGCTGCTTGTATTGCTCTGCCAGCTGAAGCCTTTAACGGACATAGGATAGGGGTGGGGCAGGCTAAAAAGGCAACATTTGGATGAAAAAAAAAACAGGCTCAGCTGTTTTCACTTAGGGAGTGGTTCAAGGCTTAAGGGTGGGATTTAACCGAGAGCCCTGCCCTTCTGTATCATTACCACTATATGGATGTAAATGAGCTAAATATCAGCTCTGGTTGTAAGTACCAGGACTCCGACTCCAATTGGGCTAAATAAGACTCCTCCAACTGGGGAACTGAGGGTGCTTGGGGGGTGGCTATGGTTTAAGTTTGGCAGGATCCTGGGGCTCGAATGCTGCTGCTATAGCTTTGTGTGGGCCTCTGTCAGTCTCTCACCTCTGTCCTCCCTCTTTGGATTGTCCTCTTCCTGGAGGCAAGCTCTCCTAATGCAATGAGGGAGATAGTTAATGAAAATCCCATGGAAACACCCTTCCAGTTTAGCAACTAGCCCCAGTGGGAAAAGGCACTTCTCTCACTCTCCGCCTACATAGAGAAGGGCTCTGCTGGGTCGTCATAGCTCATGCCTAGTCCTAGGGCAGTCACTGTTGTCAGGGCAATGAGGTATGATAATTGACCCAATCCGGGTCCATTTTGTTTCTGTGTGTATGTTTGTGCTTAATTGCATCACGAGACTCATATGGAACAGGGAAGAAACAGTTCCTCAAAAGAAACTGGGAGGTGCTGGCAGGCAAACATGCGAACCATCTACTATCTACTTGTTGATAACAAGATGTTGGTGAAGAGTAGAAGAGCTCCTCTCACCACAAACTTGTGCACTGCTGTACTTGATTCAACTCATATTTTGGATGCTGCTTCTAAAATTGGTGGGAGGAAAATCCCAAAAGGTTGACTCATGGTGATGAGAGTAGTGAGGGAGGAAGGGACTGCCTGTGTGGTGTGGTTTTCTTTCTGTGGGTTTACAGATGAATTATTGGGTGCTCTACTTCTGCCTTTCCCTGGGGGTGTCTAGTAGACACCAGTGCAGGGCAGGGAAGGTGAGGGGGCTCAGGCCACCTCCCCAGAAGCTCTCTCTCCTGAACTGGCATCCATGCACACCTCCCTGTCATGCACATGCAGTGTTTCTGTGCAGGGTGTGGAGACACAGCTCCTTGTGGTGCAATGAGGAGAGGTTGCTTTAATATGACTCACTCTGTTTTTTAAAGGTTTATTTTTATCAGCTGTGCATGGGTTAGGGTTAGAAGGTAGTTGATGTTTAGGTATGAGTGGGAACCTGCCTCCCATTTTCATTCACTATAATTGGATGTGGATGGGTTTTTTGAGCAGACAGTAGGATGAGAGAGGGGGCTTAAAGAAAGGAGGAGAGGGCCCACTCTTATGGGAGATTGCTCCAGGCAGAGCAGCTGGAGAGCAAAGAAGATGTATAGCTGGAGGTGGGCACAGCAAACAGAAAGGGAAAAGAGGAAAATGATGTGGGTGGAGATGGATGGAGATGCAGGGAGTGAGGAAGGTGCAGAGAGAGAGGCTGGTGGAGAATTTGAAAGCCAGGAGTGATTTAGTGAAGCAGTGATATGGAAAGAAGGATTTGAGAGTTGTGGTGTTTGTGAATCAGCCATGCAGATAAATATTTTAGCCATCGTGATCAAAAATGTGTATCACAATTCATGGGATGTACAAGCAAAACCTAGGAGGGTAAAGATTACAGATGGATGTCCACTGTCACCACTATTTTGCTAATTTGGTTCTGTAGCTCCTTAAACAGTAGCTAACTCACTTTTATTGAATGCCCTTTATATGCCAAGGACAGAGCTAACCACATTACCAGCGTTGTCTCATTTCATGCTCATAACAATCCTATGAACAGGTGCTATTTAAGCAACCCTATTTTATAGATGGAGAAATAGGCTTGATGGCCCAGTGTTTTAGTTTCATGGGGCTGCTGTAACAAAGTACCACAAACTGGATGGCTTGGAACAACAGAAACTTATTGTTTCTCAGTTGTAGAGGCTGGAAGTCTGAAATCAAGGTGTCAGCAGAGCCATGCTCCCTCTGAAGGTGCTAGAGAAGGATCTATTCCATGGCTCTCTCCTAGCTGTTGGTAGTTTCTTGGCTTGCAGCAGTAACTGCAACCTTCACCTGGCATTCTCCCCGTGTATGTCTGCCTCTTCACATGGCATTCTTTCTATAAATGGATAAATTTTGGATGAGGGGCATATCCAACCCCAGGATGACTTCATTAATTAATTTTAACTGCAATGACCCTATTTCCAAATAAATTAACATTCTGTGGCCCTGAGGATTAGGACTTCAACACATGAATTTGGGAGGAGGGACGTAATTCAACCTGTAACACCCAGGAACCCATGGACACCTGGGGTCCTATGTTGGCAGTGCTCCTGGCCTGTTCCCACCTCCTCTGAGGCCTCTGGCAAGGACAGGCATCCCCCTGCTCTGCGGCTGGCTCTGGGGCTCAGCTGTGGTGCACACACTACAGTGACAGCCTTGGCCTGATGGGCTGGAGTCATTGCCAGGGGGCAGGTGCTCTGGCCCGGCCGCCATGGCAGCTGTGTCTTTGTCATCACTGCCATGTCTTGCTGACCCTCTGGAGAACCTCCTACCACTCTTTGTCATTTTTTGTTTGTCCTCTGTGAAATAGACTCACAGCCTCCGTCTATGTGCTTCTCCATCTACGATGCCTGTGTAATTGTTTCATAAATGCTTTTGGAAAATGATTTGTTTCCATTGCAAATGCACCATGATTCACTTTTGCCTTTCTATCTGTGGATTTAAAATGGATCTGCACTCCCCCTGCCAAAACCCCAGGAAGGCAAATGTAAACAGTGTACCTGCTTAGGGGTCCCACTATCTTTGAGAATAAAATTATCAGCATCCTTTCTCTTCCTTAGACTATCTTCAAAAGCTGAGGCCTGTTGTACTACTTCCTGGGCTGGTTTCTGTTCAGCAGCATATTTGATAGGGAACTGTGATTTGAATGATTCTATCAGTTCCCCAGCAAAGCAAGCCTCATTCTTGTCACTCCTCATTCTTATTTGGAAGTCTATAGAGGACACACACAGTCACATTCCCCTTTACTGTATAATGTTCCAATCAGCAGCCAGCATAATGAAATCCAATTCATATGTTAGGCTGTTGTGGTTCTAAAAATATTTCACATCCCCCTGAGGGGCTAAGGAAATTGGAGGAATCAAGGTATTACCGCAAACCTGTCATTTGCAGAAAAGTTCTTCAATCATTTTTGGAGGTGGTAGATTTGTTCTTAAGAAAACAAAAATAGATCAGCTCTCCAAAATGAGGCTGCGTGTGAGATCGTTCCACTGAACCTTTACTCAGATGCCAGGCCCTGCGTGCAAGTCTAATGATCCCTCACTTCAGATATATATGAATTATTAAGGTCAGTTAATTAACACATTTTTCTTCTGCTGAAGTAATTAGATGAATAGAGCTCTTGCCCTCTTTTTGGCTTTCCTGGCAGTTGCTCAGGGCTGAATAGAGGCAGTAAACATATTGCCAAACAGATGCTAACCAGAGAAGTAATTTTTCAGTTTCCATTTGATTTCTGAAGTGTTATCCTGCAACTGAAATAAGCTCCTACTTGGGGATGGTAGGGGAGGGCAATGCGGAAAAAGAGAGAATGAGGTGAAGAATGGGCAACAAGCCCCCACACAAATCTGCCTGAGAGCCTCTGCTAGATACCCAATGTTCATGTGTCATTCCACCTAATTTTTTTAATACTTCCTTCACAACATCTCTATGTCATTTGTACAAAAGTTATCCAAAGGGAATATTTATTACAGCTGTTTGCATGAATATTCCCAGGCCATTTCCTTTCTGTCCCTGGTGTGGCCACAACATTTTAAGTGGCCAGAAATTAGGATTTGGTACGTTTAAAGTGGTTTGTCTGTAATACGTGTCTCTTGATTTTTCTAGGTCAGTGGTTCCCCAGACTGCCTTTGTACTAGAATCATCTAGGGGCACCTAAGAAAGAACACCTTCCCAGCCTTTACCTAAGATTGATGATCTCAGCATCTCTGGGGACTGGCCTGGAAATAGGAGTTTAAAACATCTCTCAGGGTAAATCTGATGCTCAGTCAGAGTGTGGGAGGTGCTGTTCTTCGTAATGGAGATGGAAGTGTCGACACTCAGGAGCTCTCCTTCTCTTTGCAGACAGGTGAACTGTGATCATTCTATACCCTGGGCCTAATGGCCAGTCCAGGGAAGCCTCCTGAGTTGGTCCAGTCAAACACACGAAATGGCATTGATGGCTTGGTCTGTGGGTGTGATATGCATTACTCAGGATCGCTTGATGTTTTTGTCTCCAGGGCCTCTGCTGGAGCAACCAGCATTTTATGAAAATTGCCTTCTGTGGGAAGTCTGGCCGAGGAGGCAGTGTCCCACAGAAGAGAAAGATAAAGACATAGGTAGCAACTTTCAGACTTCCAAGAGCTCCAGTTTTTTCACCTGTGAAACAGGTTTAATCATAACCCATGCAGCTGTAAGGCAGGAACAAGGTGATGTGTGTGTGAGTCCTAAGTAAGTTTTAAAGTACTGTATTCATGGAAGGATGATGATGATGGTGATACTGATTTCAGCAAAACTCTGATAGAGATAAAGGAGTATAATGGAGGGTTGGAGAAGAAGGGATAGAAATTGTGCTGTCCTTAAGGGTGGGGCAGGTGGCCTAGCAGCGTCATGCCTGAAACACAGTCAATAAATGTTTCCTTGCTGAACGCTGCCTGGCTGAAATTCTGTGTGATTCCCCTGGTATGTCTTTCCCATATTTAGTAAAATGTAATGATCACTTTTCCTGGTTTTAGCAACATTTTGCTTTCAAAAATATCATGGATGCAAGGAAGTTCCCTCACAGTGATTTGCCATAGCTCCACACCTCCCGGGAATGGTCCTGGAGACAGGCCTGTGCATCGAGGCACGTGGAGTGGGCTGGTCTATAGCACCCACCTTAGGAACCTGGGGACTTCATGAGGGGCCCGACTGCATGACAACTTGCTAGAATTCCCAAGAAAAATGATGGAGGAAGCATTATGATCGGTGGTAGGGCTCACAGACAGTAAAGATTAGAAGCCACGATCAAAAGAGGGGATGAAAACGGCTCCAGTTGAACTCTTTTTGAAATGGCAGAGTTGAGGCACATGGGCTCTATAGCTGGGATCCTGGGTCACATTCGTTGACAGTTGGGAGGGATAGCAGGACCTAAGTGCTTTATATGCATTATCTCACTTAATTCTTATAACAGCTCTAAAGCAATAGTATAATAAGAGGGGCACAATCCCTTATTTACAATTTGGAAACCCAAAAATCTTTGAAAGCCTCAAGCTTTTCATAATTCATTTGAATGTGAAATGAACCTGACCTGAAATCTTTTGACAGCAAAACCTAACTAGAACTTATGTGAGACTTTTTCTAGTTTTGATTTATCCCACCTGTTGTAAATATTCATGTTTTGCTGCAGAAATATTAATGAATTTGATTATAGAGGAGTGCATCAGAGCTCACTGGGTGTGTTACATAATACATGGCATATACACCATGCTACTGTTCTATCATCCAGAAATCTGAATTCTGAAAACACGTCTGACCTCCTCCCAGAGTTTGGGAATAGGGATTTTCATTCTGTTTCTCCACTTTCACAGAAAAAAAATGAAGCTTAAATCAGTGAAGTATTAGGTTGGTGCAAAATTGCAGTTTTTGCCATTACTTTCAATGGCAAAAATCGCAATTACTTTTGCATCAACCTAATAATTTGCCTAGGGTCACAAAGCTGCTAAGTTGGGAACTATGGTTGTGCCCCAAGTCTGTTGTGAGATATTCTGCTAAGAGTTGCTGTTTCTTCCTTGGTTTTGAATCCCTTTCCCAAAAGCTTTCCTTTTTGTTGTCCTGGTTTGTGTGGCAGGCTCCAGGAGGAGGTATGTGTGTGTGTGCATCGTGGGAAGTAGAGTCAGGTCTTCCTGCTTAGCTACCCATACTCAGGCTGCCTTGTTCTGTAAATACCTTGCGTTTTTCCTAAAACACAAGTCTGATCATTCCACTCACCTGCTTAAAAGCTTTTAGTGTACTATTCATAATAGCAAAGATAAGGAATTAACCTAAATGCCCTACAACAGTAGACTGGATAAAGGAAAGGTGGTACATATACACCAAGGAATACCATGAAACTACAAAAAAGAGCGAGATCATGTTCTTTGCAGCAACATGGATAGAGCTGGAGAGCATTATCCTTAGCAAACTAACACAGGAACAGAAAACCAAATACCACACGTTCTTACTTGTAAGTGGGAAGTAAACATTGAGTACACATGGACATAAACAAGGAAACAACAGATACCAGGGTCTATTTGAGGGTGGAGGATGGGAAGAGGGTGAGGATCGAAAAACTACCTGCTGGGTACTATGCTGATTACCTGGGTGACGAAATCATCTGCACACCAAAACCCCATGACACACAATTTATATAACAAACTTGCACATGTACTCCTGAACTTAAAAGTTAAAAAACAAAACAAAACCCTTTTAGCACTGCTAGAAGGTCAAGTCCAAACTCCTTAGAATGGAATATAAAGACGCCCTGCACTGGTTCCCAACTGGCTGTAGTAGCATGGGTGGTTAAAAGTATGGACTCTAGAGCTGTATCGCAGGGTAAAACCTTTCTTCTGCTGCCCCCTAGGTGTTTGTATCCCAGGCAAGTCTTCTCTCTGCCTTAATGTTTTATTTTTTATGTTATGTTTTTTGAGGTAGAGTCTCGCTCTTTTGCCCAGGCTGGAGTGCAGTGGCACAATCTCGGCTCATTGTAACCTCTGCCTCCTGGGTTCAAGCGATTCTCCTGCCTCAGCCTCCAGAGTAGCTGGGACTACAGGCGCCTGCCACCACACCCGGCTGATTATTGTATTTTTAGTAGAGACGGGGTTTCACCATGCTGGCCAGGCTGGTCTTAAACTCCTGACCTCAGGTGATCCACCCGCCTCAGTTTCCCAAAGTGCTGGGATTACAGGTGTGAGCCACCACACCCAGCCTGCCTTAGTGTTTTATCATGTAAGGCTGATTTAGTCATCCACTTCCTAGTGTTGTAATGAGGCATGAATGAGTTAATACAATGTAAAATGGTTAGAACAACCTACACAGTAGGCACTCAAATGACACTATTGTTTTCATGGTTTCTCTGGCCTTGTTGTTGCTGCCCGGACTCTTCCTGTCCCCATCTGACCACACGCTTCAACCATTCCTTCCAGAACAAGGAAGACTGAAGCAGCCTGCTCCCCCTGCTGCATGCTTTTTCCTTTCCTTTGTCCTATTGTCTGCCTGTCAAACACCTGTTTATCTTTGACAACTGAGTTCAAGAGCCATCTTCTCCTTAAAGACTTCCCCAGTTTGCTTTCCTCCTTCCTGTCCTTTGGGTCTCCACGATGCCACATTTGTATTTCTGTCACGACCACCGACAGTATTTTAAAGTCCTTATTGGTGTCCTGATCTGTTTCTTTGCCTGAATTTTAAGCCCCTTGAGAACAAATCCCCTATATGTTTGTATCTCCAGTCCCTGGCAGAGAGTCTGACACAAGCCACATAATCAATGTGTGTGGGTAAATGCTATAAAGAGAACTCGTTCCAACTTGGGTAGGAATTTCTGCTATGGATGCCATTTACAAGCGACAGAACCCACTCTTGCTAATTTGAGCTGAAAAGGAACATATTAAAAGACAGCTCACAGAATTTCCAAGAAGCCACAGAATGGGGCTTTGGATGTTTTATAGCCAGGAATACGATGCAAGTCACATCAGTGGGTTGTTCCGGTGGTGGTCCTCCTGCCATGCTGAGCCAGGACAGGGATTTGCCTTGCTGACATTGAGCATGGGGCACTACCTTCAGACCGTTGCCCCTGCTCCCGCTGAAAGCAGAACATCTCTGTGGCCACCCTCTGCCATCCTCACCAGCATGCTATCACATAGTGCCTGGGTGGTGCCTTTTAATTGTATTGCTTTCTCCCAAACTGAAATCTCCCATGGATGCACCTGACTGGTGGAGCCTAGGTCAAAGGCTTCTACACAGACTGCAAGGGAGACTAGCAAGGGGAAGGCATCTAGTTTAAGAAAGCATGGATTCATAAAGTGGGAGTGCCGAAGAGCAGAAAAGGGGGTTTCAAAGATGCTGAGTGGCCAGAATATGTGGTGAGAATGACAACGGCAGTGAGAATTGACACCACCAGCAGCAGCAGTGGTGGTAAAGGGGTGATGGCTGGACAAGGCTGTTAAGTGGTGAGAGGAGAGGATTTCAAGGGCAACAGGAGGGGAACTTCAACAGAGTTGGAGCATGGGATGCCTAAGACTCCGTGTAGAAAAATGAGGGAGACATTTGAGCTTAAAGTTCTAGACTACTGATTTTCTTTCTTTTCTTTTCTTTTTCTTTTTTCTTTCTTTCTCTCTTTTTCTTTTTGAGATGGAGTCTCGCTCTATCGCCCAGGCTGGAGTGCAATGGCACAATCTTGGTTCACTGCAACCTCTGTCTCCCGGATTCAAGCGATTCTCCTGCCTCAGCCTCCCAAGTAGCTGGGGTTACAGGCACTCACCACCATGCCCAGCTAATTTTTGCATTTTTAGTAGAGATGGGGTTTTACCATGTTGGTCAGGCTGGTCTCAAACTCCTGACCTCAGATGATCTGCCCGCCTCAGCCTCCTAAAGTGCTGGGATTACAGCCGTGAGTCACTGCACCTGGCCGACCACTGACTTTCTTAGCTGAGTTTTTCATTGCGCCTCCCTAATCTTCTCCATCAAGACTGATATCCTCTGGAAAAATGAGGATCACACTCACATATCACAATTGCGTTCTTCTAAAAAATGCTGGCTCTGAGGGATTCATTGGTAACAAAAGTGAGGAACTCTTCATAATCGAAATCAGTGCTGTTCACCAAATGTTCCAGATATGCACTGTCTGATGTGGTATGTGTGAGCTACACATGGCTATCAAGCACTTGAAATGTGGATAGTGTGACTGAGAAACTGTTAACATTTTTTTAAGGCAATTTAAATGTAAATAGCCACATATAGTCAGGGGCTAACTTATTAGATAGTGCAGGTGTAGATAATTTGATCTGTTTCGGAAGGCAAAAGAGATCACTACATTTGTAAAATTTAAAAACATATTTGAGGCTGGTCATGGTGGCTCACATATGTAATCCCAGCACTTTTGGAGGCTGAGACCAGCAGATCACTAGAGGTCAGGAGTTTGAGACCAGCCTGGGCAACATGGTGAAATCCCGTCTCTACTAAAAAATACAAAAATTAACTGGGTATGGTGACTTGCACCTGTAATTCCAACTACTGTAGAGGCTGAGGCACAAGAATCACTTGAACCCAGGAGGCAGAGGTTGCAGTCAGCCGAGATTACGCCACTGCACTCCAGCCTGGGCGACAGAGCAAGGCTCCATCTCAAAAAAACAACAACAAAACAAAGCGTATTTTAAAATGTATCATAGACTGGCATATAACCAAGTGTGTTTGTTGGCAAAAAGCCACTTTTTAATTGATAGAAATATTTTGGGGCATGATGATTTAGCAACAAATGTATAAAAAGTGAGATAGTAAGTTTAATTTTTTTTTTTTTTGGATGGAGTCTTGCTTTTTTGCCCAGGCTTGAGTGCAGTGGTGCAATCTTGGCTCACTGCAACCTCCGCCTCCTGGGTTCAGGCGATCTTCCCACCTCAACCTCCCAAGTAGCTGGGACTACAGGTGTGGGCCACCACACCCAGCTAATTTTTGTGTCTTTAGTAGAGATGGGGGTTTCACCATGTTGGCCAGGCTGGTTCCAAACTCCTCCTGACCTCAGGTGATCCGCCCAACTTGGCCTCCCAAGGTGCTAGGATTATAGGTGTGAGCCACTGTGCCCAGCTGTGAATTTAATTCTTAATAGTGATTCTGCACTGTAAAGTTTGTTAAACTAAAGATCTTAAAACTGGAGTTTGCAGTAACAATATTTTCCAACTAGGACATTTTGGAAAGCACTTATTTGTCAACAAAAGAAAAACGGCCAAATGTTTGGGATTGTGGTCTTTGAATCACACATCAGAGTCACTGTGGCAGGCTTATTATAATACAGACTGCAGGGTCTCACTTTTAGAGCTTCTGATTCTGTAAGTCTGCGGGGAGCTGAGGATGAACATTCCTCACAAGTTCTCAGGTGATGCTCATACTGCAGGTTTGGGGATCACATTCCAAGAACCCCTGACTTAAAGAAATGCTCTTTTAAAATTTAACTTTTTCCTTTAAGGACATCTCAGAATCTTTCATCTGTAAGTATTGCTCTGGTCCTCTGAAACTCCCAGAGGGAGTGGTATATGAGAGATATCCCATATAATTTGATCATAGAACCCTTCCCCTTAGGGTAAACCAAGGATTATAATTGGAGAGACACAATTCTACGAAATTCAACTGAATTCAACATAAAGCTTAGTTTCCTCATTCTTCCACTTCCTCGATCCAGCCACAAAACTAGGGTTCCATGGGCTCAGTTCTAGGCTGTTTTCCGTTTTCCATCTACCCTCTCCTCATAGGAGAGCTCACCTGGGGCCATGACTTGAAATGCTGATGATGCCCCATTTGACATCTCCTGCAATCTCTCCTCTGAACCCACATAGTGCATCCACTGCGTACTTAACATTTTCATCTCAAACTGAATGTGTCCTGAACTGAACTCTTTCTTGTTAATAATTCCCCCTGAGCCACTCTGATTCCTCTCCCGGTTTTCCCTACTTGGGAAATAGCATCACCACCCACCATCTGGATTGTCATTAAACCCATCAGAAATAGTTGTTATTTCAGCCAAAAAAGAACAAAAATGCGTATAAGAATGTATGTGTTGGGTGTGATTCTGTTCTGTGGGGCCGTTCCCTGGAGCAGTAGTCGTTTATCTCTGTTTGCCTTCTCTCCCACATAAGTGCATGCCACCCTTCCATGGAGGATTCGATGAACATGGATATGAGCCCCTTGAGGCCCCAGACCTATCTTTTCAATTGTGAACCAAAGGCCGACAAAGATGATCACTTTAAGGTGAATGATGATGAAAATAAGCACCAGTTATCTTTAAGAACGGTCAGTTTAGGGGCTGGTGCGAAGGATGAACTGCACATTGTTGAAGCAGAAGCAATGAATTACAAAGGTAGTCCAATTAAAGTAACACTGGCAACTTTGAAAATGTCTGTGCAGGCAACAGTTTCCCTTGGGGGCTTTGAAATACCACTACCTGTGGTCTTACAATCGAAGTGTGGTTTAGGGCCAGTGCATATTAGTGGACAGCACTTAGTAGCTGTGGAGGAAGATGCAGAATCAGAAGATGAGGTGGGGGACGTGAAACTCTTAGGTATATCTGGAAAGTGATCTGCTCCTGCAGGTGGTAGCAGGGTTCCATGGAAAAAAGTAAAACCTGCTGTGATGATGATGATGATGATGATGATGATGATGAAGATGACGAGGAAACTGAAGAAAAACTCCGGTGAAAAAATCTATATAAGATATACCAGCCAAAAGTGCACAAAAGTGAAGCCAGAATGGAAAAGACTTAAAACCACTAACACCCAGATCAAAAGGTCAAGAATCCTTCAAAAAACAGGAAAAAA
This sequence comes from Homo sapiens, assembly GCF_000001405.40. Lineage (NCBI taxonomy): Eukaryota > Metazoa > Chordata > Mammalia > Primates > Hominidae > Homo > Homo sapiens. The sequence goes on from NC_000007.14 coordinate 112,521,150, forward strand.
GTCCGAGTGCAGTGGATCACGCCTGTAATACCAGCACTTTGGGAGGCCGAGTTGGGCAGATCATGAGGTCAGGAGATTGAGACCATCCTGGCTAACACAGCAAAACCCTGTCTCTATTAAAAAATACAAAAAAGTAGCCAGGTGTGGTGGTGGGCACCTGTAGTCTCAGCTACTTGGGAGGCTGAGGCGGGAGAATGGCGTGAACCCGGGAGGCGGAGCTTGCAGTGAGCCGAGATCGCATCACTGCACTCCAGTCTGGGTGACAGAGCCAGACTCCATCTCAAAAACAAAACAAAACAAAACAAAACAAAACAAAACAAAAAAACAGGAAAAAATCTCCTGAAACACAAAAAGGATCTAGTCCTGTAGAAAACATTAAAGCAAAAATGCAAGCAAGTATAGAACAAGGTGGTTCTCTTCCTAAAGTGGAAGCTAAGCTCATCAGTTATGTGAAGAATTGCTTCCAGATAACTGACCAGGAGGCTATTCAAGATCTCTGGCAGTGGAGGGAGTCACTTTAAGAAAAGAGTTTAGACAATTTGTTAAAAAAATTTCATCTCATTTCATTTCTGTAACAGTTGATATCTGGTTGTCCTCTCTGTGATGCAGAGTGAGAACTTTTCCTACTGTGTTTAATAAATGTTTTCCAGGTTCCATCGCCAAGAATTTGTTGTCCAAAATGCCTATTTGGTTTTTAAAGATGGAACTCCACCCTTTGGTTTTAAGTATGTATGTAATGTTGTGATACGATATAATGGTAGCAGTGATCAGACATGGAAATGATGGGGAGACAAAAATATATATGTGAAATAAACTCAGTATTTTAATAAAGTAAGAAAAGAGTGTGTCTATACTTAAACATGATCGCAACCATAATACATGTATGCATGTGTGTGCATGTGTGTATGTGTACATACATAAATGTCTCCTTTTATCCATCTATAACGCCACATGCTAGATCAAGACATGAGTCATCTTTGATACATCATCACATTCTTTAAAAAATGGATAACTCCTGTTTCCCCAGGTCATGCCTTCATGGGGGTTACTATGAGGTCATAATGTAAGAAAGAAAAAAGGTATTTCTCTACCTCTGTTCCTGTCTATAACTGTGGAAACGGAGATGGCTCTCAGATCTCTCCAGCTGGTTCAGAAAGCCCTGAGATGCCTCACATGAGCTTAGGAGCTAGTACTCTCTGCCAGACTGCCCTCTCTTCCTCCCTCTGCCATTCTCTCCTACATCTCCCTGATTCCAGAAGGAGGCAGGTCCAACTTCATGCCCAGGCTGCTGTATCCCTCTGCTCTGATGAGCTCCACATTCCCTGGAAGTGAGAAGGGATGATTAACTCCTTCATATTCTGTTACACAGGCCAGAGGAGTATTGTTTTTCATGCTCTGTACCTGACTGAAAATTTAGTGAAAGAAATCTTTTATTTTTCATTTCGTGTATTCCAGGCTCTTTTGCTGTGACTCAGGCAAACAACTGTCCCTAAATTTCCTTTTCCTTCCTGTACTGACCTAGCGCTCTTGGACCAAGTTTGTATAACTTTATTCTCCTTTCTTTTAGGAAGACTTTTAAGAAGTGGCTTCTTATTCCTCATGCAAAGAGAACTGGGTAAGTTCTGCCCCAGTGGCCTTCCCTGTTTTCTTCCTGTAGTGTATCCAACCTCTTGCTTCTTATGCATCCTGCCTCCCACATTGGCATACACTTTTATGTTTGTGTATGTACATGTGTGTGTTTATATATAAGTTATATGTCTACTTATTTCCACTACTCTGTAGGCTCTTTTTTTTGCCTTCTTTTTGTAGTGGCCTGAGTTGTTCTTGGTGACCATCAAAAGCAGTGTACAAGGGTCAGAGAGGTAGATTTTGTCCTTCCAATTGTGTTGGAAATCTAAAGATGATGAGATCCCTGAATGCAGGTTCCTTAAACTCAATCAACCTTATTCACATTAAAGAAAAGATTGAAATTGCAACCTGAGCTTCAGAGGAGCATGTCATCGAAGGGCAGGACTTTCTACCTGTCTCCCCCTCAATTATGCTATTTCTATCAGTGCCAAACTTCTCTCGGTTCTCAGAGCCCACAGGGGCTGCAGACACTATCGGGAGTCATGGCACCTTAAGCACAGTTTAGCACAAGTGCTGCCTTGATTGCTCTTCAGAAAGCTGATGGGCAGATGGAGGCTCTTTTTAGGTCTTCATTATTAGCAGTTTATCATGTAGCATAATGTCACTTAGGCAACGTGGTACGGTTATGATGACATAATTTAAAAATCAATACACAAGGAAGGGTTTGTGAATTAAATGTGGCATTTAAATTTTCAAATGTAAAAGAGCACAAACATAGATTTAAAACACACATTTAAAAGTAAATCATGCCTGTGGTCGGTTGCTCCTCTTTGTAGTCCAGTCCCCAATAAATACACAATTTAGAGATTAAATAATTTAGAGATTCATTTTGGACCCTGTGCCAGTTTGATTCCAAATCATTCACATCATTGGATGGATCTAGTTTTCACTTGAGATGTTAAAAAAGTTTTAAAATCCTATGCTAGAAAGGTAGTTTAAAGAAAGGAAACTTAATTGACCTTATTCACATTAAGGAAAGATCTAAACTACAGCCTGAGCTTCAGAGGATTGTGTCATTGAAGGGCAGCACTTTCCACTTGTCCACCTCTCAGTCATGCTGTTTCCATCAGTGCCAACCTTCCCTCGGCAATCAGGGCACACAGGGGCTGCAGAGACTGTCGGGAGTCACGCACCCCAACTGTACCACATTGCCTAAGTGAGATGTTTAAAGAAAGGAAAATTCTTAGCTCCTGGGAGGTAGGGGCAAATGGGTGGGGTATTGAGCCAAAAAGGCCATTCCTGACTTGGCATTTCCTGAGAATTCTGAATGCCTGCTTCAGTGCCATCACAGATGCACCAATTGTGTCAGCATTAGCTTTCTATTTTTCTCTCCAGAGCAATGGTTTCCAAATTTAGCTGTACAACAGAATCACCTGGGGTGCCTATTAAAAACACAGGTTCTTAATCCATTTGGGTAATCAGATTTAGTAGGTCTAGGGTAGAGGGTAAGACCAACTCACCCTTAGAGTTGTTCACAGTGCTTTGAATTTACTTGCCTCAGGGATTTTTGCCTAGGAAAAAACACAAGCTGAAGACTAGCTCTTCTAGTTTTTCATGAAAACTGAAATTCAGAGTGGCAGCTGCTGCTGGCTGACTCTGGTCCCAGTATGATTTCTTATAAAGTATTTGGAACAGCTTTTCATTTCATCTCAATTTTCTTTTACCTTTCTCTTTAAATTAGATTATTTGTTCAAAATTTTATTGCTTGCCTGGCAAGTATTTTGTAGGACACCATGTACCCCCCAAAATGCACTCATTATGATACTATTATTAATTATTAATTGCTTCCAAATAGAATCCTTCAGTAAGCATTATTTTTGGCAAGTATCATGTACTACTTTCAGAATTATTTCAGTTGTTCAAAGAATTATTCGTAGGGCGGTGGCTCATGCCTGTAATCCCAGCACTTTGGGAGGCCAAGACAGGCAGATAACTTGAGGACAGGAGTTTGAGACAAGACTGGCCAACGTGGTGAAACCCCATCTCTACTAAAAATACAAAAAGTAGCTGGGTGTGGTAGTGCGTGCCTGTAATCCAGGCTACTCAGGAAGCTGTGGCAGGAGAATCACTTGAACCCCAGAGGTGGAGGTTGCAGTGAGCTGAGATTGTGCCACTGCACTCCAGCCTGGGGGACAGAGCAAGACTCCGTCTCAAAAACAAAACAAAACAGCACCAACCAACCAACCAAACAAAGAAGTATTCATAGTCCATTTGGCTATAATTTACAATATGGTGTACTATTCCATTTAAATTTCATATGTGGTCTGTGTAATAATAATGGTATTTCAAATATATGTATATATGGATGCTTCTATTTGTAAGTGGGTGAAAACATAATCAGCTATTTCCTCTCTTGAAGTGACATGTAAAGTAAAAATATAATCTCCACTCTCACATTAACATTCTAAGAAATGGGTTGGTAATCAGAGAAATTTAAATAGTAGATGCAAATGAAACTGTGTACATTATTATAAACATTTTTTCGATTTGAATGTTCAAAACCTACAAGTTCTCATTATATCTTCCCAAAGGGTGATTAGAGGAGACAGAATTACCTAACTTGAATAAATCAATTTTTTGCAATGTAATAACTCTCTGATTTTAAATTCACCATTCAAGTAAAGGTCTAATATTACCTATGTTGTACTCAATAAATTTGAAATGGTTGTGATTATGTCTCAACTTTACCTTTCCACCCTGATCTTTTTTATTCACTAAGAGACTAGTCCCTATCCTTTGCCAGGCTCAGATCTATGCCTGATGGCCAGTTGCACGGAATGGCTGGTAGCAGCCAAGGCTTATGGATTCACAAAAGAGTGAGTGCCGAGGAATAGAAATTACTTACCTCACCCTTGATTTCCTTGCAAACCATTGATCAAATTCTACCCTAAGCTTGTGATTTATTGCAGTTAAACATTTCTCCTTGCTCTCTATCTTCCCTTTTTAAAGCATATGGCTGTTTTTCATTCTTTTTCTTTTCTTCAAAGTTCAGTTGCCTATGGGATCAGAATTTTCTTGCAGGAGACAGTTTTTGTCATGGTAAATAATTTTTACCTAAAGGCAGTTCTTGCTCTAGGAAGCATTTTGTACATAAAGTAGAAGTTGACTCCTTTTGGGTGCCCGCTCAGCTCACCATAGCCACCACATCTCTACCTTCATTTGAGAACTCTCTCTTGATCCACAGGGATGGGCTACCGATAGCCATGTTTATATGTACAGCCTTGAATACCTTCCCCAGCCATGGGTGTTCACACTTGATTCAAGCTGAATCCACTATAGTCTGTTTCCTCAGAAAGTGAAGTTGGGATTCAGACAGAGATAAGTTAGTCTCTGGGGGTGGCTATCACTGTAACATGTGTCATTTAGCTTGTCCTTTAGCTCTGGGAGCAGTAATGCTGCAAAACACCCACAAATCTCAGGGTCACATGACCATCATTTATTTACACTCATGTATGTGTGCTTGCCAGGGATTTGGCAGTTCTAGTCTGGGCCCAGCTGAGCAGCTCTATTACATGTGCCTTTTATCCTCATCCTGGCACTAGTGGCCTATGCTGCAAGGTTCTTATGGCAATGCCCGAAGTACAAGGATACCAGTAGAAATGTGACAGATCTCATAGAAGCTAGGCTTGGAAGTGGCGCTTTCACTTCTGCCCCATTCTGTTGGCCAAATAAGTCAATGACTGACCCCAGTGCACTCTGCCCCTTGATAGAGCTGCAGTTATATGGCACATGGCATCGATATGGACTGAAGGGATGAGTGGTGGGTGGTAAGAAGAATCAAAGCCAGTGATATAGTCTGTTATGCACGTGAACTTGGGTTTACCTGTGGGTGGCCATATTCCTCCATGTAGACCACAAAATAGGGAGAGTGCATCTGTCTTGAAAAAGACTGACACAGATACTTAAAAACAGAAAGGAAGGATATCTCTATCCTGATGACTTTCCTATTTCTGGTTCTAGGTCTTTCCTGAGTCTTGGCTACATCTCCATTCTTGGTTTCTGTGCAAGATCTCTGAGTCCTTTTAATAAATCCACTCTGTGTGAATACTAAAAGGAAAATGGAAAGGAGGGCAAATAGAATTAGCTGATTTTCTCATGAGGAATCACAGTACCAACAAGAGCTCAGATTAACCATAGCTGTGTGTGTGGCCAGGTGGGAGACATGGTAACTGTAAGCAGGTAAGTAGAGGGTGATTTTCCCAAACGCATTTCTTTAAAATTTTTTTAATTGACAAGTAAAAATAGTATATATTTATGGTTTGCACCAAGATGTTTTGATATATGTATACCTTGTGCCAAATGCATTTCTAAAATTACATATACATCAGGAGCTTGAACAACTTCCAACTAAACAAGCTCAGTTGGAACAAGCTCTGGGTGGTGCTCATAAGAAAGTTTTGGAGGATCTTTCACCATTAGTGAACTCCACTCTTTGTGGAAAGTGTTTAAACTTCCACTGAGTACCTTTTCTCAACAGGAAAGTAAATAGAATGCAAAGCTTTATTGGTCAAGTAGAAGGGGAGAAAACTTTATTCTAATATGTGGTATGTTACACATGGTTGATTACCTCCAAATTAATATCTCCAGTCAGTTCTGACTTCTACTTTAAGCTCTGGATTTGCATGTCCAACTGAGACGGGAGATCAGCAGCACTTGTTTTCCTGGTACTGGTCATGACCCCATTCACGAGGCTGCTGATCAAAACAGAATGCAGTAAAACAACTGAGGCTGAGTGTGGTGGCTCACACCTGTAATCCCAGCACTTTGGGAGGCTGAGGCGGGTAGATCACTATGTAAGGAGTTCAAGAAACTGGCTGAAACCAGCTAAAACCAAGATGACAACAAAAACAATTGCTAGTTGCCCTAATTGCTCATTTTACAGTAACTATAAAGCATTAGCATACTAAAAGATACTCTCACCAGCACCATGATAATTTACAAATACCATGGCAATGCCCAGAAGTTACCTTATATAGTTTAAAAGGGAGAGGAACCCTCTGTTCAAGGAACTCCCCGTCCCTTTTCTAGAAAATTCATGAATAGCCTGCCCCTTATTTAGCATATAATTAAGGAGTGGCTATAAATATAGCTAGCCAGCAGTCCACTTGTGCTATTCTGCCTATGGGCCAGCTCTGCTCTGTCTATGGAGCAGCCATTTTCCTGTACCCTGTTGCTTGAATAAACTTGCTTTGCTTTCACTTTATCAGTTCTCTCTTATATTCTTTCTGGTGCAAAGCCAAGAACCATCCTAGCTGAGCCCTAATTTTGGGTTTGCTTGCATCACAACTGCCTATGACATCCCTATTTGAATGTCTAATGGGTATCTCAAACTTCAAATATCCTGAACGAAGCTCCTGGCTCCCCATTCCCCTAAACTTGCTCCTCCCGAGTCTTTTCTCACTATAGTGCATGATACATCCTTTCATCTAATTGCTTAGGCCAAATACTTAAAAGACATCCTTGATTCATCTTTTCCCTCCATTCAATCCATCAGCCATACACTTGATTTTCAAAGAATATGCTGACTCTAATCATGTATCACCTTCATTTGGTTGCATTTTCCTGAGCCATCGTCATCTCTCGCTGGTGTTCCCTGCTAACTGGTCTCCCTGTACCCTCTCTTGATTCTCTAAAGTCTGTTTTTCTTACAGCAGCTAGACTGGTCTCTATAAAACACCATCAGTCATTTCACTCCCCTTCTCCAAGCCCTACAGTGGCTTTCCATCACACCCCTAATAAAACTTACACTTTTCTTTTGGCTTGTTCTTTCACATCACTCAGGTTTTGCTCACCTATTACCACTTGGACAGGTGTTACCTAATTATCTTCTCTAAAGCAGCTGACCTGCTCTCCTCCCTGCCAATTTCCTTAACCTTTATTTTTCCTCACAGTACTTATTGCTCCTTGAGGTTATATATTTATCATTTACTTGTTTGTTGAATGTAAAAATCCATGAATACAGGGACCCTGCCATTTGTGTTGCTGTATTCTCAGCCTCCAGAAAAAAGCCTGACACATAGTAGATGTGCAATGAAGATATTTTCCATATGGGTAAAAAATGAATCTTGGGGTACAAGGTATTCAGGGCCACCATGTTGCACAACTCTTTTGGAGCCCATTTAGTCCACAGCTGCACATGGCATTTCTGAAATTTGCAAAGAATAAGCCTATATAGTGTATATTTTACAAAGGGAATATTTCCTAAAATATTTTTGTGCATTACGTCTAGAGGATGAGGGATCAGAATGGGCCCCCCCCCACCCAGTTGTAGGTGGCAAGAAGCTGTATAGATGAGCATCTTTCCTGGTTTATAGATGATGAAATAGAAGGCATCCCTCTGTGTTTTCCTTCCATCCTAACCTTCCATTTTCCCTCAGATCATATCAGGTTAATTTGCGCATAAGAGCTTCTGATTACTCTGTGAAAACGGTGGATAGAAACAAGACTTTTACATATCAGAGAATAAGTCTATTTAATGAACCCTAAGTATTTCATCTAACTCAGAGTGGAAGAAGAGTAGATTCCCATAGCAGCCTTTGAGAGGGGAAGGAAATCCTGAGCTGTGGCATCAGGATAGCATGAGAAATTTCTGGGTCCCTTGGGCACCCCCTGGGTTTGTCCACATTCATATGGGAAGGGTTTATGTGTGTTAGGTGTGCGTACACCAGAGCCTGCTCTGTACCCTTGTCCTTCACTTTAGTATGTCACAGCTTAATGAGATCCCTTACAGGATTACTTTTAATTCCCAGATCAATTGATCTTAACTCTTTGAGCTGTCTTAGCTGATGCAGAGAGAGCTGTACTTTTGAAGGTTCCTGACCACCCGCAGGATTCTCCTTCACCCTCTCAGTCTGCTGCCTAAGAGCTCACTGGAGTTGGTCAACTTCCCCTACATAGCCCAGCAAAAATGAATGACATCCTCATGTTTGGAATGTTTCTTCTTTTACCTCAGTGTGCTGGTGACAGCTCAGTGTCAGTGCAACTCACTCTAGAATGTTTCTTTCCCCAAAACAATTTCCTCTTTATTTCCATTTCTGCCTTTCTGATTGGGAAACTCACCATTTCTTGCGTGTGAATTACTGGTCACTTGAACAGAGTAGAAGTTCCTGGAGCTTTCCATGCCACCCCTCTCTTCGGTCTCCCATTTGAGTTCTGTATTAAATGTGAGATCCAGACAGTCATGGAGGTTATCTGCTAAGCAATTCTTGCTTGACATGATATCTAAAACTCGATTGATTTTTTTGCTTCTATGCTGACTTGACTGGCCATGAGTGCTCTTAATTCACCTGAGATTTGGGCAGGAATTCTTGTTTTTAAAATTAAGCAGAAGCAGCAGCCAGCTCTGTTTGAGAGGTCTTAAGCAAATTTACAGCCTCAAATGTTAATCTGAAAGTCAATCTCAATTGAATCAATATTTTTTACAACTATTGCACTCCTTTTTAAACATCTTTTTTTCTTCTTCTCTCTTTCAAAAATACTCTGGCAAGACATAGGCAGATGGATGTCTGCACAAGGAAGTGTCCACTTCTCTTCATTCATGAAGGGAAACTAAATCTAACTTATCTAACAGAATGCTGAACATTGTGGGAGGACAGTTGAATGAACTGTCAAACACTCTGAAGCCTCACCATAATGCAGACTGGGAGTTTTTCTACAGGAATATGTATTCTGACATTTCTGAGAATTAAAATTTGTGGTACAAGATCCAAGACTGATTTTTGTCTTACAGCAGTTTTCAAGCTTTATGAGACTGGGTTCTAGTGGCAACATACTGGCACCCTTATTATGGCTTCAGGGGAGTCACTTAAATTGTGAGTGGGCTGGTATGTGTACAAAGAGAACAATGATTCTTTTACAGCCTTCTCAGAAGACTAGAGATGAATGAGAAATTCTAGTATTTATCTTAAGCCTATATTTTATTGAAGAGATTTAGCATTGGCATTTCAGACAAGATTTTATTTTTATAAAGCGTTGTCCTTTGTAATTTTGCTACATCTCCCCATAGGGGTATTTGCATAGTTAGACATATTCTCTTATAAGGTTTTGTTATTATTCTCATTTAGATTGGCCATCTAGTCTGCCCCAAATTTAGGAAATAATTGAGTTTTCCAATATTTTCCTCTGATTATATGCCTTCACAACACAGGGGAAGACAAAAGGTACATGACATTTTTGAGGTGGCCTACTGTGCAAATCATATTAAGCATTTGTTTTCTTAAGATCAAGCAATGTGCATCATAAATAGCCTCACCCCATTCCTATCCTCTCCTATGTTCAGAGATGGGGTGAGGCTTAGGGGAGTCTACCGCATACATTTCTATTTCTTGTTTTAAACAATAGAGAATTTTTATATTTCGATGAAGCTGCATCAAAATGACTACATTAAAATCTCCTTGTAAGCCAAAACAATACTTGCAAATTAACCCTGTCATAATATCTTTCTTTGGAAATCACTTGAGTTGAGAAGCCGACATTTAAAAATTATGGAACACACAGTTATGAATATAGAACAGACTATAAATAGTATCAGCTTTGAAAAGGGAAAAGCAAAGAGGCAGCTGTCAATGGACGGAAGGTAGAAGGGGAAAGTGAGATGGAGGGCAAATAAGAGTGTTAATATTCTCATTTTACAAACTGGAGTTGAGATTGAATTGAATACGTTCAAATAGTTTAATGATTAAAACAATAAAGATAAGCAATAGATGAATTAAAATAGTTATCTAAATATCAAAAATGAGGAGGCGAGAGGAAGGAAAGGTGGGTAATAGTGTGTGCTGAATCCTTGCCTATTGTGGCAGAAAGGCAATAGATACACATGGTCTAAAGTTGATAAATCAGCCGTGAGAACCATGTTCAGCACGTGGAGGAGCGGAACAGAGAAGAGGGAATGAGAGGAGATGGGAGATCTGGAAGGCCTTTGCGCTGAAATCATTAGTCTAAGGTGATAGGAGGTCTAGAGAGGATTTTAACTCTTAGTTTGCAAAAGGCATTTCATATACTCTGGAAGTGTTGTTACTCCCATGTTGAGGAACCAAGATATCTAGCAAAGCAAAGTCTTGGTCTTATAGTTGCTAAGTCAGAATGTTTTACATGCTGGTTACCCATGGTTATTATCTGTGGCTCAACAACAACCCAGACTGAGACTGAGCCTATAGCCAGGTAATTTGTGGGGGGAAAATGTCAGGATTTAGACTGTATTAAAAGAAGATAATATACAAAATCCTTGCATTAGTCAGATAGTTGTTAGGTTATATTACATCTATTTTCAGTCAAAGCACTTGAGAAAAATAGGGTAGAAAGAGAAAAAAGTTTGGAAAAGAGACTAAAAAGGTTAAAGGATGTAACGTACAGCAAGTCCTCATTAACTATAGATCCATGTCCTTATTTCTATTCCAAATATACCAAGTAGAGGGATCTCATAGACTTTGTTTCTCTTGAGACAAATATTGGCTTAAGAGACAAATATTGGCTTAGCAATTAGTATAATTGCTGCTTATGTCAATTGGCCCTAACTAAAGCCAACAAAAAAGATCTATTAAAAATTTTAGAGAATACCACAATGCTTTTACACAATTATTTTGCTTTTGCTTTAATATTTTCATATAACATTACAGATGTGGTTGAAGCTCCCTTTGCATCCTCCCCAATTTACTCACTTTAAAAATCTTTCTCAAGCTAACTCATTATTTTAAAATGTTTGTTTTCTGCCCAAATTAATTTTAAGACATATATTGTATTTCTGTCTTTAAACATTAAAAAAATTTGTTTTGTGTGTTTTTAAATAAGTGGAATTATGGCATAAATAACATCTTACAAGTTATTTAAATGTCAGTTTTTCATTACCTTTATTGAGAGATAATTCACATACCATACTATTCACCCAGTGAAAGTATACAATTAAAAATTTTTTAGTATATTCACAGATATGTGCAACCATCACCATGGTCAACTTAAAAAATATGAATATGTGTATATATTGTATACATGTGTGTATATGAATATGTGTATTTGAGTGTGTGTGTGTATATGTATATATATGTGTATATATATGTATATGTGTGTGTATATGTATATATATAATGTGTATATGTATATATATAATGTGTATATATATACACACACACACATACACACACACACACGCATATATATATATATATCGAGAGAGAGAGAGAGACAGACAGACAGATAGGCAAGGTCTTGCTCTGTCATCCTAGCTGGTGCACAGTGGCATGATCTTGGCTCACTGCAGCCTGGACCTTCTGGGCTCAAGTGATCCTCCTACCCCAGCCTCATAAGTAGCTAGGACCACAGGCATACAGCACCACAGCGGGCTAATATTTTTATTTATTTTTTGTAGAGGTGGAGTCTCCCTACGTTGCCCAGGCTGGTCTCCAACTCCTGGGCTCAAGGGATCCTCCCGCCTCTGCCTCCCAAAGTGCTGGGATTACAGGTGTGAGCCACCACACCCAACTGAATATGAATATTTTTATCTAAAAAAGAAAACCCGTGCCCATTAGCTATCACCACCTTATCTCCCCACTTCCTTCCTTTCCTAGTTGGAATAACCGCTAATCTACTTGATGTCTTTTAGATTTCCCTATTATGCACATTTCTTAGGAACTGTGTACTGTAATATGTGGTCTTTTGTGATAGGCTTCTTTCACTCAGCACACATTTGGCATAATTTTTCAAGGTTCATACATGTGGTAGCATGTATCAGTACTTCATTCCTTTTTATGACCAAATAATATTTCATTGTGTAGATATACCACATTTTGTTTATCCATTTGTTCATTGATGGACGTTGGGATTGTTTCCACCTTTGGCTATTATGAATAGTGTTGCTATAAACATTCATGAACAAGTTTTTGTGTAATATGCTTCCATTCTTTTGTATACCAATATCATCTGAAGAACTGCCAGACTGTTTCCAAAGAGGCTGTGCCATTTTACATTCCCATGAGTAATGTATGAGGGTACTGATTTCTCCACGTTTGTCAACACTTGTACTTGTCTGACTTTTTAATTCTAGCTGTCCTTGTGGGTATGAAGCGGTGTCTTGTGGTTCTGATTTGCATTTCCTGATGACTAATAGTGTTAGGCATCTTTTCTGTGCTTATTGGCCATTTTTATATCTACCTTGGAGAAATTTCTATTCAGCTCTTTTGCTCATTTTTAAATTGGTTTATTTGCCTTATTATTAAATTGTAAGTGTTCTTTAAATATTCTGGATACCAGTCTCATTAGATATAGAGGTTGCAAATATTTTCTTCCATTCTATAGACTGTCTTTTCACTTTTGTGATATCCTTTGTAGAACAAAAACTTTTAATTTTGATGAAGTCCAATTTAACTATTTTTTTCTTCTGTCTCATGCTTTGGTGTTATATTTAAGAATTCATCGCATAATCCAAGGAGGTCATGAAAACTTACCCCTGTTTTCTTCTAAGTTTCCTGGTTTTAGCTCTTCTGTGTACATCTTCAATCTACCTTAATTTTTTTATATGGTATGAGGTAAGGGTCCAACTTCATTCTTTTGCATATGGCTATCCAGTTGTCCCAGCACCATTTGTTGAAAAGGCTATTTTTTTTTCTCCTATGGAATGATCTTGTCACCCTTGCCTAAAATCAGTTGGCCATGGATATATGGATTTATTTCTGGACTCTCAATCCTAGCCTATTGATCTATATGTCTATCCTTGTGCCAGTACCATGCTGTCTTGATTATTATTTCTTTGTACTAAAATTTGAAATTAGGACATGTGAGTCTTCCTACTTCTGTTCTTGTTTTTGAGACTGTTTTTGGCCATTCTGGGTTCTTTGCAATTCCTTATGAATTTTAGGATCAGTTTGTCCATTTCTACAAAGAAGTCAGGTGAGATTCTGATAAGTATTGCATCTGTAGATTAATTTGGGAGTATTGCCATCTTAACAATGTTAAGTCTTCAAGTCTGTGAACATAGGATTTTTCCAATTATTTTGATCTTCTTTAATTTTTTTAAACAATTTTTGTAGTTTTCAGGTTATAATCTTTGTACTTCATTAAATTTACTCCTTAGTGTTTTATTATTTTTGATGCAATTATAGATGGAATTATGTTAATTTAATTTTTGGTTGCTCATTGCAAGTATATGGAAAAACAATAGATTTTCATATATTGATCTCTTATCTGCAATCTTGCCAAACTTGTTTATTAGTCTTGATTTCAAAAAATTCCTTAGAATTTTCTATATACAAGATCATGCCATCTGTGATTAGAGGTAGTTTTCCTTCTTCATTCCAATCTAGATGCCTTTTTTTTTCTTACCTAATTTCTCCAGCTAGAACTTACAGTACAATGTTGAAGAGAAGTGATGAGTATGGACATCTGTATTGTTCTTGATCTTAGGGGAAAAACATCAAGTTAATAGTTAAGTAAATATAATTATTGAATCTTAGGACAAAGTTTTTTTTTTTTTTTTTTTTTTTTTTTTGAGACAGAGTCTTGCTCTGTTAGCCAGGCTGGAGTGCAGTGGCACGATCTCGGCTCACTGCAACCTTCCTCTCCCGGGCTCAAGCAATTCTCCTGCCTCAGCCTCCTGAGTAGCTGGGTTTACAGGCATGTGCCACCATGCCCAGCTAATTTTTATATATTTTTTGGCAGAGACAGGGTTTCACCATGTTGGCCAGGCTCGTCTTGAACTCCTGACCTCAGGTAATCCGCCAGCCTTGGCCTCCCAAAGTGCTGGGATTACAGGCATGAGCCACTGCGCCCAACCAAGTTCAAAGAGTTCTAAAAGATTGTGACAACACATGCTTCCACTTGCTGATGAGAGTTTCCTTTTCCTGTATTGCTGAGTATGAGTTTAGTTGTGGGTTTTTCATAGATTCCTTTTATCAAGTTGAGGTAACTTCCTTCTATTCCTAGTTTATTGAATGTTTTTATAATACAAGAATGAATAATATGCTTTTGTGTATTATCTATATGAATGCATGCAGTTCTAGTTCATTTTAACAGTTGTATAGTTCCAAAATAAATATATCATAATTTATTCATCGGTCAGTTTTTTTGTTTCATTTCTTTCTTTTCTTGCTATTACAAATGATGCTGCAGTGAATACACTTGCACATGTCTCATAGTCCATATGGACTATAGTATCCCTAGCATATATTTCAGATAGAATTATTGGATCTTAGGACAAGTTCAAACAGTTCTAACAGGTTGTGACAATATATGCTTACACTTGTTTTTCAGAGTTCCCTTTGCCGATATCCTTCCCCAAATTTGTGATTGTCATGTTATTAAATTCTTGTTAATTTGATGAGTGTAAAATATATCATGCTTTATAGTTTTCATATGTTTATTTATTTGTTGCGGGGGTTTCATCTGTAATTTGCCCATTCCCACCCATTTTTGTCTATTTTTCTGTTAGGTTTCTTGACTTACAGGAATTCTTAACATAGCCTGGATACTAATTCTTTGTTGGCTTTCTACAGCACAAATATTTTCCCCCATTTTGTGGCTTATATCTTTTTATAGTGTTGTGTTATATAGTAGAAGTTTTAAATTTAAGTGTCAAATTTATTAGTGGGTTTCTTTGTATTTTGTACTTTTAAATTTTGTTAAGAATCCCTTCCCTATCCTAGGTTATAAAAATACTCTTCTTTTTTTTTTTTGTCTAAAATGTTTAAAATTTTGCCTTTAAGCTTAGGTCTTTAATTCTTCTTCTGTAATTTATCTTTTGTGAAAATAGGAATCTATTTTGCCCCCATGCAAAGTGCCATCTATTAAATAGTTAATTTTTTTCCCTCATTGATTTGTTATGCTATCTCTGTTACTTACCAACTTTTTGGATATGTGTTGGTCTGATTCTGGACTTTCTATTCTTTGTTATTAATCAATTTGGTTTTTTTTCTTTTTTTTTTACTGTATTGGTAGCATACTACTTTAATCTCTGGAGTCAAAGTAGATATGCATGGTATAAGAATGTGTGTGTGTGTGTGCACGCGCGTGTCTGTGTACAAAATATAATTTAGAAGGGAAAGAGAGAGAGACTTTATATCTGCTAGGCATGTCCCTTACTTGTTGTAAACAATTCCAAAGTTGTTTTGGCTGTCATTGGTCCCTTATTTTTCTAAGTGAACATTAGGATGAGCTGGCCAAGTTCTGTAAGAAGTCCTGGGACATTTCTACTGATTACACATATTTATTTGGAGAGAACTGACACTTTGTGCCTGTGTTGATTTTGTATCAAGTCACTTTTCTAATAGTAATTCTAATGATTTGTCTACATATTTTATTGGATTTTCTATGTGGACAATTATATTTTCTCCCAAAGATGACAGTGTTGTTTGTTCACTTTCTAGATTTAAACTTTATACAGCATTTTTAGTATTATTGCATCAGTTATGATTTTCAGTATGCCTTGAGTGGCACAAGGAACAGTAGCAATTGTTCTTTTGGTTTTTTTTTCAATAAGAATATTTTCAAAGTTTCATCCTTTCTTGCTGGTTTTTGATAAGCCACTTTTTATGGAACACTGAAAGCTGTTCCAGAGCAGTTATTTTTATCCTGGATGCACACTGGATTCCCCTGGGGAGCTTTACAAAAATACTGGTTGCTGGTTCCCACCTTCAGAAGTTCTGATTTAATTGGTTTTGGATGCTGCCTGGGCACTGGGACTTTAAAAAACTCCCCAGATGACTCTAATATGCAGACAAAGTTGAGAAGTACTTTCTTGGTTAATGTCCACATTTATTGGTAAAGGATCTATCAGTGACAAGTGACAGAAAGACAAGTATAGCTAGCTGAAGAAAAATAAAAGGGAGGGGAATTTATATGCTTGTAAGACCATGGTGGTTGCAGATCTAGGAATAACTGGATCCAGAGACAAAGGCTATCTAGATCCCTTTTCTCTCTGTCTTTGGTCTCTGTTCACTCTATGAGTGGTAGTTATTCTCTACTACAACAGTAGGCTGTTCCATAAAGTGGTGAAAAACTCTGCACTCATAAGGTAATAGCTCCAGTGACAAGAGCATCTCTTTGGTGCTAACTCCAGCCAGAAAAATCCCCAGGAAAAGCTCTGATTGTTTGGCTTGGGTATCTGCCCACCTCTGGACTAATCACTATGGCCCACATATGGTTTAGTGATTGGGTGAAGACTTGTTAGGCAAACCCAGAAAGCAATTTATTTAATATTTAGACTTTGGTGAACTTTGACCTTCATGAATACAGCCATAAATCTGACAGTATTAAAAGGTCTCTAAGAAAGGATGAAAACAGTATTCACAGAAGAGATAGGAATCTCTCTCTCAAGTATTATTCATTTAATAAGATAGGCAATTTGGTTTTCCCTGGCAAGTTGCCTAGGTTTTAGAAAAAAACATATTAGGAGAAGGGAGGGGTTACTGCTAAAGCTGATATATTGAAAGTGATACTCGTAGCAAGGGAGGAGGGAGAGAAATCGTCTTTTAAAATCTCAGCAAACTGGGCTGTTTGGTATAGAGGTAAACAGTCTTTAAGGGCCCCCGTAGCAAAAAATGATTATAAAAAGCAACTTTCAAAAGTTGGGGTAAAGTTTGGGGAGGGTTGTGGGAAGAGGGATAGAAAAGTTTTGAAATCAGATATAACTAGATACATATTTTGGCTAAATATATCTTATTTTGGACAAGTTAATCTTTCTAAGCCTTAGTGTCTTTATTTGTAGAATGGAGATAACAATGCCTAGTTCATAGGTTCAAGTAAGTTAAGTATTATATATCAGACACATAGTAGGTGAACAATAAATGTGACTTCTTCTCATCCTTTCCATTATTTACCATGAGAAATAACAATCGTAATGATGATCTTGAGTTTGCAAGCAAGACTATATTATATCCAGTGTACCATGTATTGGGAATGTAGAAAAATTTTGATGAGATTTATGTTAAAAGATGGCTAAAATAAAATGCTTATTTTCTAAAATGGTAAACTTTATCTAGAACATTTGCTTTCACAAAGAAGACATTACTACTCTATCACTATAGTATAGATGAATCCAAGATTGTCAGCTTTGCAGTTCCAACATATAACTCTCATCTCTAACTTATTAGTAGGCAAGTTGTTTTGTCACCATTCCATGATTCCCTGAGTTTTAAATTTTTTCCAGCTGCTGTGAAGCTGACGTGGGCCACATACTGAACAGTGGGATAAATTCTCTCTGCTTTGTAGGAGCTGTGAAACTTCTGGCTGACTCGAGATATGAATGTAGAGGAGGACTGCTCTGTTCTGGCCATTGCTATCAGGGCGGCTTCCAGGAAGACTGGTGGGAGGTTCCTAGTGTGCCCCAGGGGATCCTCTTTGAGACCTGGGCCTGAGGTCCTAGAGAAGTTCTCAAATCTTATGCATTTCTGGACACAACCTTGCTTGGGTTGATCTGGTGAGGAGGCCGTGTCTGATCAGATCCTTGTTTCTAGAACTCTCCCCTCCCTTGCTTCTGTGTCACTATTGCTGCCCTTGTTTCCCTGCAAGCCCTCTGGTCTTCCCTCTCACTCCATTCCCCCTTTCCTACATTCTACGTATTTTTCCTGGTTCTCTCTTTTCTCATTTACTGATACTGTCAACTACTAATATGTGTGACCATTCACAGCTCTGTATTTCTACACTTCAACTCCTCTCCTGCCTGCAGTTTTCACCTATGCATCTGCCTGTGGCATGTTTCTAACTGCATGTTTCCCAAGCTCCTCTAACACAGCATCTTTTTCATTTTTCCCTCCTCCCACCCAAACCTGTTCTTCTTTCTGTATTTCCTCTTTTTACCAGAGAAAGTACCTCTACTTACCAGTCATGTAATCCTGAACCTGAGAATCATCCCTATCTCTCACTATTTCCACTCGATATTACTACTAATTCAATATTACTACGAATCCAATATTACTAATAACTCAGTTGCTATTTCTGTTAGTCTTACTAAGCCAGAATTCTTAATAATAGTGCCAGAAGTCACTGACTGCAGGGTCCTGTTCTTAATTTCTCTAAACTGCCTGTCAGTCCTCAGGTCCTGCTGATTCTACCTGGTTATTATGTTTTAGATCTTCCTCCTTAATTGTTTTCCTGTCATTTCTATCCCACACTTACTGCTTTAATTCTGTCTTCTAAATGGTCTCTCTACTCCGGTCTTGCCCTCTTTCAATCCTCCCCACACTGCAGCATGATCCAAACACCTCTGAGATTGACCACAGACTGAGTAGCCTTCTGTGTTAGGCTACTCCTTTGCACAACCACAAAGCAAATGTCTTGGGTAATGCTTCACTCATCTTCTCGTTTATCTTAGAACCTGAATGTGATAAAAAGTTAATTCATTTTAAGCTACTGAAACAATAGTTCATCGGTGTTCTCTCAGTGCTTCACCTCAGTATATTTAATATTCACAGAGGGTTCATTCCAGCTTTCCTCAGCACCTTGCTGAGTTCCTCCTAGCTACACTCTCATTGACAGAGGTGAGTGCTGTGGGGCAAGGGAATTAGATGAAAAATGGTCTTCTAATCTCTGTCGACATAGGGATTGAGATGCTGCATTAACATGGGATGTAGGACTCAGCGGAGAGTCGTGGGAGAGCTTTGGAGAAGCTAGTGCTAAGTACAAATAGACTGATTTTCAAGTAGAGACTAATGCTATACACTAGAATTCTCCCTGTGGAGCTCTTGTGGTTAATTAAGAACAAGTGAAGGGTCGTAAGATCCTCTGCATCCAACAATAATCTATGCTGGTTGGCAAATTGAGTCAAACAGCAGGCTCTGTTCTTTGAAAAAAAAATTAGATAAATAAGAGAGTGTGTTAGTTATTAACTTGCTACAATGTGGAATGACTTTTAGTGAGATATAAAAATCCACTAAGTGTTACAAATTATTTATGGAACACATTGAATTTTTTCCCTCTTTTTTAAAAAAATAATTTTAAGTTCTGGGGTACATGTTCAGGATGTGCAGTTTTGTTATATAGGTAAATGTGTGCCATGGTGATTTGCTGCACCTGTCAACCCATCACCCAGGTATTAAGCCCAGTATGCATTAGCTATTTTTCCTGATGCTCTCCCTCCTGCTGACTCTCCAACAGGTCCCAGTGTGTGTTCTTCCCCTTCCTGTGTCTATATGTTCATTGTTCAGCTACCATTTATAAGTGAGAACATGCGGTATTTGGTTTTCTGTTCCTGCATTAGTTTGCTGAGAATAATGATTTCCAGTTCCATCCATGACCCTGCAAAGGACATGATCTTGTTCCTTTTTATGGCTGCATAGTATTCCATGGTATATATGTACCACATTTTCTTTATCCAGTCTATCATTGATGGGCATTTGGGTGGATTCCACATCTTTGCTACTGTGAATTGTGTTGCAGTGAATGTACGTGTGCATGTATCTTTATAACAGAATTATTTATATTCCTTTGGGTATATACCTGTAACGGAATTATGGGACCAAAAGGTATTTCTGGTTCTAGGTATTTGGGGAATCATCACACTCGGTTTCACAATGATTGAACTAATTTACATTCCCACCAGTGTGAAAGCATTCCTGTCTCTCTGCAGCTTCACCAGCATCTGCTGTTTCTTGACTTTTTAATAATTGCCATGATGACTCGCATGACATGAGATGGTATCTCATTGTGGGTTTGATGTGCATTTCTCAAATGATCAGTATGTTGTTTTTTTCATATGTTTCTTGGCCGCATAAATGTCTTTTAAGAAATGTCTGTTCATGTCCTTTGCCCAGTTTTTAATGTTTTTTTTTTTCTTGTAAATTTGTTTAAGGTGCTTGTAGATTCTGGATATTAGACCTTTGTCAGATTTTCTCCCACTCTATAAGTTGTCTGTTCACTCCAATGATAGTTTCTTTTGCTGTGCAGAAGCTCTTAGTTTTTTATTTTTTTATTTTTTATTATACTTTAAGTTTTAGGGTACATGTGCACAACATGCAGGTTTGTTACATATGTATACATGTGCCATGTTGGTGTGCTGCACCCATTAACTCGTCATTTACATTAGGTATATTTCCTAATGCTATCCCTCCCCCCTCCCCCCACCCCACAACAGGCCCCGGTGTGTGATGTTCCCCTTCCTGTGTCCAAGTGTTCTCATTGTTCAATTCCCTCCTATGAGTGAGAACATGCAGTGTTTGGCTTTTTGTCCTTGCGATAGTTTGCTGAGAATGTTGGTTTCCAGCTTCATCCATGTCCCTACAAAGGACGTGAACTCATCCTTTTTTATGGCTGCATAGCATTCCATGGTGTATATGTGCCACATTTTCTTAATCCAGTCTATCATTGTTGGACATTTGGGTTGGTTCCAAGTCTTTGCTATAGTGAATAGTGCTGCAATAAACATACGTGTGCATGTGTCTTTATAGCAGCATGATTTATAATCCTTTGGGTATATACCCAGTAATGGATGGCTGGGTCAAATGGTATTTCTAGTTCTAGATCCCTGAGGAATCGCCACACTGTCTTCCACAATGGTTGAACTAGTTTACAGTCCCACCAACAGTGTAAAAGTGTTCCTATTTCTCCACATCCTCTCCAGCACCTGTTGTTTCCTGACTTTTTAATGATCGCCATTCTAACTGGTGTGAGATGGTATCTCATTGTGGTTTTGATTTGCATTTCTCTGATGGCCAATGATGATTAGCATTTTTTCATGTGTCTTTTGGAGAAGCTCTTAGTTTAATTAGATTCCATTTGCAAATTTTTGCTTTTATTGCAATTGCTTTTGAAATTTTCATCATGAAATCTTTGCCCATGTTTATGTCCTGAATGGTATTGCCTAGATTTTCTTCCAGGCTTTTTATAGTTTTGGGTTTTACTGTAAGTCTTTAATCCATCTTGAGTTAATTTTTGTGTAAGGAACTGGTCTAGTTGCATTTTTCTGCATATAGCTAGCCAGTTCTCCCTGCCACCATTTATTAAATGGGGAATACTTTCCCCATCGCTTGTTTTTGTCAGATTTGTTGAAGATCAGATGGTTGTAGATATGCAGTCTTCTGAGTTCTCTATTCTGTTCCATTGGTACATGTGTCTGTTTTTGTACCAGTACTATGCTGTTTTGGTTACTGTAGCCTTGTAGTATAGTTTGAAGTCAGGTAGCATGATGCCTAGAGCTTTGTTATTTTTGCTTAGTATTGTCTTGGCTATACAAGCTTTTTTTTTGGTTCCAGATAAATTTTTAAATAGTTTTCTCTAAATCTGTAAAAAATGTCAGTGGTAGTTTAATGGGGATAGTATTGAATCTATAAATTACTTTGGGCAGTATGGCCATTTTCACGATATTGATTATTGATTCTTCCTGTCCATGACCATGGCATGCTTTTTCATTTGTGTCCTCTTTGATTTCCTTGAGCAGTGGTTTGTAGTTCTCCTTGAAGAGGTCCTTCAAGTCCCTTGTTAGCTATATTCCTAGGTATTTTATTCTCTTTGTAGCAATTGTGAAGGGGAGTTCGTTCATGATTTGGCTCTCTGCTTGTCTGTTGTTGATGTATAGAAATGCTTGTGATCCTTTGCACATTGATTTATTTTGTATCCTGAGACTCTGCTGAAGTTGCTTATCAGCTTAAGAAGCTTTTGGGCTGGAACAATGGGGTTTTTAAATATAGGATCATGTCATCTGCAAACAGAGATAGTTTGACTTTCTCTCTTCCTATTTGAATATCCTTTATTTCTTTCTCTTACCTGATTGCCCTGGCCAGAACTTCCAATACTATGTTGAACAAGAGTGGTGGGAGAGGGCATCCTTGTCTTGTGCTGGTTTTCAAGGGGAATGCTTCAGCTTTTGCCCATTCAGTATGATATTGGCCGTGGGTCTGTCATTAATGGCTCTTACTATTTTGAGGTATGTTCCTTAAATACTTAGTTTATTGATAGTTTTTTAACATGAAGGGATGTTGAATTTTATCGAAGGCCTTTTCTGCATCTATTGAGATAATCATGTGGTTTTTGTCTTTAGTTATATTTATGTGATGAATTACATTTATTGATTTGCATATGTTGAATCAACCTTGCATCCTAGGGATGAAGCCGACTTGATCGTGGTGGATAAGTTTTTGATTTGCTGCTGGATTCAGTTTGCTAGTATTTTATTGAAGATTTTTGCATTGATGTTGATCAGGGATATTGCCCTGAAGTTTTCTTGTTTTATCTCTGCCAGGTTTTGGTATCAGGATGATGTTCACTTCAAAAAATAAGTTAGAGAGGAGTCCATCCTTTTTAATTGTTTGGAATAGTTTCAGTAGGAATGGTTCCATCTAGTTGTACCTTTGGTAGAATTCAGCTGTAAATCCATCTTGTGTTAGGCATTTTTTGGTTGGTAGGCTATTTATTACTGCCTCAATTTCAGAGCTTTTTATTTGTCTATTCAGGGACTCAACTTCTTTCTGGTTAAGCTTTGGGTGGGTGTATGTGCCCAAGAATTAATGCATTTCTTCTAGATTTTCTAGTTTATGTGCATAGTGGTGTTTATAGTATTCTCTGATGGTTGTTTGTATTTCTGTGGGGTCATTGATGATATCCCCTTTATAACTTTTTATTGTGTCTATTTGATTCTTCTCTCTTTTCTTCATTAGTCTAGCTAGTGGTGTATCTATTTTTTAAATTTTTTCAAAAAAATAGTTCCTGGATTTATTAATTTTTTTGAAGGGATTTTCAGGTCTGTATCTACTTCATTTCAGCTCTGATCTTGGTTATTTCTTGTCTTCTGCTAGCTTTGGGATGTTTGCTCTTGGTCCTCTAGTTCTTTCAGTTGTGATGTTAGAATGTCAATTTGAGATCTTTCTAGCTTTTTTTGTGGGCATTTATTGCTATCAATTTCCCTCTTAACACTGCTTTATCTGCGTTCCAGAGATTTTGGTACATTGTCTCTTTGTTCTTATTTGTTTCAAATAACTTCTTCATTTCTGCATTAATTTCATTATTTACCCAAAAGTCATTCAGGAGCAGGTTGTTCAATTTCCATGTAGTTGTGTGGTTTTGAGTGAGTTTCTTAGCCTTGAGTTCTAATTTAATTGCACTGTGTCTGAGAGACTGTTATGATTTCAGTTCTTTTGCATTTGCTGAGGAGTATTTTACTTCCAATTATGTGATCTTATGTGATTGATTTTGGATAAGTGACTGCCATGTGACACTGAGAAGACTATATATTCTGTTGTTTTTGGGTGGAAAGTTCTGTAGATATTTATCAGGTCCACTTGATCCAGAGAAGAGTTCAAGTCTTGAATATCTTTGTTAATTTTCTGTCTCTAAAGATCTGTCTAATACTGACAGTGAGGTATTAAAGTCTCCCATTGTTATTGTGTGGGGTCTAAGTCTCTTTGTATGTCTCTAAGAACTAGCTTTATGAAGCTGGGTGCTCCTGTATTGGGTTAATATATATTTAGAATAGTTAGCTCTTCTTCTTGAACCCTTTACCATTATGTAATGCCCTTCTTTGTCTTTTTTGATCTTTGTTGATTTAAAGTCTATTTTGTCAGAATCTAGGATTACAAGCCCTGGTTTTTTCTGTTTTCCATTTGCTTGGTAAATTTTCCTCCATCCCTTTATTTTGAGCCTATGTGTGTCTTTGCATGTGAGATGGGTCTCTTGAATACATCACACTGATGGGTCTTGACTCTATCCAGCTTGACATTCTGTGTCTTTTAATTGGGGCATTTAGCCCATTTACATTTAAGGTTAGTATTGTTATGTGTGAATTTGATCCTGTAATCATGATGCTAGCTGGTTATTTTGCAGACTTGTTTATGTGGTTGCTTCAGAGTGTCACTGGTCCGTGCACTTTAGTGTGTTTTTGTAGTGGCTGGTAGCAGTTTTTCCTTTCCATATTTAGTGCTTCCTTCAAAAGCTCTTGCAAGGCAGGCCTGGTGGTGATGAATTCTCTCAGCATTTGCTTGTCTGAAAAGGATTTTATTTCTCCTTCACTTATGAAGTTTAGCTTGGCTGGATATGAAAATCTGGGTTAGAAATTCTTTCATGTAAGAATGTTGAATATTGACCCCTCCAATCTCTTCTGGCTTGTAAGGTTTCCACTGAGAGGTCCACTGTTAGTCTGATGGGCTTCCCTTTGTAGGTGACCTGGCCTTTCTCTCTGGCGCCCTTAAGATTTTTTCTTTATTTTGACTTTTCAGAATATGATAATTATGTGTGTTGGGGATAATCTTCTCATGGAGTATCTCACTGGGGTTCTCTGGATTTCCTGAATTTGAACATTTGCCCTCTTGCTAGGTTGGGGATATTCTTCTGGATGATATCTCAAAGTATGTTTTCTAACTTGGTTTTCTAACTTGGTTCTCGTCTCTTTCAGGTACCCCAATCAGTCGTAGGTTTGGTCTCTTTACATAATCACCTATTTCTCAGAGGTTTTGTTCATGCCTTTTCATTCTGTTTTTCTCTAATCTTGTCTATCTGACTTATTTCAGCAATATAGTCTTTAAGCTTTGAGATTCTTTCCTTTTCTTGGTCTATTTGGCTATTGATACTTGTGGTTGCATTGTGAAGTTCTTGTGTTGTGTTTTTCAGCTCCATCAGGTCATTTATGGTACTCTCTAAACTGGTTATTCTGGTTAACAGCTCCTGTAATGTTTTATCATTGTTCTCAGCTTCTTTGCATTGGGTTAGACTATAGTTCTTCAGCTCACTGAAGTTTGTTATTACCCACCTTCTGAAGCCTACTTCTGTCAGTTCATCAATCTTAGCCTCAGCCCAGCTCGTGCCCTTGCTAGAGAGGTATTGCAGTCATTTGGAGGAGAAGAGGCACTCCGGCTTTCCAAGTTTTCAGCGTTTTTGCATTGATTTTTTCTCATCTTTGTGAACTTTGAGGCTACTGACCTTTGGATGGTTTTTTTGTGGGGTCTTTTTCATTTTGTTGTTGTTGCTTTCTATTTATTTTTCTTTTAATAGTCAGACTCCTCTTCCATAGAGCTGCTGTGGTTTCCTGGGGGTCCACTCCTGACCCTATTCACCTAGGTCATTCCACACCTGGAGGTGTCACCAGTGGAGGCTGCGGAACAGCAAAGATGGCTGCCTGCTCCTTCCTTTGGGAGCTCCATCCCAGAGAGGCACCGACCTGATGCTGGTGGGAACACTCTTTTATAAGGTGTCTGGCGACCCCTGTTGGGAGGGGTCTCACACAGTCAGGAGACACAGGATCAAGACCCGCTTAATAAAGCACTCTGGCTGCCCCTTGGCAGAGTGGACGCACTGCACTGTAGGGAACCCCCCTTGTCCGGGCTGCCTGGATTCTTCAGAGTCAGCAGGCAGGAAAGACTAAATCCCCTGAACCATGGAGATTTCGGCCACTCCTCCCCGCAGGGGCTCAGTCCTAGGGAGATCAGCGTTCTGTCCGTAAACATCTGGCTGGAGTTGCTGAAATTCCCACAGGGAGGCCCTGCTTGGTGAGGAGAAATGGATCCGGGTCTCACCTAACGAAGCAGTCTGGCCGTGGTCTGCCACAGCCGTACCGTGGGGAATTCCTCCCAGTGCAAATCATCCGGTCTCCCTGGCACCGGCAGGGGAGAACGGCCGACTGGAGCTGCAGGGATGGCGGCTGTCCCCACCCCCTACCCAACCAACTTGGGTGTGTCTTAGGCAGTCTCCAGTGTGCTGCCACTGGCCGCAACCTGAGCGGCTACCTAATGTCTGCACAGTTCTGTGCTTGGGACCCAAGGCCCTGGTGGCGTGGGCTCACGGAGGGGATCTCCTGATCGCAGGTTGCACAGATCCATGGAAAAAGCATGTTTTCCTGGGTGGGGTAGAACAATCACTCACCGCCTCCCTTGGCTGGGGTTGGGAGTTCCCTTTGCCCTGTGCAGCTCCCGGGTGGGCCTTTGCTCCACTCTGCTTTTCCTCGTTCTCTGTGGGTCATGCCAACCGCCTCATCAGTCCCAATAAGAGAATCTGCATACCTCAGCTGAAGGTGCAGGATCCACTCACCATTTTTGTTCTCCTTAGTGGGAGCCGTGGTTCACAGTGGCTTCTAGTCGGCCATCTTGGTCCCTCCATAGGATTTTAGAATCAAAACTTTTAAAATAAGTAACAGACATAGGACATAAAATTCAAAAAGTGAAAAAAGGGTATGCCATAAAAATTAAGTCACTTCCCCAGAGATAAACCTCTTGATGGTTTGTGTTTCCAGATAGTCTATCATAGGATAGGTTTTGAGCAAACGTTTTATCAAAATGAACAACTCAGCCAGGCATGGTGGCTCACACCTGTAATCCCAGCACTTTGGGAGACCAATGCAGGAAGATGGCTTGAGGCCAGGAGTTCAAGACCTGCCTGGGCAATATAGCCACCCACAGTCTCTACAAAAAATAGTACAGCTAAGCAAGCAATTATGTAGTGTTGCATGCCTGTGGCCAGCTACTCAGGAGGGTGAGGTGGGAAGATTGTTTCAGCCTGGGAGGTTGAAGCTGCAGTGAGCTGTGATAGCGCTACTGTACTCTAGCCTGGTTGAGTGAGACCCTCAAAAATAAATAAATATATAAACACTTCCATTTCCTTCATACCCAGTGAGTTGCTTGTTATATAGTAAGTATTCTCTAAATGCTAATCATAGGAAACTGATGAATCATTTAGAAAGTTTTATAAAAATAATTTTTCCAAGTTAAAATTTCTCTTTGTTTACTACATAATACCAAAAACAATGTGAAATTAAGTAGTGATCTAAAAAAGGCAAATAGAGGTGTATGTAGTTTGAAATTGTTTTATTGCTTTAAAGCCCTCAATATCCAGATGATGAAAGCAACATTTCAGATTAGTAAAGAGAAATGTAGATTATTTAGCAAATGGTATTGGTACAATTGAGTAACCACCTGGAAACAAAACCAAAGTGGATCCACAGTTTACACTTTACATAAAAATACCTTCAGATGATTCAAGTATTTTTATATAAAAAATAAAACTATAAAGGTTTTAGAAGAAAACATGAGAAGAAACTTGCTGGTGGGGAGAAATGAGTGAAGGAAACTTTTTCATGATAGACTTTTTTTGTACTTTATGAATGCTGTACTATGTACATGTATCAACTAGTCAAATATTTTAAAAATAAAATTGAATAATTAAGTTAAATAAGGATATTGTTTTTGTCAGAATATTCAAGTCTAATTTGTACTTCAAATACTTAGTATTAACTAATTTCTTTCCAACTTCATTTCTGCTGTAACAACAAAACCTGAACATGGCAGTGAATATGAGACCCCCTTGCTCTTGCTGCTTTCTGAACGAAGAAATTGGGGAAAATAGTTGCATGGTAGGAGGAATTACTGGAAATGAGAAATAAAACACATTGGATAATATTGTGAAATATGTACTTGTACTCTCCTCACTACTTCACTTTCCATGAGGATTTTTACGTGCTTTATAATATAATATTTTGAGAGAATGACCACATCTTTGGGTTTTCTGATTGGTAAATCTGTTCTAATCTGTGTAATTCACAAATATAAGAAGCTTGATAGAAAACGAGCTTGCTTTGTCTATTTTGTTCTTCCTATTTCAGGCTTTAGCTGACTAAAATGAAGATATCATAATGCAAGCACCAGATGTGACTAGAAAGTTGATAGAATTTAGAGCCAAGAAGAGCTCTAATCTTTGCTTTAGACTTGATTATTATCAACATATTTAAGGAGTTTGCTTTTGGAGGAGTGAAGTGATCCCACAAATTCCAAGCAGATAATTATAAAAACTTGTTAAATAATTAAAAAACTATTTAAAGATATTAGAAAGTATTGAAAAGCAGCTGAAAGACAGACAAAAGTTTAATCTCTGAACCAGAAGGGGTAAGAATTGTGAGTTTGTCTAATCCCCAGAATAACAACTGAGGAAAACTACAAAACATTGCTTAGATACATTTTATAAAATTACAATAAATGGAAAGATATACTGAATTTATGAATTGGAAGATGCAATAGAATTAAAATGTCAGTTAACCTCATTTATAGATTTAATAAAATCTCGCATATCCCAGGAGGCATTTTCCTTAATGGAAATTAACAAGCTGATTCTAAAATTTATATTGAAGTGCACACTACCCAGAAGAGCCAAAATAATTTTGAAAAAGAATAAAGTTAGACTCACAGTAACTGATTTCAAGATTTACTATAAAGTTGCTATAATCCAAATAGTTTCATTGGTGTAAGGATAGACATATAAACCAGAGAGTTCAGAAATAGACCGGTATGTAAACGGTCAAGTGATTGTTGACAAATGTGTTTCAGCAAATGCTGAAGCTATTAGATATCCATATGTAAAAATATCATTACCTCACGCCATGTAATTTTTTTTTTTTTTTTTTTTTTTTTAGAGATAGGGTCTCACTCTGTCACCCAGGCTGGAGTGCAGTAGCACAATCAAGCTCACTGCAGCCTTGAACTCTTGGGCTCAAGTGATCCTCCCGCTTCAACCTCCTGAGTAACTAGGACCACAGGGGTATGCCACCATGCCTGGCTAACTTTTGTATTTTTTGTAGAGATGGGGTCTCCCTATGTTGCCCAGGCTGGCCCTGAACTCCTGGCCACAAGTGATCCTCTCACCTTGCTTCCCAAAATGCTGGGATGACAGGCATGAACCACCATACCTGGCCACCATATAAAAATGTTAACACAAGTTGAATGATAGGTCTAAATGTAAGAGCTAAACTACGAAACTTCTAAAAGAAAATCTAAGAGAAACTATTTAGTCAAAGATTTCTAAGGTAAGACAAAAAGGACAAAGAAAATGGATAAACTGAAATTCATCAAAATTAAGCACACCTATTGGACCAGTCATCGATTGAAATCTACCCTTCTAGTCCCTGCTTTGTAATAGTGAGGTTGCATCCTATAAATATTTATTTGCCAGCTAGTGGAATGCTAGGCTTTGTCAGTAGAGGGCACTAGAGTAACACTGCAAGATGATAGCAACAGGAACTTTTGGGAGTGAAGAAAATGCTATGTGCTGTTAAAATGAGATAGTTAACAATTCAGCACCCTAATTCCCCAAGCCACATTTCAAGTGTTCTATAGCCAATGTAGTTCACGGCTACCACATTGGACAAGCCAGATACAGAATATTTCCATCATTACCAAAAGTTCTATTAACCTCTGCTCTATATCTATTGTGTTGATGGGGTACATGGCTGTATACATTTGTCAAAACCTATCAAATTGTTTGCTTAGAATGAGAGAATTTTGTATGTAAATTAAACTTCAATAAGAATTTAGCAAAGTGCTATTATTCTTTGATTAAACAGTCTCATCTAGGGTTTTAGTAATTTTCATCACTGAAACTGCACAATTGGTCTCCCTCTGATGCTGAGCGGAAGCTGGACTGTACTGCTGCCATCTCGGCTCACTGCAGCCTCCCTGCCTGATTCTCCTCACTCCTGCCCAGTGCCTGCGATTGCAGGCACGCGCCGCCAGGCCTGACTGGTTTTCGTATATTTTTGGTGGAGACGGGGTTTCGCTGTGTTGGCCGGGTCGGTCTCCAGCTCCTAACCGCTAGTGATCCGCCAGCCTCGGCCTCCCGAGGTGCCGGGATTGCAGACGGAGTCTCGTTCACTCAGTGCTCAATGGTGCCCAGGCTGGAATGCAGTGGCGTGATCTCGGCTCGCTACAACCTCCACCTCCCAGCCGCCTGCCTTGGCCTCCCAAAATGCCGAGATTGCAGCTTCTGCCCGGCCGCCACCCCGTCTGGGAAGTGAGGAGCATCTCTGCCTGGCCGCCCATTGTCTGGGATGTGAGGAGCCCCTCTGCCTGGCTGCCCAGTCTGGAAAGTGAGGAGCGTCTCTGCCCGGCCGCCATCCCATCTAGGAAGTGAGGAGCGCCTCTTCCCGGCCGCCATCACATCTAGGAAGTGAGGAGCGTCTCTGCCCGGCCGCCCATCGTCTGAGATGTGGGGACTGCCTCTGCCCCTCCGCCCCGTCTGGGATGTGAGGAGCGCCTCTGCCCGGCCTCGACCCCGTCTGGGAGGTGAGGAGCGTCTCTGCCCGGCCACCCTGTCTGAGAAGTGAGGAGACCCTCTGCCTGGCAACCGCCCCGTCTGAGAAGTGAGGAGCCCCTCCGCCCGGCAGCCACCCCGTCTGGGAAGTGAGGAGCCCCTCCGCCCGGCAGCCACCCTGTCCGGGAGGGAGGTGGGGGGGTCAGCCCCCCGCCCGGCCAGCCGCCCCGTCCGGGAGGGAGGTGGGGGGGTCAGCCCCCCGCCCGGCCAGCCGCCCCGTCCGGGAGGGAGGTGGGGGGGTCAGCCCCCTGCCCGGCCAGCCGCCCCGTCCGGGAGGTGAGGGGCGCCTCTGCCCGGCCGCCCCTACTGGGAAGTGAGGAGCCCCTCTGCCAGGCCACCACCCCGTCTGGGAGGTGTGCCCAACAGCTCATTGAGAACGGGCCATGATGACAATGGCGGTTTTGTGGAATAGAAACGGGGGAAAGGTGGGGAAAAGATTGAGAAATCGGATGGTTGCCGTGTCTGTGTAGAAAGAAGTAGACATGGGAGACTTTTCATTTTGTTCTGTACTAAGAAAAATTCTTCTGCCTTGGGATCCTGTTGATCTGTGACCTTACCCCCAACCCTGTGCTCTCTGAAACATGTGCTGTGTCCACTCAGGGTTAAATGGATTAAGGGCGGTGCAAGATGTGCTTTGTTAAACAGATGCTTGAAGGCAGCATGCTCGTTAAGAGTCATCACCACTCCCTAATCTCAAGTACCCAGGGACACAAACACTGCGGAAGGCCGCAGGGTCCTCTGCCTAGGAAAACCAGAGACCTTTGTTCACTTGTTTATCTGCTGACCTTCCCTCCACTATTGTCCTATGACCCTGCCAAATCCCCCTCTGCGAGAAACACCCAAGAATGATCAATAAAAAATAAATAAATAAATAAATAAATAAATAAGAAATTCTTGAGATTAAATAAATCTAAAGAGGACAAAAAAAAAAAAAGTTTGAGACCAGCCTGGACAACATGGTAAAACCTCATCTCTACTAAAATAGAAAAAATTAGCTGGGCATGGTGGTTCATGCCTGTAGTCCCAGCTACTCAGGAGGCTGAGGCACAAGAATTGCTTGAACCTTAGAAGCGGAGGTTGCAGTGAGCTTGAACCCTGGAAGCGGAGGTTGCAGTGAGCTTGAACCCTGGGAGCAGAGGTTGCAATCACGCCACCACACTCCAGCCTGAGCAACAGAAAGAGACTCTATCTCCAAAAAAGAAAAACAAAAAAAGAAATTCCCTCTTTACTACACTCATTATATGTGTTTGGAAATAGGACACAAACCTTATCTGTATAAGGAACTTGCATTTTAAGTAGCAAACTAACTCAAGATCCTCAATAGAAATATGTGCTCAATCCTTCAACATGAAAAAAAAAAAAAGCCAATCCTTTAAAAAAAAAAAAAAAAAAAAAAAAGAAACTGCACCATTAAATAAAAGCCTTGCAAACATCAGTGTGGCTCCCTCTCAATGCCCTGCTTTTTTTGCTTTTTGAGCCAGAGGCAAACAGTGCTGCAGTGTTTACAGTTTTGTATTTAACATTTTATTCTGAGTTTCCATTTTTAAACTAGGATTTTCAACTCTTATCTTACTTTAGAAAATTAGCATTATATTCTTTGGAGATTTAAACAATTTTGTAACCATTTTTTTCATGTTGTTCGCGAAACTTAGTATTCTAGGAGAACTGCCAACCATTTAAAAATGTTTTTCCAAGGTGGTTTAAATAATTATTAAAAATTATTTGATGCATAAAATAAAATCTTCCTATCTAGTGCAATTCCCAGATGCTAGATGATTGTCTTTTCCAGAAAAATAGCTTGTGAGTGAGAAAAACCATGGAGGCACCTCCATGGCAGGGGATAAGATGGGCAGAAACCATGTCTCTTTTGTTTAATAAATTGCATCTTGAACAGCTGAATAGTACCTGACACTTGATGCATTTCTGTTGAACAACTGAGTGAACAAATGAATTCTAGTATCGGGGAAGTCGGTTATTGGTTCTAGATTTTGTAAACATGGTGCATCTCACCAGCAAAGAACGGAAGAGAATTGGGGAAATACATAGCTATTCTTTATCTTTTGCTGAGATACTTCCTCCAAATTTCTTTTCACTGAGTATTGGGGCCAATTTTCTAATTTCAAACTCTATTTACTACAGCAGAGGGCAGGAGGATGGCAAGTTCTAGACATTTAAATGAGCAAATAATTAAGCTTTTCTGCAGGCTTGTAGTTTAAGCACTTGAAGCAGACAATTTGAAGCGCTACCATGGGAACTCCTATCCAGCTATTTGCCCAATTCTTCTCCTGGATGTCTCCAATGTCAAAGTGCTTAAATCTGAATACTTCCTTTTTCCCTAACTACACTTCCTTTTCCCCTGAGTACTCTTTCCTGGTCTGCTTTATGTGTCTTAGTGAGAACTAGTATTTACCAGCCACCCCAGCCAGAAACCAGGAGTTACTAGACTCCTCTTTCTTTCTCACCTTCTAGAGCCAATTAATTGCCTAATCCTTGTTAATGCATTAAAAACAGGATCACCACTAGTTGTGTCCAGAAATATCACTGGGGTGGATGAAAGTGGGAAGAACAGGCAAAGAACTTGGTAGGTGTAGAAGAGGTGGCTTCCTTTGGAAGAGTCTTAAAATGTGGCCTCCATTTTCATGATAGTTGTTAAAAGATTATGATCAACTTTTAGAGGAAACAATGTGAAGTCAAGACCCTGATATTACAAAGTAGTTGGAGTGATGGGCCTCTTTTACTTGTAATATTTCTTAAGTAGCCACTGACAGAAACATATACTATGTCATAGGTTTATCATCTCTCTCTTTTAACCTCATATAGTTAAATTTTGTGTTTTTGTTTTCAGCAGTGAAAATATTTAAGATGTACTCTCCTGGCAAATTCAATTATATATTATTACTAACTTTGCTAGAATCTCTTTATTAGACTTTTATGCCTCTAGTCCTACTTATTTCAATTCTTTCCCCATCTTGATGTCAGAGTCATCCTTCTGAAACTAAATTTGCATTTATTATTGGCTCAAAAACCTTTAGTGATAGCACTTGACAACCACTAGGGTGGCTAGAATAAAAAAAGTCTGATAATAACAAGAGTTGGTGAAGTTCTGAAAAATTGGAACTCTTACACACTGCTGGCAGGAATGTAAATTGGTGCATTCACTTTGGAAAACAGTCTGGCAGTTCCTCAAATGATTAAATGTAGGGTTACCATATGACCTAGCAGCTCCAACCCCAGGTAGATACCCAGAAGTTACAAAGTCTGTCCACAAATAAGTTGGTACACACATATTTATGGTAGCATTCATCATAATAGTCAAAACATGGAAACAACGTAAGTGTCCATCAATAGACAAATGGATAAACAAAATGTGCTATATCCAAAAAATAGAATATTACTTGGGCATAAAAATGAAATATGCGTACTACAACATGGATGAACCTTGAAATCGTTATGCTAAGTAAAAGAACCCAGTCACAAAAAACCACATATTATTTGATTCCATTCCTATGAAATGTTGTGGAGGAAAAGTTAAATATTAAATTTGAACTCAATTGAATGTGGACACAAACAGTGGTCACCAAGTCCCAGAATAGGTTGTGTGAGCCCCTTGAGGCATTCATCCTGTGCTGTTTTGGAAAAATCTCTATTTCAATCTATTCCTATATGTTAGTTACTGAAAAAACAATAGACAATCACAAAAACAAGTTGACCTTTTTTGTTCCTTGAGCCCAGTCGTGAAGGGCCCTCATGGCTGGGCCTCATGCCAAACAACTAGTTACAAAAAGAGTTAGGGTCCCAGACTGCACCGAAGCTTCATGAGACCTCTCCTTGTCTGTGCACGGACGGGAGGCCAACTCTGGAGCCCAGGCTGTTGCTTCCCAGTCTGGTGGTGAATCCTCCATAGTCTGATGAGTGTAAATATATATATAATACATATATTTAGTGTAAATATATATATATCTTTTTCCTTCTCCCCTTCCCATTGCAATTTGCTTATTATATCATTTGCTTATTATATCTGCATTGCCATTTACATGGGATAAAGGTTGTTTACCCCTAAACATATTGTTTTTGTGTCTTTTCTTCTCCCCTCGTGCATTTCCCACACAGAACAAATGTCCAGAACAGATAAATCTATAGAGACAAAGTAGGCTAGTGGTTGTTTAGGGCTAGTGGAAGACATAGGCTGTGAGATTTCTTTTTGACATGATGAAAACCTAAAATGGACTGGTGATGGTTCCACATATGTGTAAATAAACTAAAAATCAATGAATTGTACACTTTAAATGGGTGAATCATAGGTATGTGAATTATATCTCAATAAAGCTGTTAAATGAAAATTTAAAATAACTTTAGTGACTTACACAATAAAATCTAAACTAGTCCCACTCCACTCTGCCCTCTGTGCAGAGTCTCAGGCTCAAAAATCTCTCCGCACTGTACTCCACAAATTATGAAGTCCATCCTGACTCAATGTTTTGTCCACACGCTAACTGATAGAGTTTGAATATTTGTGTCCTCCAAATCTTATGTTGAAATTTGATCACCATTGTTAGAGGTGAGGACTGGTGGGAGGTGTTTGGATCATGAGGGTGGATCCCTTATGAATGGGTTGGTGCCATCATTGAGGTAATGAGTGAGCTCTTGCTCTGTTAGTTCCCATGAGATCTGATTGTTAAAAAGAACATAGCACTTTCCTTCCCTCTCTCAATCTCTGTCCCTCTCCTTCTCCTCCTCCTTTCTTGCCATGTGACAAATCTGCTCCCACTTTGTCTTCTGCCATGATTGGAAGCTTCCTGAGGCCTTACCAGGAGCAGATACTGGTGCCATGCTTCTTTTGCAGCCTGCAGAACTGTAAGCCAAATATACTTCTTTTCTTTGTAATAACCCAGCCTCAGGTACTCTTCTATAGCAACACAAATGAACTAAGACACTGTCCCTGATGCTCCAGACTGCTCCATGTGTGCAACTGACTCCTGCTCATGCTGCAGCTTCCTTTGGTCAGAATGTCTTTCCCAGTGGCCCTTTTCTTCTGAGGTCTGCCAAGCAAACACCTACTCATCTTCCAAGTCTAGTCACTAGTCACCTACATTTCAAAACTTTATGCAACCACATGAATGTGTCATGAAGGCTTTCTTGCCAGGCTGAATCAACCACTTCCTCTTTTGCACTCTTCTACACCTGTACAAGCTCTGTCACAGCATCTCTAGAGCTTGTTTGCTTACCTGTTTCTTTCTCCTTTATTAGGCAGCTTTTCAGTGGCGGGGATATTGCTGTATTATTATTATTATTATTATTATTATTATTATTATTATTATTATTATTTTTTGAGACAGGATCTCGCTCTGTCCCCCAGGCTGGAGTGCAGTGGTGCAATCTTGGCTCACTGCAAGCTCCACCTCCTGGGTTCATGCCATTCTCCTGCCTCAGCCTCCCAAGTAGCTGGGACTACAGGTGCCCGCCACCACGCCTGGCTATTTTTTTTTTTTTTGTATCTTTAGTAGATACGGGGTTTCACCGTGTTAGCCAGGATGGTCTCGATCTTCTGACCTCGTGATCTGCCTGCCTCAGCCTCCCAAAGTGCTGGGATTACAGGCATGAGCCACCCGCACCTGCCCACTGTATTATTTTTATTCTACATCTTCTACTTGCTTGATTCTGGAGCTGCACACACTTGCTAGCCCTTATCTTCCACATACCATACCCAAATCAGAGCTTATTGCAAGAGCACAGGTCAGACAGGCCTATCTTGGCCTCACACTTATACCCTGCCCCTGCTGCTCTGTGGTCCTGCGTGTTCTCATGGTTGCAGAGACTCTCTTTCCAGATTATTTCTCCAAATGCTGAGCCCAAATATTGACCTCTGACCCATGCCACCATGCTTTTGCCTGTGCTGTGCAGCCTGACTGGCCCCCGCTGTCCTTGTACCTCTGGAAGTTGACTGCAGCCTGTGTACTGGACTGTGAGCTTTGCCAGGTTTCTCCAGTTTAACTTGAGAGCTCAAACTCCAAATTCTGTTTTGCTTTAAGATGTATGAGACCCAGGTCCCCAGCCGGTGCTCTGCCTAAGCTGTCCCAATTCAGCTCCTGTTTCTGCCCACCTTGATCAGTCTTATCCCATATTAGCTATATCTCGTATGGTTTCCTCTGACCCTAACCCCACCCTCTCCTATCTGCATAGTTTTCTCTTTTACCCCTAAGACTATATTAGATACTCTGCATGCTGACAGCTTCCTATGCATATACCAAGTGCTTATTATAGCACTTAACAGTCTATCTTGTAATTATTGCTTATCTGTGTGTCTCCCTCTCCCATTGGCCTCTGGACTCATGCTTGTCAACTTTTTCCTACTTGGACATGTTATAGATAATTTTTATTTGCTGACACACCCCCATTGATTTACCCAGATGGTGAGCTGTAGCAAAGACAAGATAGTGTGTGGATTATTTGTAGTTTATGATTTGTAACTCTAGCCCTTTTATTCCTGCTAAATAATGTATATCACAATGACAGTAAATGACTACAAAGTTATAAGGATAATAATCTGTTTTTTATAACAAATTTTAAAAAGTAAACATTTCACCAACTTTAGTACTTTCTTATCAATAGCAAATTACTTGTGCTAGCCTTCCAAGATGGCTGTACCACATGACTATGTCATTAGGGCATTCTTGCCAGATCCTGAGTTCCTGAGAGCTGGAGTTATATCACATTTATCACTGTAAACCCAGCATCTCACACAGTTCCTGACAATAACAGGCACTCGGTATATGTTTGTTTAATTGGTGGCTGGTTGATGAATTATAAAATGAGATTAATTTTTAAAATTCACTGGGTTTGCTTAAACACCAGGAGACTGAGGCTATCTCCAGCTGTGTAAAGGCAGCTTCTAAATCCAGAGTCCTTTAGAATTCGGTATCCTTTTACAATAAAGCCATGATAGCGGTGACTGTCCTGGAGAAGTAATATACAAAATAGCTAACGGGTTGGTACACTCCTGGAATGTTACTTTTACACACTATGAATGATTTCTAGTCTGGTATTGTGGATGTCTTTTGAGTATCCATATGTAATTAACAAGGCGAACCCATGAATCTATTTCTCTGCTTTTTGATCAGATGCTCACATCATAGTACTTTTAGGGTGTTATTACTACAAGGAGCTCACAATTTCAAATAGCACAGTGGAAACCACGTCTGTCTTAGAGATTATGATTCATACTGTGTTCACTACTGTGTTCACTACCTTGCTACTATCTAAACTGTGATTTGTCCTAATCACTCTGTTTTGCTGAACCTTTAAAATGGGAGTTGAACAAATAATCTCTAATGTCCTCCTTGACTCTAAAAATCTTGATTCTAACAAATGTTGGAAGAATTTAGAAATTACCTGGATGATTAATCTGTTCAGACTGCTGTAACAAAATACCATCAACAAGGTGTCTTATAAGCAACAGTAATTTCTCACATTTCTGGAGGCTGGGAAGTCCAAGATCAAAGCACCAGCAGATTCCATGTCTGGCAAGGGCCTGTTTCATAGATGGCACCTTCTCATTGTGTTCTCACATGGTAGAAAAGACGAACTAGGTCTCTTGGGACTCTTTTACAAGGGCACTAATCCCATTCGTGAGACCTCCATTCTTATGACCTAATCTCCTCCCAAAGGCCCCACTTCATACTGTCACATTGAGGATTAAGTTTCAACATATGAATTTTGAGAGGACACAGACATTCATATCATAGCACTCCATAAAATGGGAATAGAATATTGTAAAGATTGGTCAAGTCTTTCTGTACCCTTCCAAGGAGGAAAGGCTGCTGCCTCAGCCCCCAGAGCACAGGAGATACTGACTTGTTGTCCATTCCTATACAAGATGGGTGCCTCGTCTTTTGGGGGAAAAGTGAGGTAATTACAGCCAGGACTCCATATTTACCACATGGCTGTATATATGAATTGTGTCTTGGGGTAGCTCCATGAAAAGAGCCAGACATGGTACTTTAGGGAAGTGTATTAGGTTTGGATTAGAGTTTAGACCAAGCAGTATCTCTTCTGACATTTAAGATTCATGAGCCTGTTGGCATCCGCACCAGTATTAACATTTGTGAGGGGGCACCCTGCCTCATTCAAAAGAGTGATGTGATGAGATCTGAGCCTAGTGGGAAGATTAGCTGTTGAGGGGAGGAGGGATACTTCTTCCATTGCAACAGGTATTGACACAAGCAGGTTTTATACATGGAAGTGAGAAGGTGAGGGAATTTCCATCAAATAACATCTCTTTTCTCAGGAAGTATGAGTCAAGTTCATCAAGTATGAATGAAAAGGAGTTGGGGTGTAGAAGTTTTTTGGAGAGGGAGAGGTAGGAAATAGTTGTCTTAGGGAGTAGAAAAGTGACCTTATTAGATAAACAAAATGGACATTCCAGAAAGTATTGTGTGCCTATTAGAGATTTGTAGTAGTGACTTTAAGATTATTTTCCCTAGCATTATTCAAAACACAAGTGGGTATTCAGGTTCAACCAGGGTTTTGTTAGGATAGTACACTGGAAGGAGAGAGCATCCTGGGAATGATAGTAATGATGGACCATAGCATCTAAGGTTGGAAAAGAGGTAAGTGGACCAGGTACAGTGGCTCACGCCTGTAATCCCAGCACTTTGAGAGGTTGAGGTGGGCAGATCGCCTGAGGTCAGGAGTTCAAGACCAGCCTGGCCAACATGGTGAAACCCCATCTCTACTAAAAATACAAAAAAATTAGCCGAGCATGGTGGCGCGTACCTGTAATCCCAGGTGCTCGGGGAATTGCTGGAACCTGGGAGGCAGAGGTTGCAGTGACCCAAGATCGGGCCACTGCACTCCAGCCTGGGTGACAGAACGAGACTCTGTCTCAAAAAAAAAAAAAGAGGTAAATGAAGACAGGAGTTGTGTGTATGTCAGCAATAGATAGATGGTGGTCTAGTTGGAAAAGTGTAGCAGTGGAGCAAGTGGTTAATAGAATAAATAAGCTCAAAGAAATAGAAGGTGGTGATCAGAAATGGGATGTTTGAAACTGAGATTATGGAAGTGATAATGACAGGACCCACAGTGTTGTTATGGGAATGGCTGGCTGAGACTGTAAAAGAAACAGTCTTGAAATTCAGGTGGTTAGGAAATTGAAACACTGGGGTGTGTGATGGATCAACCACGTGGGTGTTGTCCTCACTAAAAATGATGACAGAGTGGGGGTGATAAGGAAGACTCTGGTCTAGAATCCAGGATCTAATCCTGTCAAAGAAAGAAGGGGAGTAACCGAAAGATAAAATGGTAGCATTGAGGGGGTAGAGCGGCTGGTATAGCTGGCCAGTATGAGTTTCAGAACTTTAGCAGGAAGCTCTATAGGAAGGAAGAAAAAAGATTTGAAGTTGCAATGGGAAACATGAAGGATAATTCACCTTCTAACCCTTGTGTATGTGAGATGCTGGGTAGGGTGTGTGGGCGGGGTGGGGAGGTTGCAGTGACTGGCCTCTATTTGAGAAGGTTGCAGAGGAAGCAATGTTCTTAGGAGATATTTAAGGCAAGGGGAGAAAGGAGTGTTCAGAGAAGCTATTAAAGATACAGAGTAATTTATTGATTAGGAATATTAGAAAACACAAGACGAACATTTGGAAGGGAAGGTGGGGTGGAGTGCTGAGACCAGATTTAGGCACATACCAGAGTGGGGAAAACTGATGACTATGGAGGAGCTACATACTTAAAAGAAAGATAGAATCAAATATATGAAGTATCCACCCAGAATGGCCAAGAGGGTCTCAGGACACTTTTCTTAGTGATAAGGCATCTCAGGAGCTTTCCTTTTCTGAACATTAAAATTGTGGAGGCTTTCAGTTGAGAGGAGGAGTAAAGCAAGCCTCTGAGGTCCAAACCTATATTCAAGTTATAATTATGAACTTACAGTTCAGGTAGACCTTTTTAATAACTGTACTGTAGAAACAGCTGAGCTCAGAAACAGAGAAGGCATTGGCAACTGGGGACTATCTAATGATGCATGATAACTGCTTGATAAGTGAAAAATCACTGTTTTTTTCCCCCTTCACCAGAAGTTCTTTACCTGGTCTAGGTTTTCTGGAGAGAAAATTAATAACTTTCATTAAATTCTCAAAGTAATCCTTGAGCCCCAAAAGATTACCAGTCACTGATCTACATGATCCATTGAACATTGGGTGAATTTCTCTTTTTCTGAATTAATTGAAATTTATACTGGATTTCCCAAGCTTTTTATCACCACTTGAACAAAAACTTTAATCTTTAGTTACATAATTGAGTTATCTGTAAACTCTTGTTATAGTATAATGAAAAATACTATACAGAGGAACCTTAGTAATTTTCCACAATTACTAAGAGAGAATTTGCAATGTATTGCACTTCATAAATCAGTGAACAAATAAACAGAGACATGGTAAACAGGCAAGGGTATGCTGTTCCTGCGAATACTCTTGATTGCATAATAAAAAAGTCGTTATGAACTATATGGGATGTGCATTACTGGTTTGAATAGTACTCTACAGAACAAACAAACACCTCATTAACAGACTTCATTGGAATTGGTGATAATTCTGACCTGCAGAATGGGTTTATCTTTGCATTAAAAAATGTGTTTGATATAGATATCAATCATGTAAATAAGGGAAGCAGATAGTTTATTCTAATGAAGTCCCTAGTCCAACAAACTATTTTCAAGCATTTGGACAACCACACTTAGAGTATTTGAATAATGCCAATGAATATGTTAATGAATTATTTATTAAAGAACTAAGAATGTTTTTCTTTTTTTTCGTATTTATTCACTCGTGAACAACTTCAAAGAACTGCAACTCTGCTTCACTCTCCAGAGTCAGCGATGTGACTGCAGGCCTGCATACTCTGAGCCTCAGACATACCCTCCCGCCAGTCAACATCAATTTCTTACATTTAATCCAATACTAGGTTTTTCTTTCCTCTCCAATCCATAGATATCAAAATAGACAGGAATTCTAGTCTCAGAGACTATTTGAACACAGATACTTAGGCTTGTGAGTTATTGAAACTAGTAATTTTCTTTGGTTTGTGATAATTTCAGGTGACTTGAAATAATCAAATGATGGTTGAAAAAACTGAAGTTTTAAGATAAGGATTCATTTTTCTATTCTTAGAACAATGGAAAATAAATAAACTTATATAATATCATAAGTAAAAATAAAATCTGAAATACAAGTATGAAACTACCTCTGTAACATGAGCTAGATTGTAAATCCCGTGACAGTAGGGGTCATATTTGTCTATATCCTGAACACCTAGCACAGGGCCTGGCTTATTGTGGGCACTCGGCAAATATTTTCTATAGTGGATGACTAAAATAGAATAAATAATTGACCTATTTTTGATGAATAGAAAATATTAGTAGTTTGGGGAAACATGGTTATAAGTCTTTTTTTTGTAACTCAAAGTACGTAGTTAAGGACATATTTAAATTAACTTAGTGTATAGAATTAGAGGGCTTTCTGACTGGTGTGTATATTCTTTTTTAAGAAACTTTTGTGGGTACATAGTAATTGCATATATTTATGGGGGACACGAGATGTTTTGATACAGGCATGCAATGTGAAGCACATCATGGAGAATGGGGTATCCATTGCCTCAAGTATTTATCCTTTGAATTACAAACAATCCAGTTTTAAAATATGAAAGTTATTAAAGTATACAATTAAGTTATTATTGACTGTAGTCACTGTGTTGTGCTATCAAATAGTAGGTCTTATTCATTCTTTCTAGCTATTTTTTTGGTACCCAGAAACCATCCCCACCTTCCTTACCCCCACCCTCCCACTAACCTTCCTGGCCTCTGGTAACCATCCTTCTACTCTCTATGTCCATAAGTTCAATTGTTTTGATTTTTAGATCCCACAAATAAATGTGACATGCAATATTTGTCTTTCTGTTGGTGTGCATTTTCTGATCCAATTGTAGATGATCAGCAACTAGCATAACAATCCTTTAGTCACTTACATATGGTTGCAGAAATACCAAATAGTGAAGTAAATCATGGTGCACCAACTGGATTTTATATCCAAAAATCTTATGAAAAATAGAAATAATCTATTACAAGTTTATTTCAAGGAAGAATAAGGGAGAAATGCGTTTAGGCTTTAGTTGTTAGGAATAAAAACCTTAAATACATTTTTCTTCTTATTTGCATTAATTGCATCTGCAACTTGGAGCCATAGGCAATTGCTTAAAGACAACATTTTCTTATATAATATTGGCAGAATTTACAATTTGTTGTATTTCTCAGTGTTGGTAGAGTCCATATTCCCGTGACTTCTTTTCCTTGTTTGTGTGGATTTCATTAACAGAAATGTTTTTGGAAAATTTCCACAGTAAGCATTTAATACTAAATGAAAAAAATTAAAAAGTGATAAAGAAAAATGATCTTGTGGTTCATTTTTATACTTGAATGTTCTGGTTCATTCATTTAGCAAATATTTATTGAGCATGTACTCTGTGCTGGGTACTGTCCCAGAACTGTGGATACAGACAGACACAGTGAAGACCAAGCTCCTGCTTTTGCAGCATTCACATCCTAGAGTAGAAGAGTCAGCCCTGATGGAGAGTGCTTACTTGGTGCCAGGCATACTTCTAGTACATCACACACATATATTATTAAAATTCAACTTTTACTTTAGATACATGTGCAGGTTTGTTACATGGGTATATTGCCTCCAGGCAGTGACTGTAGTACCCAATAGATAGTTTTTCAACACACACCTCCCTCCACACCTCCCCAACTCTAGGAGTCTACAGTGTCTGTTGTTCCCATGTTTATGTCCATGTGTACTCATTGTTTAGCTCTCATTTATAAGTGAGAACATGAGGTATTTGGTTTTCTCTTTTTGCATTAATTTGCTCACAATTATGGCCTTCAGCTCCATCCATGTTGCTGTGAAGGACATGATTTCATTCTTTTTTATGGCTGTGTATTATTTCATGGTGTATATGTACCAAATTTTCTTTACCCAATCCACTATTGATGGGTACCTAGGTTGAGTCCATGTTTTTACTATTGTAAATAGCATGGCAATGAAAATATGAGCACATGTGTCTTTTTTGGCATATTGAACTATTTTGGGTGGAATGGTGGCTCTGTATTAAATTCTTTGAGAAATCTTCAAACTGATTTCCACAGTGGCTGAACTAATTTGCATTTCCACCAACAGTGTATAAGCATTCCCTTTTCTCTGCAGCTTCACCAGCATCTGTTGTTTTTTTTTTTTTACGTTTTAATAATAGCCATTCTGACTGGTGATATGACCCATATTAATTCATTTCATTTTCACACTCTGTAAGTGCTATTTTTACCCATCCCAATCTTACAGATAAGGAATCTGAAGCTCAGAGAGGCTAAGGTACTTGCCCAAAGTCACACAATAAACAAGAGTTGATGGGTTCAAACCTAGGTAAATACAGTTCCAGAGTTGTCTCTATGATGTGTTTATGACCATGAGAGAAAGTGA
This sequence comes from Homo sapiens, assembly GCF_000001405.40. NCBI lineage: Eukaryota > Metazoa > Chordata > Mammalia > Primates > Hominidae > Homo > Homo sapiens. Next base: position 112,565,270 of record NC_000007.14, read on the forward strand.
AATAGGAACAAGGTTTGATGATGGAACTCCAAATGGGCAACTATTTTATTGATGAGCAAAACTTTTAGAGTAATTTAGTGTCCATTGTCAATCAAAGCTCTTTTCACATGTATTGCTTAAATAATTGAGTGACTCTCACTAGATTTCAAGTAAAAGTTTTGATGCCAGTAGATAAGGTTCTCAGGCTAAATTTTCTCTTTATACTCCACTATGACAATTCTCACTGTCATGATTACATTTTTTAAAATGAGCATGATAATATAGTTTGCCTATATATTTTTCTTTCACAGTTTAATTCTAAGGATTCAAATTTACTCTTTGCTCCCAATAAAGAGTACATTGAAGGATATAATGCCATCTTAGACATTCCTGAGAAGATGCTTACTTGGTGCCAGGCATACTTCTAGTACATCATACACATATATTTTTAAAATTCAAGTTTTACTCTAGATACATGTGCAGGTATGTTACATGGGTATTTTGCATCCAGGCAGTGAGCATAGTAACCAATGGGTAGTTTTTCAACCCACACCTCTCTCCATACCTCCCCCCTCCACTAGTCCACAGTATCTGTGGTTCCCGTGTTTATGTCCATGTGTGCTCAATGTCATTCCTGAGAAGTAATGTCTAAGGGACATTATATAATGTAAGAAGAATTATAGTACATTATACATTACAATTTTTCTTATATTATGTAATTATGTATTTTATATATAATGTAAATATATAATGTAAGAAGAATTATATAATGGGAGAAAAAGTTTTCAGATATATTTTCAAAGGAGTTATATTAAATCCATTTACCATAATACAAAGTTTAAAATCTGATTATGTGCTTATTTTTCACACTCTGACCTGAATCTGAAATTGTGTATTCATATAATCTATAAAGATATGTAGTTTCAAAACTATAAATAACGTACTAGCATTACGACTACAGAAATGAAGAAGGGTGGTGTTGAACTATTTGGTTGATGTCTAGGTAGCCGGTTTGAGCAGATTAAGAGAGAAGAGAAGATTGAGACTATTTCGAAAAAGCAGATTGAAGCCTCCAAAGACTTCAGTAGAGGTGTGTGAAAGACAGTAAAACAAGGTGCTGAAGAATATATGTTACATTAGCAAGACGTTGAGCTAATGTCACTAGGATGAGAGGAGTAATCATCGTCTTAGATAGGCTTTTCCAGGTCTGAAATTTCAGAGCAGTCCCTGAGGAACAAAAGGTTGCTGAAGCAAGAAGCCCGATGCCCCATTTACAACCTCACTCATCAACAGAACTGAAGCCCTGGCTAGCCTCTTTCCCTCTTCTGTAATATAAGCGGTTGGGGACTGAGCAGCTGGCAAACTGGACAGGAGAGCTTGAAATGACTTGCTTGAGCCCAGACCAAGCTGTCGTTTTCTGTTAGTGTTTGGAATATTATTTGATGTCCTTAGGATTTTACATTATTTAGCCTTCAATAGATTTTCAAATGGATGACCTTTAAAGTGCCAGTCGTCTGCCTTGCTATTCCATGATTGGGCATATTTATGAGTAAAAACGAAACTTTAAATCTCCTACTTTCACTGCCAGTAAAAGCAGCAGAAATGACAGCAATAAAAAGTCTTGGCTTCCATTACTGAATCAACGACCAATCCTTTCATATCCAAGGAAGCTCATGTGACAATAAGCAGTGTTCTGTAGCACCATTATCACTAAAGGCCAGCCAGCAATTTCATTATAAAACCTTCTGAGGCAGCTTGTAATTTGGCTGTTTTAATTAAACCTCACCAGGCCAGATTGCCAGGGGGAAATTACTGGGAATTTTCCACTGAACTGTCACTCTAAAACAATGTTCTATTATGGATTTGATGTCAGAAATCATAACAATATTTAATGCCAGATAATTGGCATAACAATGATCTTGAGTGACAGCTTGAGTGCTTGGGAAGTTAAATTAAAAGTGATATGCTTATTTATGGCTTGAGCTGTCACGTCAACACAGGCACCTTTCACTTTCTCAGCCCTGCTACATCTTGGGGACAGCCGGCTGCAATTGGCAGTTAACTGTGTATATTAGCAGGAGGCTGGGTTTGATTCCATTTCTTCTCTTTTTCATTCTAAATGAGAATAACGAGAATAAAAGTAATGGTAAATTTACCAACACACACTAGAGCCATAAAAAACTAAATGTCTGAAAGAATGTTTTCTTGGTTTATCTTTAATAAAAAATTTACTGATTTTTTTCAGGGAGTTCAGGATATAGCAGCTAATAATGGCAATGGCTACCATTTATTGAGTGTTTACTCTGTGCAGGGTACTACACTAAAGTTCCATCATTCCCTCATTTAAAACTTAGAGCCACTCTATAGAGGAAGATGATAGCACCATTTCAGAGATGGGGAAACTTGCCAAAGTCCCCCAGCCAGCCAGTGGTGGATTTGTGATTTATCTCAGGTCGGCTTGACTCTGCAGCCCGTGTTATAGACTATAACATAATGCTTTCTGCTACAAAGTACTCCCTTCTATACCAAAAAACAAATTATTTTTCCAAGAGTCTACATTGGGATGAAGTTTTAAGAATATTGCCTTTTACCAAAAGGAAAAGTATTTATTCTACAGCCACATTAAAAAATTTTAGATATAAATATAAAACATTCAATTCACCTGATTTTAGCTTAAGAACAGTCATAAAACTTAATGTAATTTTATAAAAGTTAGGCCGGGCGCAGTGGCTCACGCCTGTAATCCCAGCACTTTGGGAGGTCGAGGTGGGTGGATCACAAGGTCAGGAGTTCGAGACCAGCTTGGCCAATATGGTGAAACCCCATCTCTACTAAAAATACAAAAAAATAAGCTGGGCGTGGTGGCACATGCCTGTAATCCCAGCTACTCGGGAGGCTGAGGCAGGAGAATTGCTTGAATCTGGGAGGCAGAGGTTGCAGTGAGCTGAGATTGCGCCACTGCACTCCAGCCTGGGTAACAGAGCGAGACTCTGTCTCAAAAAAAAAAAAAAAAATTATAAAAGTTAATATTTATTATTTATATTTCACATCTATATTATGGCTGGGTAGGAGGGAGAGAAGTGAAGTGAGGGAGAGAGGAAATAGAAGAAATGAAAAGAAAAGACTGTAATGTTGAGGGGAAAGAAAGATCGATGAGAAAGAGGAACGGGGATTGACAGGAATGAAGAAGGATTTCTATAAATAATGGGGAGAGGCCCTAGGAAGGCTCTTCCACCATCTTCGACCATTGCCTCTGGTGACCTTAGCCTATGTTTCCCTCTAAATCAAGGTCTTTCTTTTAATATGATCAATTTCTCCTCTCTACTGGCTTCCTTCTCTTTGCCTTCAAACATACACAGTTCCTCCCTCACATGAAAAAAACCTTCCCTTGATCTTAAGCCCTTTCTATCATTGGTTGAATTAGTACTGACTGGATAGACAAGGTCTGAGAGCCCATTTGCCAGGCATTAGCTGTTAGGTCCCAGGGATGTAAAGGAGCACAAAACAGGGATTTTTCCTTTTCACAAGCAAACTTTCTGAATGATTGGAAATTAATCATGAGCAGGTAGATGTCTAAGGTCATATTTAAAAATAATTGAATCAATTAAGGGCAGAAATCGGCTGGGCATGATGGCTCACACTTGTAATCCCAGCACTTTGGGAGGCTGTGGTGGGAGGATCTCTTCAGCCCAGGAGTTTGAAACCAGCCTGGGCAAAAAAAAAAAAAAAAAAAAAAAAAAAAAAAAATATATATATATATATATATATATATATATATATTTATATATAATATATATATTAGATGGGTATTGTGGCATGGGTCTGTAGTCCCAGTTACTCTGGAGGCTGAGGCGGGAGGATTACTTGAACCCAGGAGGTTAAGGCTTCAATGAGCTGTGATTGTGCCACTGCACTCCACAGAGACCATGTCTCAAAAAAAAAAAAAAAAAAAGAAAGAAAAAAAAGAGTAGAAATCTGCCAAATCAGTTGTTTAAAATGCCATATAGATCAGGGGTCCCCAACCCATGGCTCCAGACTGGTACTGGTCCGTGGCCTGTTAGGAACCGGGCCACACAGCAGGAGTTGAGCAATGGGTGAGCAAGCATTACTGCCTGAACTCCACCTTCTGTCAGATCAGTGGCGGCATTAGATTCTTGATTCTCACAGAAGCGTGAGCCCTATTGTGAAGTGCGCATGTGAAGGATCTAGGTTGCGCGCTCCTTATGAGAATCTAACTCATATCTGATGATCTGAAATGGAACAGTTTCATCCCCAAACCTTCGCCCACCCCCTCCCCCAATACAAACTGGGGCCATAAAAAATGAAATACCTGAAAGAATATTTCAAGGATTTTTGTCTTCCATGAAACTGGTCCCTAATGCTAAAAAGGTTGGGGACTGCTGATATAGATCAAACATGATGACTGTTTTCCTTCTTTCAACCACTTATTTTTCCATTCTGTAGGCTATGATTACCATCTTCATTTTATTTCTGTCCACTCATTAGGATAGTTTGGGACACGCCTTCCTCCACTGCTAAGCCTACACCCTTGAATGTTACCAATTACTTCCTTATTGACAAATGTTTCTTTTACCCTCACACTTTCCCTTCTTTCTATTGTACTATACATATTGAATGATCTCCTACATCTCCTTTTCCCACCTTCAAATTATTTCTTTCTAGAACTATAGTTCAAAGTATCATTCTAGTTCAGAAAAGCTTTATTTCAAACTGAATGAATTTGGTCAGGAAAGCTTTATGTTGAATTGGAAAAGCTTCCTAAATTTGAGGCAAGCTACTCTATAGGAAATTGAGGTTCTTTTGATGCTGTTATATCTGCAGGTCATATATTTCATTATTTTACATCTGAAATATATCTTCCAATGATGATAGTTTCTCTCCTAAAAGGAGATAGGATCTTTATTGTGTGTGATTTATTTGGGGGTAATTTTTTTGTTTGATACACATATATCAGAAGGAGACCTGGATTTTCTCATTTAATCACTGAATATTTCACTTTTTGATATTCACTGATTCAAGCCCTTTGGCTCTCTGGGTATGAGGGAAGAAACCCACTGTGTCAGAAGTAATATAAATTGCATTCTAACTTTTTCAGTTCCACCTTCTCTTACCTTAAAGGGAAGACCACCAAACTCTCTGAATTTTTTTTTTTTTTTTTGAGATGGAGTTCTCGCTCTGTTGCCCAGGCTGGAGTGCAGTGGCGTGATCTCGGCTCACTGCAAGCTCTACCTCCTGGGTTCACCCCATTCTCCTGCCTCAGTCTCCTGAGTAGCTGGGACTACAGGTGTCCGCCACAACACGCAGCTAATTTTTTTGTATTTTTAGTAGAGACGGGGTTTCACCGTCTTAGCCAGAATGGTCTTGATCTCCTGACCTCATGATCTGCCTGCCTCAGCCTCCCAAAGTGCTGGGATTACAGGTGTGAGCCACCGCGCCCGGCCCAAACTCCCTGAATTTTAACACAGAAATCTTTCTTCTGGGCCCTCAACAACATCCTTACCATATAAAGGCACAAACTGCTCAGATATTTTGTATTTGTATTTTCACATATTTCTCAACTCTATTTTGTGTACACTCATCATGGAGTTACTTATTTTGGGAATTGAGTATCCTATGAAATTCATTATCAAGTTTATTATAGAAATATTTTATCTTTGCTGGTTTTTTTTAGAATTACAAAAGTTAAAAAATTTTTTTCCATATGTTTTGCTTACACAATAAGGATATTTGTGTTATGTCTACATAAAAAAGAAACGAGTTGTTAAAAAGAGGGAAAATAGTCATTATGGTGGTTGATTTATCTATATGCCACTAAACAATTGGTTTGGCAGACTTCTCTTAATTGATTCAATTATCATTATAAAATATGGTCTTAATATCTACTTGATAATTAATTTCCGACTCAAAACCCCACCTTCCCTGCCTTTAGAAATCTGCTAATAGAAATGAAGTTTCAAAAATAAGTATCAGTGAAATTGAAGAATCTGGAGTCCAGATGAAGGAAATAGAGCCAGTTCATGTAATGAAGTTCTAATTCATTCAGCTTTAAGACTATACAAAATTTGGGTTCCTCAATTCTTTTTTTTTTTTTTTTTTTTTTTTGAGACACAGTTTCACTCTCGTTGCCCAGGTTGGGGTGCAGTGGTGTGATCTCAGCTCACTGCAACCTCCACCTCCCGTGTTCAAGTGATTCTCCTGCCTCAGCCTCCCAAGTAGCTGGGATTACAGGCATGCACCAACATACCTGGCTAATTTTGTATTTTTAGTAGAGATGGGGTTTCACCATGTTGGCCATGCTGGTCTTGAACTCCTGACCTCAGATGATCCATCTGCCTTGGCCTCCCAAGTGCTGGCATTACAGGCATAAGCCACCATGCCCACCCTTGAATTCTTAAGAATATGATTTAGACTTGGATCTGGTAGTAAATACCCATATTTACATTTATCATCTATAATTATTATTCCATTAGAGCAGGCGAGATCTGCATTTTAATCATGATGGATAAAGAATGAGAAGTGAGATAACATCTGAATACATTTAGTGAACTGTAGTTTCTATCTAACTTTTAGTAACAATTGTTATTGTCTTAACTACCTCTGAAAGTCAGGCTAACTCTCCAATGCTAATGTAAGAAGCATGCAGTCTGTGGCAGGCTGTATCAGTTAGGATCCAGACAGGAAATAAATGGCCCACTTAAACCGAGTAACAGAAAGAGTTCAATGAAAGGACCATTTACAAAGATGTAGGCAGGGTAGGCAAGGTCAAAAGGAACTTGTAAGGAATGATAAAGCTAGCAACGGAAGGGAGTCATTACCTCCTAGATCTGAGGCCGCAAGAGAAGGAAGTAGAACTGATATATACATATATGAGAGATGGAAGACACACACACACACAGGCAGAGAGAGAGAGAGGCTATAGCAGAATTGATCTGATGGGGGTTGTGGCCTTTGGTAGAAGAAAAGAGCCAAACAATAGCCAGAGAAAAAGATACCCTAGTCTCGCCTCCTCTTCTTCACTTGGATCTACTAGTGCCTCCCATTGGCTGAACTCAGCTGTAAGCCAGAGGGCAGCACTGCTCATGATGCAATTAATCAACAAACCAGTCCCTAGGCACAGAGCAGAGAAGAGCAGGGTGGAGAATAAATTTGTTCTGGAAGAGCAAGTGAAATACATCCAGTGTCCAGGCTAAGACTGATATCTATATCATCCCTCAATTCACCAGGGGTTAATTAACTTTTATTGGTCCAGATATTGACATCACTCCTTCCCTTGAATGCCACCTGTTACTTCCTTATTGACAAATCAAATACTTCTGTCACTTTCAAACTTTCCTTTCTTTTTATTGTATATCTTGGATGATCTCTTCCATTTCTTTTTCCCACACCAAATTATTAATTTCTAGAACTATAGCTCAGACCTTCAGTCCAGAAAAGCTCCACCTTGAACTGGATGAGCTTGGCTTGTTAAATTTGGAGTAAGCCACCTAACAGGAAGTTGAGGTTCTATCTGATGCTGCCCCACAAAAGAATATGTAAAACTTACAAGAGATTGTTGCCCTGGGTGAACATTGAACCATGACTTCTAAAGTCTATAAATATTGTGAGTTGGAAGCCTGACAATATTGGCAACATGCCAAGGTACATAGTAGCTATCTTTATGGATCACTAGCTGCTGTACCAGTCTCACCTGAAAGTGATCAGATAAATGCGTTCTTTCATGTTATATGGGAAAAGAGAGAAAACAAAGAGTCATATATTTTTCTGAATTTACACAGGAACTGCTGTATCAAGCTGTTAGAAAATCTTGATGTCCTTAAAACACACCTTGTCACAGTATCCAGCCTTATTATTTTTGTCTTGATATGGTCAGAGCCCTTTGAATAACAGCCCTGAGAAAGTTTACCAACACACTTTACCACAGTGAGATTACCTTTAAGGGGACATAATTTGGCCCCTGCTTTCCTCTCTGATTTCATCTTTTACTATTCTCCCCAACACCTTTGTGCACATTTGCACACACAGACATACACACCCACAGACAGATACACTCCTCTCCACCATACTAAGCTTCTTTCTTAACTCTAGGTTCTGCACGAGCTGTTTCCACTGCCAGAAACACTTCCTCCTCCTAGTATTTTTCTCAACCTGCCACTTATTATATTGTATCACATTTGCTTATTAATGACTCTAGGTTTTGAATGCCATGAGAGCGGGGGCTATTTTTACTTCTTTGTCATTGAATCCTCAGGACTTTGTCTGGTGCCTGGCACATAATAGCTTCTCGTTAACTGTTGAATTCATTAGTGAATGAAGGAAATAGCAACAGGAAAAGTTTTATTCACCAGTGTTTATCCTAAGGTTAGCTCTGCTTAGGATGATCTCATTTGTGACTGGATGAGAAAACTGGCAAGTGTCTGAATAATTCACAAATGCAAGTTCAGCTCCTGAATAAGCAGTACAATAAGCAATGTGTTGTACTGAGAGAGCACCTAACTGGCTAGGCAATTGTGAGGAAACTGGTTGCTACTAGAGCTTCTCATATCAGATGCCCATCAGAATCCCTTCAAGTTACTAGTCCTAACTACTGAAACCAGACCTTCTGAATCCCAGGCCTTCTGCGTCAGCACCCTCCGTGGGGGATGGGTTCTGAGTCTGTGTTTTGTTATCTGCCCCCTCCATCCCCTAGGTGGTGGTTTTTGTGCATACGGGACTTGTGATCTTGCCATGGGAGTGAGTCATCAACAACCTTAAGTTTGTAAATTATATTTGCAAGTATTCAGTTTTATTTTTTAATTTTTTATGACTTGTAGGCTTTTCCCTAGGGAGATGTTTAATTTTCTTTCACTGTTTTGTGTTGCAGGGTCTTATTCACTTGATTAATTTTTAATTGGAGAATCACGCTATTTCCAGACTATGAGTAGAGAGAGCTTTGTACTGCTTTCCCAGTGGAATTCTCATTAATATACTTTCTCTGTGGTCCCCATGGACTACCAATTTCCTCATCCTCCAATCATATTTGTTCTGTTGAGAGGGAGGCAGAAATCTGGATAAAGGTAAGCCCAGCCAAGCAATGTTGAGATGTGCTAGGCGGCAGTGGTAAAACCAAATTTGCATGCCCGTAGGTATGAATTCACTCTCAGGTTTCCATGGAATCATCCAGTGTAGTTCTGTCCCTTTGTTTTTACAATCACTTGCTTTTATTGCAAAATCGTGTGCTATAAAAATAAGCATTTAACTTCATCAGAGACCTACGTTAAAACTTCCTAATATGCATTTCAATCTAGAAAATGATTGTTAGTCATTTTAGTTAGACGGTTCTGCTGATTCTTCTATTTTGGCTTGTTATTAAAGCTGAGTGAGTCATTTTCCTATACAGATCATCATAACCCAATAAATGATCATCGGGATGGTCAACAGAGCTCTTCTGATTGTCACCTGGTGGCCTCACTGTTTCTCTTTGTGAGTCAGATTTTGAATCTTTGTACAAAACTGCATGAAAATATTAGAGACAAAAGAAACATGGCACATTGGAATAGTGTATAAGTTATCTATTGCTGTGCAACAATTTACCACAAAGTTAGTGGCTTGAACAACATTAATTTATTAAGTAACAGTTCTGTAGGTCAGAAATTTGGCATGGCTTGACCGAGTTCACTGTTTAGGGTCTCAAAAGGTGGAAATAAAGGTGTTGGACTTGCGGGGCTCATTCAGGTTGTTGATAGACTTTAATTACTTGCCGTTGTGGGACTGAGGCCACCGTTTCCTTGCTGGCTGTTGGCAGGGAGTCTCTCTTAGCTTTTAGAGGTTGCTCTTTGTTCCTTGCATGTGACCCTTCTGTCTTCAAAGTCAACAATTGTGCATCAAATTATTTTCAGGCTTCAAGTCTCTCTGATTTCATCCTCTCTACCAGCCAGAGAAAATGTTGCTTTTAAAGGGCTCATGTGATTCTCTGTAGCTTAGGGTCAACCAATTTGGAACTTCATATCTTCAAAATCTCTTTATAGCAGAACCTGGATAGTATTTGATTGAATAACCAGAGGACAGGAATCTTGGACGTCTATCTTAGAATTCTGCCTAAAACGAAGACATTATTTAAAACGAGAAGATAATTATTATAATTTGTGAATATATATCCTTATAGTATATTATTCCATTTTAATCATCTGATCATATGGCTTCTATCTTTGGGAAAAATATGCATTGTGGCAACATAGAATATCATTTGTGTATTATACATAGGCCAGAAATGAGAGACAACTATGTATGACCTTTTACTGAATTTAAAGATACACTTTCTCTTGAGTTTGGAACAAAATAGCTAGTTTCTGCAGATAGGGCCTTTTCAGGTCATCTACATACTTATTCCAATACTGAAATTTAGTAGAATTTTCCTAGTAGTTACCTGCTATGCCTGAGGGACCATATTTTCCTAAATCTGTTGCCCAGTGTCAAGAATTCATTTACAGACTGTGACTGCAGTTACAAAACCCCCTTCTTGGTTGGTTTATGTTATGTTTAAAAGCACAAATCTTTAGTAAAAAGAAGTCCTTTTCTGACCAATTCTGCAGGCCAACTACAATGTATTTTATTGAAGTACTTAAAGTTCTTATTACACACACACACACAAACAGTTTTTCTTCAATAGCATTGAGTGGCAAGTGAATAGGATCCATTTAGGATAATATACTTAACTGGGTTAAAGATCAGCACATTTAGTTGAAATAGGGATTTGCATATTGACATTGGGTGGGACCAAGGCTAAATACTTATAGCAATGTGTACAAAGAAGAGGGGAGGTACAGGAAGGAAATGAGACAGGAAAGTGCCCAGAGATTATGGCTAAACTTAGTTAAGGGCTGGAATGAGATGAGCTGTTCAGACATGCCGGAGAGGTTGTGCTTCTAAATATAGGTGAACCCTGAAGCCTGAGTTAAAGCAAAGTGATGGATTAAACCAGAGAGAATTCAGTAACTAGGATAGCACAGATAATGGAAATTAGTGGTATATTAGTTTATTCTTGCATCGCTATAAGGAACAACCTGAAACTGGGTAACTTATAAAAAAAGTTTTAATTGTCTCATGGTTCTGTGGATGCACAGGCAGGCTTCTGCTTCTGAAGAGGCCTCAGGAAACTTACAATCATGGCAGAAAGCAAAGGGGAAGCAGGCACATCTTCACATGGCTGGCAGGAAAGAGAGAGAGAGAGGGAAGGAGGAAGTGCTACACGCTTTCAAACAACCAGATCTCGTGAGAACTCACTCACTATCACCAGAACAGCAAGGGGTAAATCCGCGCCCATAATCCAATCACCTCACACCAGGTCCCTTCCTCAATACTGGGGATTACAATTCAACATGCAGTGGGAACACAGACTCAAACCGTATCAAATGGTTTTTAACTTCTAATAAAATCTATTGTCCTTCTTCCTCAGAAAAACACACACAAGAAACCACACATAGAGTATTGTATTTACTTCTGCATGTAGGGATTGGGATTCTGATAGATGTTTAGCTTAATAGCCACCCAACCCAGGCTCTGGAATTTGGATGCAGACCCAGAAGAACTCAGAGGACAGATTTGAAACAGCCTGTAGAACCAGCATATGGCTGTAATCAGCAGCAGACACCAAGAATCTTCATTCTTCCACCAAGAACCTCCTCATATGCTCTGGTCACTCAGAAGCCAGTCTCATGGTGTAGCTCTGTGTGGTCTAAAGAGTGAGTTTAAAGAAGACTGACTTGGGTATGTAAGGCAGAAAGAAGGGTACATCCTAATATCTAGATTGTATTCTCAAGCAAATCTAATAGGTACTTAATAGAATTACCTTTAATTTTTTTCCTTTAAAGATTCTTGTTATCCTTACACATTTCAGGCACCTTTATGGTATAATTCTTAAACTTGCCCATGTGCAAAAATTGTTGAAAGGCCTCCTTTTTAAGTTGATGTTCACATATGCTTATATAGTTTATATTCCAGAGTTGTGAAATAATTAAGAAGGAGCCCCAAGTAAGAGTTGAATGAAATAGGTCCCTAATAATTGATGAACTACAAATGCCTTTGAGTTGGAAAGATGAAGTGGCATGAGCTTTATCCTCCAAGGTGAGATAGTAAACAGACAGCATTTAGAAAATATTATTTGAATATTGCCTAGGAATATTTGTCTAAAATTATATTAGTTCATTGTCATATTGCTATAAAGAAATACCTGAGGCTGGGCAATTTGTAAGAAATGAGGTTTAATTGGTTCACGGTTCTGCGGGTTGTACAGGAAGCAGAGTACTGGCATCTGCTTTTGGGGAGGCCTCAGGAAGCTTACAATCATGAAGGAAGGTGAAAAGGGAGTGGGCACATTACATGGCGAAAGCAGGAGCAAGAGAGTGAAGAGGGAGGGTGCTACATACTTTTAAACAACCAGATCTCAGGAGAACTCACTCACTATTGAGAGGACAGTACCAAGGGGGATGGTGCTAAACCATTCATGAGAAATCTTACCCCATGATCCAATCACCTCCCACCAGGTCCCACTTTCAACATTGGGGATTACATTTTAATATGAGATTTGGGTGAGAATACACATCCAAACTATATCAGTTACTAGAGTTAGAGTACTAAAATGTCACTTTCTCCTCTTCCCCTTGTCAAATCTGTAGCTGGAAAAACTATGGGGGTTGAGAAGTCCATATGTTATGTATATCTACACTACCTCCAGAGAGGCCTGAGAATTATCCACATAGACTGTTCCATCAGAGTGGACTCTCCTGGCCTGTCTGCATATTGCACTCACACTTGGGATCCAGTGTATCAGTTTTTCTCCCTGACTCCTATCACCATCAGTGGATACAGAAAGGAATAATTTGGGAATTGGGGGCCACTGAACATGTCATTGCAGCCCTAACTGAAAGTTAGTCTGTGTTTCGAGTTTAGTTTATTTTTAGGAAGAAGAATAGCTACTACTTATGGACATCTCAAAACATGATCTAAGGAAATGAATGGGAAGCTGTGTTTGGGAAATCCCTTTTAAACAGATGGATATGGAAAGATCTAACTATTCTTACTTCTAGTGAGAGCAATCATTTGCATTGAACATAAATTACTTGATTATAAATGGTAAGCATAATCCATATATTATTTACTGTTTGTTATCCATTCTGTGTGTGTGTGAGCATGTGCATGTCTATAATATTAGATGACATGTATTCAGTGTTCTTAGCTGCTATAACTCTATAATGTAGGCAGGAAAAATGTTAATATTCTTCTTTTTAAATGATGCATAACTGAGGCACAGAGGGATAAGGTAACTTGTCCAAGTTTACTTGCATTGTGAATGGCAGACCCAGGACTTGACTCTTACTCTTGGATACCTGAAAATGCCATTTCCCCATCTTCAGAAATGTCTCTGTGATTTATTTTTCCAGAAGTGATGATAAGATTTTGCTTTATAATGGTGCCTTTGGGAGCCCCAGTAGCAACGCCCAGGCTAAGACATGTGAGTGGCATAACCTGTATACTTGAAGTGAGTTTTTTCTTCAGGTAGCATTTAAAATGCATATTCTGGTGATCAAAAGCACGTCCTCATCAACATAAATTGGACAATACAGGCCAACCCAATGAAATGCCTAGAATAGTTCCTGGCTCTTGGTAGACACATAAAAATACTTGTTGAATTGACTGTTCTTAGTATTACCTACATGACGGAAACTTCTATAGAGTGGGTTTAGTCAGAATAATTATTTAATTTATTCAATAATTCAACAAGTATCTATCAAGGACCATTCTATGCTTTGCCCTGCTCTAGGAATTAGAGTGTGTAGCAACAAGGTCCCTGCGTTCATGGAATTTACAGTCAAGTACAGAGAGACAGATAATTATTTATTTTTATATATATATATATATATTTAAAATGTTATTTTTTAATTGAACATACAAATTGCATATATTTATGATGTACAACATTTTTAAAAATGTGTATACTTTAGAATGGCTAAGTTAAGCTAATTAATGCATTAACTCACATATTTATCATTTTCTTATGATGAGAACACTTAAAATCTACTTTCTTAATGATTTTCCAGTATATAATATATTGTTATTAACCATAATCACTATGTTTTACAATAATCTCTTGAACTTATTTCTCCTATCTGACTGAACTTTTGTATCTTTTGGCCAACATCTCCCCAGTCCCCTATCCCCAGGCCCAGCCTCTGGCAACCACCATTCTGCTCTCTGCTTCTACGAGTTTGACATTTTTAGATTACACATATAAATGAGATTGTACAGGGCTTGTCTTTCTGTGCCTGGCTTATTTAACTTAACGTAATGTTCTCCAGATTTATCCATGTTGTCGCAAATGACAGGACATACTTCTATTTAAAGGCTGAATAGCCTTTGTGTATTTGTACCACATTTTCTTTATCCATTCATCTGTGTATGGACACTTAGGTTGATTCCATATCTTCGCTACTGTGACAGATATTTAAAAAATAAGAGAATTTCATGTGTGATAAGTGATCCAAAGAAAAATGAAAATAATAAGGTTCTAATGTGGTTGAGTCAGGGGACCAACAGTAGATGGGGTTTGAGAGGCATTTCAGGAAATTCTTCTCTGAAGACGTGACATGTGAGCTGGGACCTGAATGATATGAAGATGACTGCTGTGCAAAGATCTGGGGAACCAGCTTTCTGGAAACGGGCTCTAAGAAGGTAATAAGCCAGGTGAGTTTGAGGGACCAAAAACCCCAGAAGAACAGTGAAGCTGGAGAGTCTGAACAGAGTGAACAAGTGCGGGGGTCCATCCCACAGACCCTGACCCACCCCACGACGGGTGAATAAAGTACACTGACACAGATATTCTGCTTTGCCAGTCTGGCTGAGCATCCGGGCCATTTACAGACTCCCAGGAGAGTGCTGTAAACAGTTGCGACCGTGGCCCGACCAGCCAGTGAGACTCGCATTTATTCAGTAAAGATTAATTCACAAAGGCTTGAGTCAACACCATTAGAGGGTAATTGACATTGTGGACTTCATGAGTAGAGAGCAATTAAGCACCTGCGGTAGATCAAAGTTTAATCTTAGGACCACATGAGTAAACAAGTTAGTTAGATAAATTTCCCACATTCCTTTGTTTCCACTCTAATTTATTTAACTAAGGGGACAAGGCTGCCTTCAGCCAAGTACTATATGTAAAAACCCCCAGGCCTTCCAAAAGGGTTTGTGTATATTCTCTATAACTAAAATTTTTCCCACCAGCCTGACTGACAAGTGGAACACAGTGAGGATGAACAGATAGTCAGGGCCTTACAGACCATGATAGAAAATTTGAAATTTATTCTAATTATCCTCAGAAGTTGCTGGAGAGTTTGAAGCAGGGTAGTCACAAAATCTGATTTACATCTTAAAAGATGACTCAGTTCCTAAGGGGCCAGGTAGGAGGCTCCTGTCAGGGTCCCCATGAGAGATGTTGATGGTGGGAAAGAGAGGCTGTCATGGAAGTGGCAAGAAGTGACTGGGTATACATGTATGTATTGGTCATTCATGCATGGATCATACACGGTAGGACTTGGCTGATCTGATTGATTTGGTGGTGGGTTGGGGAGGGAAAAAGAAGAATCCAGGAAGATTCCTATGGTTTAGGCCTGAGCAACAGGTGGATGGTAGTGCCATTTTCTGAGGAATAGGATTTCTGGGTATGTGGGTGGGTGTGGGGAATCAGCAATGAGGTAGAGGACTGGATGGAGCTAGGATTGAGAAGGCTGCGGCGGAGTGGGGGGCTTCCTTTGATCTCTCCCTGCTGCGGTATATAGGTTCAGGAAAGTATATTTATAACTCTTTGTGTTTATTTCCCTTCTTAAGGAGTGGCAACAGTAAATACTTAAAGATTGTGTATGCACGATAACCTCCCATAAGAGTTTCAAGCTCCTTGGTTTTGGTGTTATATAAGTGTAAATGGCTCCCCAAAAGGTCAGGCAGTTTATCTTCCCAAGAGTGATTGATGTTAGCAGTTTTGGTTGCTTATCTCTTCAGAACTCAGCTACCAGGAATAGAAAGAAAACCTTGAGACATCTTTTTCTTCATTAAGCAGTGGGGGAAGTGGTTTAAAGCCCTAAGTTATGAATTAACCACTTAGTTCTGTAATAAAATATAAGGAACTCTTTCTTCCTGCCTTATCAGAATATTTCGTATGAGGAGACAAAAGTATCTAAAATAAACAATATAGGTAGTGAAGGTCACTGAAAATAACACTTGCCTCCTCCCCACAGTTTAGTCTCTATAAAAATAGAGACTATTTGTATCTCTATTTTTATAAGAGTAATGCAAAGCTTTGAACATCCATGAATATTTGACTATAATTTAGTCAGTCTTTTCCTTCACTGGGGTAAAATAAGCTGTCACCTGGAGATAATATTTGAGTGCTGGACAAATGACTTCCCTCACTTCATCCAGAACTCTAGATGATCTTTAGACTGGCACTGGTAATAGGAGTCATGAGTGAAGTTAGCCAGAATGCCCAGCTCCCACACACTCTAAATTTAGAGTTTTTTTTTTTCTCTTTACCTACTTAACATTCAAAGACCACCAAGTATTTTTAAAACCCTAAACTTGAGAGACTTTAGACAGCTGGAAATTTGAGGCATTGAAAGGGTGGAGGGCTTATTTAAAGTTAGGCCAGAATTAGACTCCGAAGAATCCAGGGTCTTATGTGGGTGAAGAAGTTGAAATTTATTTCCAATGACTGATGTCCCCACCTCACTTAGCTACATTATTCTGCTCCCCACATACCTGGCGTATACTCCTTTCTGGACTTCTCATTTCAGAAGAAGAGATTATGATTGATGAATCCATGGTTGAATCAAACTGGTGACAATTTAAGGTGTTCTTCTTTGGGTGGCGGAATGGGGGAGGGATTTGCGTATGTAAGTTTAGATACTCAGAGAATGCTTAGTTTAAGCCGGAAAAAAATGTCTTCATGATGGAATTTTGATCATGTGGCCTGTGGATGGTGGACATGTGTTTGGGGCAAGGAGCGTCACCCTGGTTTCCTCAAGTCAGGACAAATCCAGGATAGTTTGCTTTATCATTGTGAAGACTGGTTCTGCTGCAGCTTCCACTGATTCTCTGAAGCCCAAGAGGCAATAGGACTGAAACATTCATTCCACCACTTGCAGGTCTATTTTATTTAAAATGAAAAGAGTATTTTTACTTGTGTACCCTCTATTAAATATTTGCATACATTTATTTGAGAAAAATAGCAAAAAAAAACCTTTCTTGCTTAAATTCTCCTGTCTGCCATGTTTCCTTCTTACTAATACATAAGTTGAAGGTAGCTGGTGAAATTAAAGCCACTAACTGTTGGCATGTTTATGAATGAGCTCTTACCTTAGTGCAGTGATTCTCAAACTTGGGTGTCCAGTGGGCAGCAGAACTACTGAAGCGCTTGGTAAAACACAAATGGATGGGCCCCACCCTGAGAGATTCTGATTTAGTAGGTCTGGAGTGGGGATTGAGAATTTGCATTTCCAGCCATTCCCAGATGGTTCTGAGGCTACTGGTCTGAGGAGCACATTTTGAGATTTACTGACTTAATTAAGCCTCACTCTCTTCTGACTCCCCCTGCTCTCACTGGGTCCCCCTCACTTGAGTCTCTGTTAGAGTAATGAAGAGTGGACACAGCAGTAGCCCAGTTCTTTTCACTGAACCAAAGGAACTTAAGCTTTAAAATTTAACCACCAAGTTATTCTCTATTTTACTTTTGTCAAGAACATCTGGCCAGGCATCAGGCTCATGCCTGTAATCCCAACACTTTGGGAGGCCAAGGTGGGCAGATCACTTGAGGTCAGGAGTTCGAGACCAGCCTGATCAACATGGTAAAAGCCCATCTCTACTAAAAATACAAAAATTAGCCGGCTTGGTGGTGGGAGCCTGTAATCCCAGCTACTCTGGAGGCTGAGGCAGGAGAATCACTTGAACTTTGGAGGCAGAGGTTGCAGTGAGCAGAGATTGTGCCCTGCACTCCAGCCTGGGTGACATTGTGGGACTCTGTCTCAAAAACAAAAACAAAACGCAAAAAACACATCTATGTTACACAGGACTTACTACTTAAGAGTTAAGAATAATATATACCTAGACAGCTACCCCAACTTGTAATAATAACAATTTGAGAGACCCCACTCATTTCAATCACATGCATACTCTGTCTCCTCATGAACTAACTTTCTCTGATGTGCTGGAAACTTGTGTTATCTCATTTGGTTTAAAAATCAGATAACAAATTGAGATTAAGCTGCTTCTTAATATTCTTCAGTGGGTTGATAAAAAACTGCCTACTGTTCTGATTCCCTTTAGCTGCAATGTGATATGATTGGTATCTTCAGGAACTATTTCAAATGATACCTGTTTGTGAAACATTTTCTATTTCTCTTTAGCCTCCCTGTGCATGGCCCACACCATGCTTATTTCCCATGCCGTTGTTTATCAGGGAATTATGATATGTTTTAGCACAGGACGTTTACTCTCTGTAGATTGTGAGCTCTTTAGGAAGGACCAACTGCAATTTTTTGTAACTTCAGTGCCATTTATAATCCCAAGTATGTAATAGATGCTTTATAAATATTGCTAAGTTGATGAGGTTTTAAAAGTTAATGTGAAACAAACAAACATTGATGAACAGATGCCAGAAGAGAAGCTCATTCCATCAACAATGATGTACCAATTATCTTTTGGAATAAGCGAGAAACCTAATTACATAGTAAATGATAACGGACACAATTTATTAATCTCATGGCTGTCTTGAAGTGTGAGAAACATTTGATGAATGAAATGTTTTTGACTATTAAAAAGGTGACATTATAAAACAAATATATATATTTCTTATAAGAAATCTGGAAAATAAAGAAGAAAATTTAAAAATCACCCCTAGTTCTACCCCAAATCAAATAATAAGTGTAAATAGTTAAAATGAAAATTACTTTTTAAAAACTACTACATCCATTCTCTTTCCCAAGAGCTAGTCATGTTAATCTTTAGCTTACTAATTTCACATATGTAAGATTATACTTAATATATTGTTCTATTTCTTGGCTTTTCATTGAATGTTCTATATTTTTATTACTCTGGGTGACACTATCACAAATCTACATTTATTCATCTACTTACTGTCGGGAAGAGAGTATTTTCATGTTTCTGCTTGATGGGCTTCCTGAGCAAAGGAAACTGACATGTTTGAGCATGTCCCCATCTCCTCAGATCTCTTTGCTCCTCATGTGCAAGGGTGTTAGACCCGGAGCCATCTGCTTCCATTTGTAGAGTAATAAACCTATCTTTCCCAAACTGTGGAGACATTCTAAAGGTTGTAAACTGAGAAATGCTTGTCTTAATTTCCCCTTGGAAACACTTACCTATATTCCAAATGATAAGAACCTAGGATTCTTTCCCTTCTGCTCCTAGAAGAATTTGTTTAGATTGGGGAGCAAAGGTTTCCTTTCTTTTCTAAGGACAAAAGTTGGGGACTAGCTGCCCTCTTCTGTATAAACTCCCAGATTCATATTTATGAAGTTCCTCACACCTACAGTACAGACCCTATTCTATATATGATGATATCTATCTGACTCTCATTATACCATCTCAGAAAGGGAAATAATTGGGGCCAAGGGGGAACAGATGTGATTACAGTAAGTAACAATCTGTCCCTGTACTGAAATCTTGTGTCCATTTCCAAGAATGAATAGACATAGATATCAAAAGCTGATTACTTATTATTTTCATAGAATGGCTGTGCCTAAGTTATTTAACACTATTCCCTTTTGATGAAAGCATTTAGGTTGTCTCCATTTTTCGTTATCACAAATGATGCCTTACTAAGTAGATTTCTGGATGTCTGATTCCTAGAAGTGAAAATGTTCAGTTAAATGGCATGTACATTTAAAATTTTGTCATATATCAGAAATTTTGACAAATGGCTCTCCAGAAGATAATACTAATGAATACGCCCATCAACACTGTATGTCAGCAACTGAATATTTTTTTTCTAATCTGATTGATCAAAATCATATTGCCTTGTGTTAATACGCATTTCACTCTTAACTGGTTAGGTTCAGAATCCTTTCATGTGTTTATCATTTGTGTATATTTCTTTTTCTATTCATTGTTTGTTCTGATACTCTGTTCCAATCTTTCTACTGTGTTTTTTTCTTAGTGATGCAGTCATCTTTATACCTTAGGAGCACTGATGTTCATCTGCTCTGTATATTGCAAACATTTTCCTCCAAGATATTGCTTGTTTATTGTTATTGTTTTGGTTTATTTTACTTTTTTATCACTTATTTTACTATATCAAAGTTTAAATTTTATGTAGTTCATTCATCAATCTTCCCTTTTATAGCTTCTGAGTTTTCTTTCTTATTGTACAAGGAATTGCAAACTGACTCCCTTGGTAAATTTCCAACCCGCTTGTAGTATGCTTTACTTCATACTAGAGGCTAGAAAGTAGAAAGACTACAATGTGTAAAAACTAAATTTCAGAAAATCCATCAAAACTTGAATTTTTCATGTAAACTAATATCTAGCAGACAGTTTCCTGCCTGCCAACATTTAGAAGGTGGAAGTGAAGAGTACATCTATGCCTTTGCTATTCTAGCTATTTCCACAGGCAAGCAGAGTGGGAGGTGCATTGGATTTTCAGAGACAGCAGTAGTAGAAGTCCCAGTTCCTATCTTTACTTTCATGGCTATCAAGAAATCCGGTAGATAGGAATTCATTTGGCTGATATGGAAGGGCTAAGGTAGAGTGGTCTTAGTGTTAGTGGATTCCCCAGCTTCCTGATGTTGGAGTTTTCTGATCACAGAAGAGTTATTGTTTATTTTGGTGGCCAGATCTGCAGCGATGTTTGGAAATCTTTTCTGAAAGTACTACTTAAATCATGCTCCTTCAATCCCTTCTGTTAAGTTTCTCAGTATTAGGCTCTTTGTGTTAAATTGTTTTCTGCTTAAGCCAGGTAGAATAATTTCTGTTATCTTCAAGTGAACTCTGACTAATATACTTTGCAATGCCTACCTCTTAAAGTTATATACTTATTTCCCTATATTTTCTTCTAATACTTTTATAGTTGTGGTTTTTCATTTAAGTAGAGACTACATCTGGAATTTATCTTTGTATTTGGTGCTGGATAAAGATGTAATGGATAGTTATTAGTTCCAACAAAATTCTTTAAATAGTCAATTCTTTTTCCATGGATTAGAAATGTTACATTTATCTTACACCAAGTCCCATATATACAGATAAAGGAATCTGCTTAGACTTTTTATTTTATTGTATTCTTTATTCATTAATGATGTTTATTGTTTTAATAAATACTACACTATTTGAGTTACCAAAGTTTTTCACAGTATGCTTTCAAATAGATGCAGGGCAAGTTCCCTGTCATACTCATACATTTTCATAGGTAATATTTTTTTTTTTTGAGACGGAGTCTCGCTCTTTCGCCCAGGCTGGAGTGCAGTGACGCTATCTCAGCTCACTGCAAGCTCTGCCTCCCCGGGTCACGCCATTCTCCTGCCTCAGCATCCCAAGTAGCTGGGACTACAGGCGCCCGCCACCACGCCTGGCTAATTTTTTGTATTTTTAGTAGAGATGGGGTTTCACCGTGTTAGCCAGGATGATCTCGATCTCCTGACCTCGTGATCCCCTCGCCTTAGCCTCCCAAAGTGCTGGGATTACAGGCGTGAGCCACTGTGCCTGGCCTTTCATAGGTAATTTTTAACATTCATATTTGCAGATGAACTAAAGAGTTAATTTTTCATGATCCATTAAAATATTTTTGGCATTTTATTTAAAACTGCATTGAAATTATAAATTGAGAAGACTTGTTTTTATTACTAATAACAGCAAACAATGACATTATACTTTACATAAGTTAACTATTTTTATTTTTGACATATTTTTATTAGTGATAATAGCAGAAAATGACATTATACTTTATATAAGTTAATTCATTTAATCCATATAACAACCTAATGAAATATATACTGTTTTCCTTTTCATTTCACAGACAAGGGAAAGAAGACATAGGTTAAATAATTTGCCCTACTTATACAACTGGAAAAATAGTATATCCAGAAACATACTGTGCATAATGTGATGTTCCACTTAATTAAGTCTTTAAACATTTTTTAATAAAGTTTTGATTTTTTTTCTGATAATTTCTTATGATGTTTATTCCAAGGCTTGGGAAACCCCACTTCTCTCATGGATATTTGCACCCCTAGGATCAGGAGAGATCCCCTTGTGAGCCCACATCACCAGGGCCTCAGGTCCGACATACAGAGCTGTGTGGAGTCTTGGCAAGCAGCTGCTCAGGCATGCACAGAGACCCAGGAGCTTTACATACTCCAGCCCCAGGAGCCCCAACAAATGCGTCTGCAATGAAGTCAAGGTGGGAGGTCCACACATAGCCCCAGGAAGAGGGCGGAATCCAGGGAACTGAGTGGCATCATCCTATAGGCCCCACTTTCACAACACCTCACAAGATAAGACCCACTGGTTTGGAATTTCAGCCAGCCACCAGCAACAGGATGGAGCCTGCTTGAAAAAGGACAGAGTCCCCAGGCAGAGAGGTGGGCACCATCTCGACTGTTTAGTCAGCTCAGCCATTCTGGCCTGCTGGCTTTGGAGAGTCCGGATGGTCTGGACAAGGAAGGGTCCCCCAAGCAGTGCAGCACAGCACAGCAGCTTTGTTAGATTGTGGCCAGACTGCTTCTTTAAGCGGGACCCCTATCCATTCCTCCTCACTGGGCAGGACCTCCCAGCTGGGCCCTCCAGCCACACACACCCACATGTATTATAGACAGAGCTCTGATCTCTCCCTGGGATGGAGTGCCTAGGTGAGGGGAGGGCCGCCAACTGGGTTGGTTGTATGATTCAGCCATTCCAGCCTGCGGGCTTTGGAGAGTCCAAGCCAAGGGGGCAGAAGTGGTACCCCACCATGACACAGTTATTTTGTTGAGGCATGGCCAGACTACGTCTTTTAAGCAGGACGCTGATCCACTCCTCCTTGCAGGGTAGGTCCTCCCAGCCATGGCCTCTGGCCACCCCCACCTGTGTTCTATGGGACTGACAGAGCTCTAAGTTCTCCCTAGGATGGAGTGCCTGAGGGATGGGGCAGGCCACCACCTTGGCTTTTTGGGCTTCTCAACTGGTTCAGCCTATGGGCCTCGGAAAGCCCAAACTGATTGGGGGCTGAAGGGATCCCCAGCATAGCATAGTTGCTCTAACAAAAATCAGCCAGACTGCTTCTTTAAGCAGGTCCCTGAGCCTGTTCCTCCTCACTGGGTGAAACCTTTCAACTGCGGTCTCCAGCTGCCTCCTATAGACACGTTTGGGCCAGCAATAGGTCAGAACCACCCGGGACAAAGCTTCTAGAAGAAGGGGCAGGCTGCCATCTTTGCTGTTTCACTGTCTTCCCTGCTGATACCTCCAGGTATGGGAAAAACCTAGGCAACTAGGGTCTGGAGCGGACCCCAGAAATCCACAGCAGTCCTATGAAAGAGTGGCCAGACTATTAAAAGAAAAACAAACAAACAGAAAACAGCATCATAAACTATATAAAACCCACAAAAAAACCAATCTGAAGGTCAGCAACATCAAAGATCAAAGATAGATAAGCCCACAAAGATGAGAAAGAATCAATACAAAAATGCTGAAAACTCAAAAAGCCAGAGTGCCCTTTTACCTCCAAATGACCACAACACCTCTCCAGCAAGGGCTCAGAACTGTGCCAAGGCTGAGATGGCTGAAATGACAGAAGTAAGCTTCAGAATGTGGATAATAACAAACATCACTGAGTTAACGAAGCATGTTGTAACCCAACACAAAGAAGCTAAGAATTGCAATAATACAGGAGCTGACAGGCAAAATAGCCAGCTTAGAAAGGAATGTAACTGACCCATTGGAGCTGAGAAACACACAAGAACATCACAGTGCAATCACAAGTATTCACAGCAGAATAGACCAAGCAGAGGAAAACCTCTCAGAGCTTGAAGACTGATTTTCAGAATTAAGACAGGCAGACAAAAATAGAGAAAAGAGAATGAAAAGGAATGAATAAAACCTCCGAGAAATAGGGGATTATGTAAAGAGACCAAATCTAAGACTGATTGGGGTACCTGAAAGAGACGGGGAGAATGGAACCAAGTTGGAAAACATACTTTAGGATATCATCCAGCAGAACTTTCCCAACCTAGTAAGACAGGCCAACATTCAAATTCAGGAAATGCCTAGAACCCTAGTAAGATACTCCGTGAGAAGATCATCCCCAAGACACATAATCATCACATTCTCCAAAGTCAAAATAAAAGAAAAAATCTTAAGGGCAGTCAGACAGAAAGGCCAGGTCACTTACAAAGGGAAGCCTATCAGATTAACAGTGTACCTCTCAGTGGAAACCCTACAAGCCAGAAGAGATTGGGGACCAATATTCAACATTCTTGAAGAAAGAATTTCTAACCCAGAATTTCATATCCAGCCAAACTAAGCTTCAAAAGTGGAGGAGAAATAAAATCATTTTCAGACAAGCAAATGCTGAGAGAATTCATCATCTCTAGGCCTACCTTGCAAGAGCTCCTGAAGGAAGCACTAAATATGGAAAGGAAAAACCTGTACCAGCCACTATAAAAACACACTGAAGTACACAGACCAGTGACACTCTGAAGCAACAACATAAACAAGTCTGCAAAATAACCAGCTAGCATTATGATGACAAGATTAAATTCACACAAAACAATATTAACCTTAAATGTAAATGGACTAAATGTCCCAATTAAAAGACACAGAGTGCCAAGCTGGATAGAGCCAAGATCCATAGGTGTGAGGTATTCAAGAGACCCATCTCACGTGCAAAGACACACATTGGCTCAAAATAAAGGGATGGAGGAAAATTTGCCAAGCAAATGGAAAACAGAAAAAAGCAGGAGTTACAATCCTAGTTTCTGACAAAACAGACTTGCAACCACAAAAAAGACAAAGAAGGGCATTACATAATGGTAAAGGGTTTAATTAAACAGGAATAACTAGGTATCCTAAATATATATGCACCCAATATGGGAGCACCCCGATTCATAAAGCAAGTTCTTAGAGACCTTCAAGAGACAGACTTCCACACAATAACAGTGGGAGACTTTAACACCCCCCACTGATAATATACAGATCATAGAGACAGAAAATTAACAAAGATATTCAGGACCTGAACTCAGCTCAGGATCAAGTGGACCTGATAGATATCTACAGAATGCTCCATCCCTAATCAACAGAATATACATTTTTCTCATCACCACATGGCACTTACTCTAAAGTTGATCACATAATTGGAAGTAAAACACTCCTCAGTAAATGCAAAAGAACTGAAATAATAACAAACAGTCTCTCAGACCACAGTGTAATCAAATTAGAACTCAAGATTAAGAAATTGACTCCAGGCCGGGCTCGGTGGCTCACACCTGTAATTCCTGCACTTTGGGAGGCCGAGGCAGGCAGATCACAAGTTCAAGAGATCGAGACCAGCCAGGCGCGGTGGCTCACGCCTGTAATCCCAGCACTTTGGGAGGCCAAGGAGGACAGATAACGAGGTCAGGAGATCAAGACCATCCTGGCTAACACGGTGAAACCCCATCTCTACTAAAAATACAAAAAAATTAGCCAGATGTGGTGACAGGCGCCTGTAGTCCCAGCTACTTGGGAGGCTGAGGCAGGAGAATGGCGTGAACCTGGGAGGTGGAGCTTGCAGTGAGTTGAGATCACGCCACTGCACTCCAGCCTGGGCGACAGAGTGAGACTCCACCTCAAAAAAAAAAAAAAAAAAAGAGATCGAGACCATCCTGGCCAACATGGTGAAACCCCGTCTCTACTAAAAATACAAAAATTAGCTGGGTGTGGTAATGCATGCCTGTAGTCCCAGCTACTCGGGAGGCTGAGGCTGGGGAATCGCTTGAGGCAGAGATTGCAGTGAGCCGAGATCATGCCACTGCACTCCAGCCTGGTGACAGAGCGAGACTCTGTCTCAAAAAAAAAAAAAAAAAAAAAAAAAAAAAAAATTTACTCCAAACCACACAACTACATGGAAATTCAAAAATCTGCTCCTGAATGACTTTTGGGTAAATAATGAAATTAAGGCAGAAATCAAGTTCTTTGAAACTAATGAGAACAAATATACCATATACCAGAATCTCTGGGAAGCAGCTAAAGCAGAGTTAAGAGCGAAATTTATAGAACTAAATGCCTACATCAAAAAGCTAGAGAGAGCTCAAGTTAACAACCTAACATCTCAACTAAAAGAACTAGAGAACCAAGAGCAAACAAACCTCGAAGCTAGCAGAAGACAAGAAATAACCAATAGCAGAACTGAACTGAAGCAGATAGAGCAACAAAAAACAAACAAACAAACAAAAACTTTCAAAAAATAAGTGAATCCACAAGCTGGTTTTTTGAAAAAATTAACAAAATGGATAAACTGCTAGACTAATAAAGAAGAAAAGAGAGAAGACTCAAATAAACACAATTAGAAATGATAAGAAGGGTATCACCACTGACCCCACAGAAATACAACCACCAGAGAATACTATAAACACCTCCATGCAAATGAAGTAGAAAATCTAGAAGAAATGGATAAATTCCTGGACACATACACCCTCCCGAGGCTGAACCAGGAAGAAATTGAATCCCTGAATAGACCAATAATGAGTTCTGAAATTGAGGCAGTAATAAATATCCTACCAACCAAAAAATGCCCAGGTCCAGATGGATGCACAGCTGAATTCTGCCAGAGGTTCAAAGAAGAGCTGGTACCATTCCTACTGAAACTATTCCAAACAATTGACGAGGGACTCCTCTCTAACTCATTCTAAGGGACCAGCATCATCCTGATACCAAAACCTGGCAGAGATACAATAAAAAAGAAAACTTCAGGCCAATATCCTTGATGAATATCAATGCAAAAACCCTCAACAAAATACTGGCAAGCTGAATCCAGCAGCATATCAAAACCCTATCCACCACAATCAAGTAGGCTTCATCCCAGGATGTAAGGTTGGTTCAACATGTGCAAATCAATAAATATGACTTATCACATAAACAGAACTAAAGACAAAAACCACATGATTATCTCAATAGAGGCAAAAAAGGCCTTTGATAAAATTCAACATCCCTTCATGTTAAAATCTCTCAATAAACTAGGTATTGAAAGAACATACCTCAAAATAATAAGAACCATATATGACAAACTACAGCCAATATCACCATACTGAATGGCCAAAAGCTAGAAGCATTTCCCTTCTAGAAGCACAAGACAAGGATGCCCTTTCTCACCACTCTTATTCAACATAGTGTTGAAAGTTCTGGCCAGGGCAATCGGCAAGAAAAAGAAATAAAGTGTATTCAAATAGGAAAAGAGGAAGTCAAACTATCTTTGTTTGCAGATGACAGGATTCTATATCTAGAAAATCCCGTTATCTCAATGGTTGAGCTTCTTAAACTCAGCCTAAAAGCTTCTTAAGCTGATAAGTGACTTCAGCAAAATCACAGGATACAAAATCAATGTGCAAAAATTCTCATGCTATTTTCATTCTATTCCTATTCTCATGCTATTCCTAGATTATTGAGTGTGGTGGTTAATATTTAGGGTCAACTTGTTTAGATTGAAGGATGCAAAGTATTGTTTCTGGGTGTGTCTGTGAGGGTGTTGCCAAAGGAGATTAACATTTGAGTCAGTGGACTGGGAGAGGCAGAGTCACCCTCAATCTGGGTGGGTACCATCTAATCAGCTGCCAGTGCGGCTAGGATAAAAGCAGACAGAGGATTGTGGAAGGACTAGACTGGGTGAGTCTTCTGGCATTCATCTTTCTCCTGTGCTGGATGCTTCCTGCCCTCAGACATCAGACTCCAAGTTCTTCAGCTTTTGGACTCTTGGACTTACACCAGTGGTTTGTCAGGGGCTCTCGGGCCTCCAGCCACAGATTGAAGACTGCACTGTTGGCTTCTCAACTTTTGAGGTTTTGGGGACTTGGCATGGCTTCCTGGCTCCTCACCTTGCAGACAGCCTATTGTGAGACTTCACTTTGTGATCGTGTAAGTCAATACCCCCTAATAAGCTCCCTTTCCTATATACATCTATCCTATTAGTCCTGTCCCTCCAGAGAACCTGGACTAATATACTGAGTTTATTTCAGGAGTAGTTTTGGAATTTTATCAACTCCCTTTTCAGCACCTATTATTGCATGAATCAAATAGATTTTCTGGTTTTGTTTATTTATATAAGAAATTAAATGAATACATTTCTTATTATTTAATCATTTAACCACCCTTTCATTCTTGTAAAAAGTTCTACTTGGTTATGATATATTATTGTAATATGTTGCTACTTTTGATTTGTAATCTTTTAAGAAGACTTTTCCTTTTATAATCTTATGTGAGATTTAGAAAAAGGTTATTTTGGATAGTCTTTG
This sequence comes from Homo sapiens, assembly GCF_000001405.40. Classification (NCBI taxonomy): domain Eukaryota; kingdom Metazoa; phylum Chordata; class Mammalia; order Primates; family Hominidae; genus Homo; species Homo sapiens. The sequence goes on from NC_000007.14 coordinate 112,593,754, forward strand.
TTCAATTTGGTGTTGTGCTAGCTTTATAGAAAAAATAAGGAAATTTTATATCAATTCAATACCCTGAAACGAATTAGGTCAAACTTGAAAAAATATCTTTCCTTTAAAGGTTGTAGAACTCACTCACACAATGGTCTGGGACTGATGCCCTTTTTTGTACAGTAGGTTTTTAAAAACCATGTTTTCAAGTCTTTTCTGTGGCTATTTGGCTATTCAGTTGTACATTTTCTCTGATATTCCTTTAATAATCTATGCATCCCTAACAATTATTTCCTCTAAAATTTTAGATTTATTGATATAAGTATTAGATAGATTCTTTTGTGGTTTCATAAGTATTATTTGCATCCTTGGCTATGTTTGCATTCTTATTTCTGTTCTTCTCTCTCTCTCTGTTTCTTTCTCTGTCTGGAGAGAATTGCCAGAGGCTTCTGAGTTTTATTGGGCTTTTTAAAGAACTAACTTTATCTTAATTAATCCAGTCTGCCTTTGAGGGGTTATTTTGTATTTAATCTATTTCTGTTTTTATCTTTTAAAATTCATTTATAATTTTTTGTTTTGTTCTTTTTATTATCATCATGAGTTGAAAGCTTAACGCATTCATTTTCTGTCTGTCTTGTTTTCTAAAAAATGCACTTAAGGCTGTGCGTTTCTACTGAGTATTGCTTTGGTCCCATGCCATAGACAGGAAATGCAGTCTTCTCATTGATGCTCATTTTTATTAGTAATTTTAGATGTAACTTCTCCTTTAATGCAAGGATTACTTAGAAAAATGATTTTAAATGTCTCAAATGCCTTTACTGTCTCTTCACATCTGTTTTTCATTAGACGAATTCGACTGTGTTCTTTAAATACCACAATAGGTCCTAAGTACCATTCAGCATCTCATTGTTCCCTTAGCTGAGCAGCTCCCAGATGGTATTCATCTGCCTGCTGAACCATTCCTTTATTATAGACAGACACTATTAGAAACCTCTCTGATATCCTTGGTCTCAACTATCAGGGCTTGTTGAATTGAAGCAGCTGAATTCAATACAGTTTAAAGTTGTTTCTTTCAAGAGTTAACTCATTTTTCTGGGCTTCAGACATTGAACAAGTAATGGCCTGGCCTTATCCAAAACTTGTGTGTATATATATATATATATATATACACACACACACACACACACACACACACATATGTGTATGTGTATGTGTGTGTGTGTGTGTGTATATATGACCAATTTTAGATTTCAAGATACCTACTCTCCTGAATAATAACATAGTTGGGGAAGTGAGGATACACGGACTTCATCTTGTAATGGAAGATGTCTCCCAGTTTTGATGATGTTTTGTATATGACTACAGATAGTATGAACCATGTGTAGTGAGCTCCTGTCTACTTTCCCATTATTTGTCAACCCAGGTCTTATCATTCTTCTTTCCAAATGGATTGGGCTCTATGGTGATGTGACTGATGTCCCCCTGTGATATTCCTCTGTGGCCCTTTGTAATAAATGTGCATTCCTTCAGATCAGCTAAACACTATGCTCTTAGAGTTAAACAATAAAATTAAAATTAATACAAGCCATAAACAAAATAAAACCAAAAATGCCAGCTAAGGGTGTTATTCTTCCATCTTTTAGGAAAGGAAGATTTGGGTACCTGAATGACTCCTCTGAAGTTCCTCAGGGGACAGAAAGAATAGCAGTCCTTAGCCAGGGAACACAGATCTCTACAGGCCAATTTTTCCCTAGAAGCCTCAGCTACTGGTCTGCTCTTCCTCCTAGGACTTTCTCCTTGGGTCCCTGGGTGCTCCTTGGGCTCACCTCTTTCCTTCAGGACTGGCCAGAGCTCACACCTTCCAAGCCCAGGAGCCATTTGCCTGGACGGTGTTGTGGCTGTTGGACTGGAAGTGAGGGCCCAGCAAATATTGAGCACACAAAACTAATTCACAGCACTATCCTCCTCCCTTAGACATTTACATCTTTGCCAGTCTTATGAGCATAAAATGGCATTTCATTGTGTTAATCTGATTTTTTCTAATTACTGGAAAGATTGAGCATCTTTTAATATGCCATTCAAACTCTCTCTTTTGCAAGTTGCTAGTTCATATTGCTTCCCATTTTCATACTGGCAGTTTACCTTTTCCTTAATAATTTGTAGTTGTATATATTAACATACCTATACTCTGGACACTAGCCCTTTGTTAAATGTATTACAACTCCCAGTTGGTGGCTTGTCTTCATTTTGCATTGTCTTTTTTTTTTTTGTACAAAAGATTTTAATGTTAATCTAAGTAGTTTATTTTTTTCTTTTTAAAGAAGGGAATAAATTTGAGGATGTCCTGTCTTCTCCACTGCCTCCAATTCCCAAGAAAATGTTGAAAAGGGGAAAATTAATGATTCACTTCTCTAACTATGATAATAAATAATAAGTGATGTTAATAGGAAAAAACCCAGACGGTGTTAACATTTTTATACTAGAGCTTTAAAAAGCTGCTTAAATGTCAATTTGTGCTAAAATACAGGCTTTAAAAGAGGCCTGCAAAATTAACTGTCGAGGTTATAAATCCTAAGAAAAAAACCAAATCTTAGGTCACATGAATGTCTGCCAGGACTGGGTAATTTTCACTTTAACCACTTTTTAGTTGACAGGAGTAATCTGTAAATGTTGCAACCTTATTATGTACAGGACAGGGTGGCTGAGTCATCTTGATATTAAAAGGAAAGAGTTTAAGTGCATTGTGGATCATCTTTATGCTGTAATATTAGAGGGAAGACACATTTAAAAGGAACATAGTTGAAAACAATGGGTCTAAAACGTTGCTACTCACATTTCATCTACGTAGAAAGGGAGGTCTCTGGCCACCATGGTAACTGTTTTTACACATAAACTCACTGGTCACATAAGGACATCAAGTAGACTAAAAATAAAAATGCCAAATTTTACATTTCAAGACCAAAAGTGAATCCTCTCACACAAAAAATATTTTTGTAATTAAACATCTCATAGCTGTTCATTTTCACTCCAAACTATGTATTTAACTCTTGATGGAAACATGCATACATTTCTGACTTATTAATTCTGAAAACTTGCTTATGACATTTAAAATAATTTAAAGTAGTGGCTTTGAGTTATTATTAGCATTCATCATTTTTTATATCCCATTTTTTCCCCCAATGCGTGACGTTGGGAAAAAACGCAAAATAATAAACTTATAGATTAATAATTTAAGCAATTTATAACTCTGGTCTTTTAAAAGTGATCTTCTGCAGACTCCTTCCTTCTTTCCAATCCTTCAGGGCAAGCTAAGCCCTATATTGTGAGAGTGGTCCATCTCAGAGGGTGAGATGTTTATTGGCCCCATTGTTGAGGAAGCCAGCAAACTGCGTACATCTAGGGTTGGCCAGCCAACTCCTGTGTTGTTTCTGGATGCTGATCAAACAGAATTCAATTCTGTTTGACTTTGATCCCAGTTCCATCTTCTAACTTCTAGAAGAAACCCATACTTTCTTGGGTTCTGTGACATCCTTGACTTGTGACTCAGATCCTTGGCAGTGCTATGGGGCCTCAGTTGTTCTCTAGGTCGCTCTTGTTTCCTCAACCCTGTGATAACTCCCAAGTTGGTCCTTAAAACCTGTATTTAAAAAATTTTTTTTTGAGTATACCATTCGCCCTTTGTATTCTCGAGTTTCATATCTGCAGATTCAACCAACCACAGATAAAAAATATTGAAAAATAATAATAATAAATAGCAATACAACAATAAAAATAATTTAAAACCAACACAGCATAGCAACTATTTACATAGTATTTACGTGGTGTTATGTATTATAAGTAATCTAGGGATGATTTAAAGTATACAGGAGGATGCGCTTAGGTTATATTCAGATAATACACCATTTATATCAGGGACTTGAGCATCTGCAGATTTTGGTGTCCATGGAGGTCCTGGAACTAATCCCCCTTGGAAACCTATCCAAGAGACAATCTGGGGATACATGTAGATAGTATAATGGTTACTATAGTGAGGCAGATTAGCATATCTGTCATCTTACATAGTTGCTTTTTTGTGACAAGAACAGCTAAAATCTACTTATTTAACAAAAATCCCTAATGCAATACAATTTTATTAACTTTAGTCTTCATGTTGTATATTAGCTCTTTAGGCTTTTTCATTCTACATACCTGCTACTTTGTATCCTTTGTCCTGCATCTCCCTATTTCCTGCCACTCCCCCGACTCTTGGTAACCACTGTTTCACTGTCTGGCTCTATGTATTTGAACCTCTTTTTACAAATATATTCCACAGGCAGGTGAGATCATACCATACTTTTCTTTCTGTATCTGGCTTATTTCACTCAGCATTTTGTCCTTTAGGTCCATGCATGTTGTGGCAAATGGCAGAATCTCCTTCTTTTTAAGGTTGAATAATATTCCACTGTGTGTGTGTGTACACATGCCACATTTTCTTTATCTATTTGTTCATCAGTGGACATTTAGATTGTTTCTATATCTTGGCTATTGTGAATGATACTGGAATGAACATGGGAGTGCAGATATCTTTACAAGGTGGTGATGTCACCTCCTTTGGGTATATATCCAGATGAGGGGTTGCTGGGCCATATGATAGTTCTATTTTTAATTTCTTTAGGAACCTCCATATTGTTTTCCATAATGGCTGTACCTATCTATATTCCCACCAACAATGTATTAAGTGTCCCTTTTCTTGAGGCCCTTGCCAACATTTGTTATTTCTTGTCTTTTAGGTAATAGTCATCCTTACGAGTGTGAGGTAATATTTCATAGTGGTTTTAATGTGCATTTTCTGTATAATTAGTGATTATAATTATTTTCATAAACCTGTTGGCCATTTTTATGTCATCTTTGGAGAATTGTCTGTTAAGATCTTTTACCCATATTTTCATTGGGTTATTTGTTTTTCTGCTATTGAGTTATAAGCGTTCTTTATAAATTTTAGATATTAAACCATTATCAAATATGTGGTTTACAATTATTTTTTCCCAGTTCGTAGGTTGCCTTTTCATTTTGTTGATTGTTTCCTTTACTGTGCAGAAGTTTTTTAGCTTGATGTCGTCCCATTTACTTATTTTTGATTTTGTAGCTTAAGCTTTTGTGTGATAACCAAAAAATTACTGCCAAGGTCAATGTCAAGGAATTTTCCCCTATGTTTTCTTCTAGGAGTTTTATGGTTTCAGTCTTACATTTAGGTCTTTTATCCATTTCAAGTTGATTTTTAAGTATGGTATAAGATAAGAGTCCAGTTTAATTCAGTTTTCCCACCACAATTTATTGAAGAGAGCACCCTTTCCCCATTGTGTCTTCTTGGTACCCTTGTCAAAAATTAGTTGTCCACATATCTTAGTCCATTTAGTTTTGCTATAACAGAATACCTGAGACTTGTTAATTTACAAAGAAAAGAGGTTTATTTGGCTCACAATTCTGGTGACTAGAAAGAAAGTCCAAGAATATGGTGCCAGCATCTCCTTGACTTCTGTTGAGGGCCTTGTGCCACCTCATAACATGGCAGAGAAGTAGAAGGGGAAGCAGGCATGCCAAAAGAGGCCAAACACTAGAGACAACCTTGCTTTATAACAACCTACTCTCCGGGAGGCTGAGGCAGGAGAATCGCTTGAACCAGGGAGGTGGAGGTTTCAGTGAGCTGAGATCACGCCATTGCACTCCAGCCCTGGGTGACAGAGTGAGACTCCATCTCAAACAAACAAACAAACAAACAAACAAAAAACCTACTCTTGCAGGTACAAATCCATTTCTACAAGAACGAGAAATCACTCACTCCTGAAATATGGCATTAGTCTATTCATGAGGGATCTGCTCCCATTATCCAAATAAATACCTCCCAGTAGGCCTCACATCACAATTCTGCTACATTGAAGATGAGGCTTCTTACATAGAAACTTTTGGGGAACACACTCAAACCATAGCACCCTACATGTTTAAATTTATTTCTGTACTCTATATTATGTTCCATTGGTTTATGTTTTTGTTTTATAATTTAAAATCTTCCCTGTCCTAAAAGATGGAAGAATAACACCCTTAGCTGGCATTTTTTGTTTTGTTTTGTTTTGTTTTGTTTATGGCTTGTATTAATTTTATTTTTTTAACTCTAAGACAATAGTGTTTAGCTGATCTGAAGGAATGCACATTTATTACAAGGGGCCACAGAGGAATATCGCAGGGGGACACCAGTCACATCACCACAGAACCCAGTGCATTTGGAAAGAAAAATGATAAGACCTGGGTTGACAAACAGTGGGAAAGTAGACAGGAGCTCACTACACATGGTTCATACTATCTGTAGTCAGAACTGCACAACTATATGGAAACTGAACAACTTGCTCCTGAATGACTACTGGGTAAATAATAAAATTAAGGCAGAAATAATTAAGTTATTTGAAACCAATGAGAACAAAGACACAACGTACCAGAATCTCTGGGACACAGCTACAGCAGTGTTTAGAGGGAAATTCACAGCATTAATTGCACACAGGAGAAAGTGGGAAAGATCTAAAATTGACACCCTAACATCACAATTAAAAGAACTAGAGAAGCAAGAGTAAACAAATTCAAAAGATAGCAGAAGACAAGAAATAACTAAGATTAGAGCAGAACTGAAGGAGATAGGGACACAAAAAATCCTTCAAAAAATTAATGAATCCAGGAGCTAGTTTTTTGGAAAGATTAACAAAATAGATAGACTGCTAGACAGACTAATAAAGAAGAAAAGAGAGAAGAATCAAGTAGACACAATAAAGAATGATAAAGGGGATATCACCACTGATTCCACAGAAATACAAACTACCATCAGAGAATACTATAAACAACTCTATGCAAATAAACTAGAAAATCTACAAGAAATGGATAAATTCCTGGACACATACACCCTCCTAAGACTAAACCAGGAAGAACATAATCCATCACATAAACAGAATGACAAAAACCACATGATTATCTCAATAGATACAGAAAAGGCCTTCGATAAAATTCAACACCCCTTCGTGCTAAAAACTCTCAACAAACTAGGCATTGATGGAATGTATCTCAAAATAATAAGAGCTATTTTTTATGACAAACCCACAGCCAATATCTTACTGAATGGGCAAAAACTGGAAGTATTCCCTTGGAAAACCGGCATAAGACAAGGATGCCCTTTCTCACCACTCCTATTCAACATAGTATTGAAAGTTCTGGCCAGGGAAATCAGGCAAGAGAAAGAAATAAGGGGTATTCAAATAGGAAGAGAGGAAGTCTAATTGTCTCTGTTTGCAGATGACATGATTGTCTATTTAGAAAACACCATTGTCTCAGCCCCAAATCTCCTTCAGCTGATAAGCAACTTCAGCAAAGTCTCAGGATACAAAATCAATGTGCAAAAATCACAAGCATTCCTATACACCAATAACAGACAAACAGAGAGCCAAATCATGAGTGAACTCCCATTCACAATTGCTACATAAAGAATTGAATACCTAGGAATCCAACTTACAAAGGATGTGGAGGACCTCTTCAAGGAGAACTGCAAACCACTGCTCAAGGAAATAAGAGAGGACAAAAACAAATGGAAAAACATTGCATGCTCATGGATAGGAAGAATCAATTTCATGAAAATGGCCATACTGCCCAAAGTAATTTAAAGATTCAATGCTATTCCCATCAAGCTACCATTGACTTGCTTCACAGAATTAGAAAAAACTATTTTAAATTTCATATGGAACCAAAAAAGAACCCGTATAGCCAAGACAATCCTAAGCCAAAAGAACAAAGCTGGAGGCATCATGCTACCTGACTTCAAACTATACTACAAGGCTACAGTAACCAAAACAGCATAGTAGTGGTACCAAAACAGATATATAAACTAATGGAGCAGAACAGAGGCCTCAGAAATAATGCCACACATCTACAACCATCTGACCTTTGACAAACTTGACAAAAACAAGCAATGGGGAAAGGATTCCCTATTTAATAAATAATGTTCGGAAAACTGGCTAGCCATATGCAGAAAACTGAAACTAGACACCTTCCTTACATCTGATACAAAAATTAACTCAAGATGAATTAAAGACTTAAATGTAAGACCCAAAACCATAAAAACCCTAGAAGAAAGCCTAGGCAATATCATTCAGGACATAGGAATGGGCAAAGACTTCATGACTAAAACACCAAAAGCAATGGCAACAAAAGCCAGAATAGACAAATGGGATCTAATTAAAGAGCTTCTGCACAGCAAAAGAAACTATCATCAGGGTGAACAGGCAACCTACAGAATGGGGGAAAATTTTTGCAATCTATGGTGATTCCTCAAGGATCTAGAACCAGAAATACCATTTGACCCAGCAATCCCATTACTGGGTATATACCCAAAGGATTATAAATCATTCTACTATAAAGACACATGCACACGTATGTTTATTGTGGCACTGTTCACAGTAGCAAAGACTTGGAACCAACCCAAATGCCCATCAATAATAGACTGGATAAAGAAAATGTGGCACATATACACCCTGGAATACTATGCAGCCAGAGAAAAGGATGAGTTTATGTCCTTTGCTGGGTCATGGATGAAGCTGGAAACCATCATTCTCAGCAAACTAAGACAAGAACAGAAAACCAAACACCATGTGTTCTCACTCATAAGTGGGAGTTGAACAATGAGAACACATGGACACATGGAGGGGAACATCACACACTGGGGCCTGTTGGGGAGTGTGGGGCTAGGGGAGGGATAGCATTAGGAGAAATACCTAATGTACATGACGGGTTGAGGGGTGCAGCAAACCACCATGGCACATGTATACCTATGTAACAAACCTGCACGTTGTGCACATGTACCCTAGAACTTAAAGTATAATAATTTAAAAAGAATCATCAAGAAAGGATGCTAAAATTTGTCAAATGCTTTTTCTGCATCAATTGTGATGAACATGCGGTTTTAATCTTTTGTTCTGTTTATGTGATATATCACATTGATTGACTTGCATGTATTAAACCAGCCTTGCATACTGGAGATAAATTCCACTTGGTCATGATGAATAATCTTTCCAATATGTTGCTTAATTCAGTTTGCTAATGTTTTATTGAGGACTTTTGCATTGATGTTCATCAGAAATATTGGCCTGTAGTTTTCTTTTCTGGCAGTGTTTTTGTCTGGCTTAAGTATCAAGGTGATGCTGACCTTATAAAATGTGTTTGGAAGTGTTTAGCTCTGTTTTTGGAAAATTTTAAGAAGTGTTCATAATAATTCTTCTTTAAATGTTTGGTAGAATTCAGCTGTGAAGCTATCTGGTCATGGCCTTTTCTTTGTTGGAACATTTTTAAATCTGTTTTAGAGTGACATGGAGCAACTTTAAACTGTTATAAAGAAGTTCTTCCCTGATAATAGTGTATTCTTTTAAATTAAAAACATTGATGTGTGGGATTTGGGGAATCGGTGTATTCCAATGTTCTTTGTTTCCCTCAGATAGGTTGTTCTCCTCTTTTTTAATGCGAGGAGTTCTTTTCCCCAAGACAGTCCAGCTCTGGGATCCTCTGCTTTCAAATGAAAGGCTTCACATTCTCCCCCAGAGTGAGGGAAGCCCAGAATTCCCTAAAACTAAGCCCAAATTACTCTCTTAGGAGGGAAACAAAAATACAGGCCTGGGTAGATTGGGGATGGGGCACCCTTAGCCGTATCCCTAAATGATACATCATATAGTGAGGCTGTTGTTATTATTATTGCTATTATTATTATTTTTATCGTTGTTAGATTTTTTTTTAGTTCACCAGTAAACAACTCACCTTTTCTTTTCAGAGGGCACCTCAGCTTCCAGGTAACAACAGTTAGTATGTGTTAAGTTCTGTAATGGCTTTATATGCAATTCCCACATGCGTTGTCACAACCACCCCATGATACAAGGACTGTTAACATTACCATCCCCATTTTACAGATAAAGACACTGAAACCTAGAAAGTTTAAATAATTGCCAAGTCCCACAGGAGGTAATGCTGGATGCAGCTCAGAAGCCCCTCTCTGAAGAGTCCAGAGGCTACTTTTTTTTTTTCCTCCCGGGACTCTGCCTGACAGTTGCATGGTGCTGCAGGGTACATCCAAAACTGCTTTTCCCTTCCAGATAATTATGGCCCAATGCCAGACTCTTCCTTCTCCAAGAGGGATTCCCTTCCCCTCCCCTCCCCTCCCCTCCCCTCCCCTCCCCTCCCCTCCCCTCCCCTCCCCTCCCCTCCCTTCCCCTTCCCTTCCCTTCCCTTCCCTTCCCTCCCCTACCCTTCCCATCTCTCTCTGTTGCCCAGGCTGGAGTGCAGTGGCATGATCTCCGCTTACTGCAACCTCCATTTTCTGGGTTCAAGGGATTCTCCTGCCTCAGCCTCCTGAGTAGCAGAGATTACAGGCGCCTACCATCACGCCTAGCTAATTTTTCTGTATTTTTAGTAGTAACAGGGTTTCACCATCTTGGGCAGGCTGGTTTCAAACTCCTGACCTCAAGTGATCTGCCTGCCTCTACCTCCCAAAGTGCTAGGATTACAGGTGTGAGCAGCCACCATGCCCAGCCAGGGGGGAATTCTTTCTTAAGGACATACCTAGATTCTCTCAGTTCCCCTGCTTCTTATCCTGGTCCATCAGCTGAGTCTTTGAACTGTGTACATGTAAACATAACTTGTTATTCAAAATTTTTTTCCCCAAGAGAGTCTTTAATTCCCATATAAGTCAGAGGATGAGACTAAGTATGTACTTATCAAGCAATTCCAAGTTCTATCTATAGTCTAATCATGACCTATGCTAAGAGCTAGGAATTATGATTTATAAATGCAGTTGCCCCTTCTTTCCTTCCTCCTTTCCTTCCCAGAAGTTATATATTTCCTCCTATTCACTAGGTCTACAATTAAGGAAAATTACAACCAGGTGAACAGTAAGTAACACATGGATTGCATTTTTATGGTGTGAATATAGATTTGGTTTACTGGAAGTATGAGTAGCCACATTTACACTCAAATCTGTCTGTCTTTCTGTCTGTCTGTCTACCTGCCGCTTTTTTTTTCCCTGCAGAGCTGATACTCAGAAGGCATGCACCAGTATGACCATACTGGGTATTTGTAGCCAGTCTCTGTCCTAATTAGTTGATCCTAAGCTGGTTGTAAAATATTTTTAATATTACTACAGTGTATATGTATTCACAGAATCACATATCTATATTTAGATTTATATCTATCTCCATTAAAATAACAAATTGCTACATTCAGAATAGTATAATTTTAGATTTTAGATTTGTGCACCCTGAACCATCCAAAGAGAAACAAATGATCAATGGCAATATGTGGAAACTAGAGAGCTTCTGTGGCTTACCAGAGGACACTAACAGACAGAATGACGTCTGTAATCCACTGGAGATCAAAGTTTTAAAAAAGATAAATATCTGAGTACATTTAGGTAAACTGCCCTGTACCTTTTAACAGAGTGCATTTTTATTCTAAGCTTTGGTTCTCCTAACTGACGTTAGAATTTTACCTACAGCTACTAACAGTGAGTATAAATTCCTTGATGAAGGATTTCTGCCTCTTGATGACAGTTTCCTCATAATCCAGCTGCTTTCTCCAGCTTCCTCCTCCGACATTCCTAGACTTCCCATTCAGTGGAAGTTCTCTTGTTAGCTAAATGTTTTTCCACAGCTGCTTGGTCATCATTCTCTACTTGAATTCCCATGTCTATATTTTTTTCCCAAACAGAAGATACAAATACTTTCTTCTTTTTTACATTCTTTTCCATCCTTTCTCATTTGCTCCTTTCCATTATATATTTACTTCAAGCTAGCATATAATGGTTAAATCTACTTATTTAACATTTTCTTTGTCAATGTACTGTTCCTAAATTTTTGCAGCCTGTCTTTTACCATAGGTTGATTTTGAAAGACATTTGAGATACAAAATTGCAGTTTATCCTGGAAGTAACTTTTAAAAGTACATTTAAGAAAATATAACAAGAATTTGATAAAAAGTGTTTTTATATATACTTTCCAATCTGATAATTGAACTGATTTTCTACTTACAACAAATTTCAGAGCATCTAAGACCATTTAATTCTGAATTGAAAATTTTCATCTTGATAAATCTTATGATTTAATTCAATTTTTGTATGTCCCCATCCATCTTTTGTATTTTAAAATCACTATCAAAATGATTAAATCACTATCAAAATCACTATCAAAATGAACAAAGAAAGACATTTTTCTCCTTTCCATTTTAGGGAATAGAAAATGAACAATGCCAGATGTATAACAATGTGGGAAAGGGTATAGCTGATAGAGAAGCCTGTCAGGACCATACAAATCTTACTAAATTCTATATATTAGTAAGGGATTCTGCTATTGAAAAAGTTGAAGCATCCTCACCTCAGGAAGGTGAGATTCTCAGACATTTTGCTTCCAAAAATAAATAAGCTTAATAACCAGCTTAATAAATTTAATAACATTGTGCATACTTCAAAAACAATAGAGCTGTGGTTATAAGGTGTGTTAATTCATTTGCTTGGCATTGAAACTCTTATTATATGATATCTTTGTCAACTCTGGATCACACAAGAGAAGTAGACGGTGATACTTCCTTGTACTTAAGGATACTGTTTCTAATTTGATGGAAAGCCACACTGAGCTTATTTAAACCCCTAAAATAAAAATATAAATTCATACAAAACCATATCAACGATTTTTACAAAGTGCCTGCCAAGTGCAAGATATTACAGTGTGAATGTGGATCATAATTGTTGCTCTCTTCTTCCTTAATGATAATAGTAAATGTTTATTGAGTGCCAAGGGCTTTTCAGATACCATTTCTTATGGATTAAATTGTTTCTCCTCAAAAAGATGTACTGAAGTCCTAAGCACCAGTACCTTTCAAATGTAAATTCATTTGCAGACACGGTAGTTGCAGACATAATTAATTAGGTCACACTGGAGTAGTATAACCCAATATGACTGATGTCTTTATATGAAAAAGAGAGACACACACAGGGAGATGATGGTCCTGTGATGACAAAGGCAGAGATTGGAGAGATGCATTTACAAGCCAAAGAACATCAAAAATTGCCAACAAAGGCCAAAGGCTAGAAGAGGCAGGAAGGATTCTCTCCTACAGGTTTTAGAAGGGGCATAGCCCTACCAACATCTTAATTTTAGACTTCTAGCATCTAGTACTTTGAGACAATGAGTTTTTGTTGTTTTAGGCCAGCCAGTTTGTGGTACTTTCTTACAGCAGCTTAGGAAGCTAATACTCCGTCTCATTTAATCCTCTCAATAAACTTATGAGTTAGATAATATTATTACCTCCACTTTAGAGGTTAGAAAATGGAGTAACTTGTTCATAATACCACAGCCGGTAAAGGAATAAGCATAGAGCCTGGATTTGAAGTAAAGCTGTTTAAGTGGTTGTCCTTAATAACTTCAATGACTCCCATGGATGCAAGAGCTCACATTCCTAGTGCCAGTTTTTAAAGATAGGTATTTTATCTAGACATTTGCTAAATACAGCAATACAATTGATCAGGAATTGATATTTTTCATCACACATCTAATAATGTAGCTGATTATAGAAGGAAAAATGTAAAGTCTCTATTTCCAAAGTCGTCATTTGACTGTGGCCTTTTCCCTCCCCTCCAGCTCCATTTATGGAGCTAGAGTGTCCCTGTGGTGCCACACATATCAGAGGCAGAGCACTGCTTATGGAGCCACATCCAAGCTGCCTAGTTTAGCCTATGGGGCCTTTCATGATCTGGCCCTTGCCATCCGACCTGTCTTATCTCCTGCCAACCCCATTGACCTTACATTGTGATTATACCCTCAACACTACTATTGTTGCCAGAACACTCTATGTCACAAGAGGAAGAATATCCTCTGTCCCTGTGCTGTTTGATTTGCCTGGAATGCCATTCTTCCTCTTATACACCTAGAAAACTGTCTACTTTCAAAACACAACTTTGTGAAACTATCTCCAGAATGCCTTATCTAACCTCCCCCTAACTCTCTTTATTCCTACCCCCAGAGGGCCTATAAATTATATATTGGGACCCTATACTCAAATCCCCACTAAGCACTCTTCGTCCATGCAGTTGATATACATGGGGCCATTTTTTTCCTACCTTTCCTCTCATTGTTTGAGTTATGATCAAGGGGAGCTCTGTGGACAGTAAGATGGAAATGGAACCTAATATTGCCCTGTTTTGTTTCCCAGCTTAATGCATTGTTGGAAAATATTGAGCCTTTAAAGGTTTGGTTTTGTTCATGAGCAATTCAGATATGAGTCCAAGTACCTGGAGTGAAGAGGTGAAAGTGACATGGAAGCAATATGTTAAGTTCTGGGAGAGAAGACTGATGTTACTGGGATTTGTAGAGAAGCAATGACTAGCTGAGTTGAGCTGCTCTCAGGGGTGTCTAGAAGACTTTATTAGTTTATGGGGGCCCCTGATGGGAAAACGGCTCTACATGGGGGCCATGGTCTGAATGTTTATATCTCCCTAAAATTCAGATGTTAAAAGCCTAATCACCAATGTGATGCTATTTGGAGGTGGGAACTTTGAGAGGTGATCAGGTCATGAGAGTGCAGCCCTCATGATGGGATTAATAGTCTTATGAACAAGACCCTGGAGAGCTCCCTCACCTCTTCCACCCTGTGAAGACACAGTGAGAAGGACCATCTATTAAACAGGAAATGGGCCTTCACCCGACACCACATCAATCAGTGCTTTGATCTTGGATTCCCAGCCTCCAGAATAGTGAAACATAAATTCCTGTTGTTTATTAGCCACCTAGTTTATGATGTTTTGTTATAGCAGCCCTAATGGACTGAGACAGTGGGCAACAAAAGAAGCAAGTGTGCCCTGAATCCTCTCCTGCATGTTCCAATATTGGAACTCTCCCAGCGTAATTCCAACCATTAGATGTTTTTCAAGACTTCTAGTTCCTTCCTAGACATCGTAAGGCTTTCTTCCTTTGCTGGACCATTTCAAAGTCTTTTCTTAAAATATGTAAGAAGCAGGTTTCCTCTAATGTGTTGGGAAGAGACAATGCTTAGAAATGACTCATTAAGGAAAATTCTCCCAGAAAGGATAACGATATATTCTGGATTATACCTGAGGAGTTGGCCTTCACTGACCTTTGGGAAAATAAGTCACAAGCAATTAAAGCCAATCTTTACTTGTTTGGTGTGTAGCTAAAATATGTTTTTAACTTGATGACTTTGAGGGGCTCAAGACTTTGATGGAGGAAGTAACTCAGATTGAAAGAGTTGCAGTTTTGATGCGGAATTTTGATCTGAGTTGCATATCCTGGCAACAGATTTGGGGAAGATTGTCCTATGAACTGATTGCTGCATTCAATTTATGAATTTATTTAATTCATACATTTATGAATGTGTCTTAAGGGACAAATGTAAAATATCCTTAATTTTCTACTTAGAAGACGAAGGCCCCAAAAAGAGTAAGTACTTTTTGAAGTCACCAAGAAGTTTGCTTGGAATAAAACGTGATTCCTGTGTTAATCCCCATGAAAATCAGGGAAAATATGCCAGAGTGGTCAATGCTGAGCTGTTGAAATGTACTCATATACCAGTTAATATTGTTAGGTTGCATCTGTATGTGCTTTACATTTGACAAAGTAATTTCAGTTCTCAGAACAACTAGTTCTATGGAGGAAACTAAAGCACAAAGACTGATTAAGTAGAGCATGAGTTCACACTGAGATCTTCTGACTCCAATTTAGTAACTATCACCCAGCATGTCAACTCAAGCAGTGAAAAAAGAGATCATGACTCTTGAAAAAATGGTCATTATGGTATGTAAGCAGTCTGTTGATGAGACACATCCACTAATTTATTTCCCAAGTTATTTTGGTGATATACTTTTTTATAGAACCACTGCTTACAAATCATTTATTAGCATTTATGAATTATAGTTTAAGAACATTAAAGCAGCCCAAGTTTCAAGTTCAACTCAACTGGAAGTAATAGCAAAATTATTTTCTTTTGTTAATGCTAAAACGGAACAAACATAAAATGCGTGATTTCCTCATTCTAAAAAACAGATATAGTGCACGAGTACTTCATTTGCAGATTATTTTAAACTTAAATAGCAGTGCCTGGAGCAATATTTTTTATAGACCTTGAAGTCTTGTGAGATATTTAAATAAAAAGGCTGATATGGAAAATCTTGATGAAAAGTGATGTTACTTCCTACGTGAAAAATTCTTGGCCAGGCGTGGTGGCTCATGCCTGTAATCCCAATACTTGAGAGGCTAAGGTGGGTGGATAACCTGAGGTCGGGAGTTGCAGACCAGCCTGACCAACATGGAGAAACCCCATCTCTACTAAAAATACAAAAATTAGCTGGGCGTGGTGGCGCATGCCTGTAATCCCAGCTACTCAGGAGGCTGAGGCAGGAGAATCTCTTGAACCCAGGAGGCGGAGTTTGCAGTGTGTGGAGATTGCACCATTGCACTCTAGCCTGGGCAACAAGAATGAAACTCCGTCTCAAAAAAAGAAAATTCTTTTTATCTCTTAAATTATATAAATAATAAAGATATACCTTTTTAAATTTCTTTATTGTGCTTTGTGGATAATGCTTTTTTAAAGACAAATTGAAAGTTTGTGGCAACCCTGAGTATAAAGCACATCTATTTGTGCCATTTTTCCAACAGCGTGTGCTCACTTAAAGTCTCTGTGTCACATTTTTGTATTTTTTGCAATATTTCAAACATTATTATTATATCTATTATGATAATCTGTGATCAGTGATCTTTGATGTTACTGTTGTCATTGTTTAGGGGTGCCATGAACCATGCCCACATAAGATGGTGAACATATTCAGTAACTGTTGTGTGTGTTCTGACTGCTGTACCAACCAGCTATTCCCCAATCTCTTGCTGTCTCCTCAGGCCTCCCTGTTCCCTGAGTTACAACAATATTGAAATTAGGCCAATTAATAATCCTACAATGACCTCTGATTACTCAAGTAAAAGGAAAAGTTGCATATCACTCACTTTAAATCAAAAGCTAGCAATCGACTTAGTGAGGAAGGCATGTCAAAAGCTGAGATAAGCCAAAAGCTAGGCCTCTTGTGCCAAACAGCCAAGTTGGGAAAGCAAAGGAAAAGTTCTTAAAAAAAGTAAAACTGCTACTCTAGTGAGCTCAAAAATGATAAGACAGTGTAACAGCCTTATTGCTGATTTGGAGAAAGTTTGAGTGGTCTGGATAAAAAATCAAAGCAGCTCCAACATTCTCTAAGTCAAAGCCTAATCCAGAGCAAGACCCTAACTGTCTTTAATTCAATGAAGTCTGAGAAAGGTGAGGAAGCTGCAGAAAAGTTTGAAGCCAGCAGAGGTTGGTTATGAGGCTTAAGGAAAGAAGAAACCATTCCCATAACATAACCTGCAAGGTGAAACAGCAAGTGCTGATGTAAAAGCTGCAGCAAGCTACCCAGAAGATCTAGTTAAAATCATTCATGAAGGTGGCTACACCAAACAACTGATTTTTAATGTAGACAAAAAGACCTCTTATTGGAAGAAGAAAATGCCTTCTAGGACTTTCTTAGCTAGAGCGAAGTCAAGGCCTGGCTTCAAAGCTTCAAACCTCTCTTACTAGGTGCTAATGCAGCTGGTGACTTTAAGTTGAAGCCAATGTTCGTCTATCATTTTGAAAATCCATGCTAAATCTACTCTGCCTGTGCTCTATAAATGGAACAATAAAGCCTGGATGGATGACAGCACATCTATTTACAGCATGGTTTACTAAATATTTTAAGCCCATTGCTGAGACCTACTACTGCTCAGAAAATATTCTTCTCAAAATATAACTACTCATTGACAAGGCACCTAGTCACCCATGTGATTTTACAGCAACAGTGTGAAAGTTTCCTATTTCTCCACATCGTCTCCAGCACCTGTTTTTCCTGACTTTTAATGATGGCCATTCTAACTGATGTGAGATGATATCTCATTGTGGTTTTGATTTGCATTTCTCTGATGGCCAGTGATGATGAGCCTTTTTTCATGTGTCTGTTGGCTGCATAAATGTCTTCTTTTGAGAAGTGTCTGTTCATATCCTTTGCCCACTTTTTAATGGGGTTGTTTGATTTTTTTCTTGTAAACTTGTTAAAGTTCTTTGTAGATTCTGGATATTAGCCCTTTGTCAAATGGGTAGATTGTAAAAATTTTCTCCCATTCTGTAGGTTGCCTGTTCACTCTGATGGTAGTTTCTTTTGCTGTGCAGAAGCTCTTTAGTTTAATTAGATCCCATTTGTCAATTTTGGCTTTTGTTGCCATTGCTTTTGGTGTTTTAGTCATGAAGTCCTTGCCCATGCCTATGTCCTGAATGGTATTGCCTAGGTTTTCTTCTAGGGTTTTTATGGTTTTAGGTCTAACATTTAAATCTTTAATCCATCTCGAATTAATTTTTGTATAAGGAAGGGATTCAGTTTCAGCTTTCTACATATGGCTAGCCACTTTTCCCAGCACCATTTATTAAATGGGGAATCCTTTCACCATTTCTTGTTTTGTCAGGTTGGTCAAAGATCAGGTGGTTGTAGATGTGTGGTATTATTTCCAAGGGCTCTATTCTGTTCCATTGGTCTATATCTCTGTTTTGGTACCAGCACCATGCTGTTTTGGTTACTGTAGCCTTGTAGTATAGTTTGAAGTCAGGTAGCATGATGCCTCCAGCTTTGTTCTTTTGGCTTAGGATTGTCTTGGCAATGCGGGCTCTTTTTGGTTCCATATGAACTTTAAAGTAGTTTTTTTTCCAATTCTGTGAAGAAAGTCATTGGTAGCTTGATGGGGACAGCATTGAATCTATAAATTACCTCGGGCAGTATGGCCATTTTGACGATATTGATTCTTCCTATCCATGAGCATGGAATATTCTTCTATTTGTTTGTGTCCTCTTATATTTTGTTGAGCAGTGGTTTGTAGTTCTCCTTGAAGAGGTCCTTCACATTCCTTGTAAGCTGGATTCCTAGGTATTTTATTCTCTTTGTAGTAATTGTGAATGGGAGTTCACTCATTATTTGGCTCTCTGTTTGTCTGTTATTGGTGTATAGGAATGCTTGTGATTTTTGCACATTGATTTTGTATGCTGAGACTTTGCTGAAGTTGCTTATCAGCTTAAGGAGATTTTGGGCTGAGATGATGGGGTTTTCTAAATAGACAATCATGTCATCTGCAAACAGGGACAATTTGACTTCCTCTTTTCCTAATTGAATACCCTTTATTTCTTTCTCTTGCCTGATTTCCCTGGCCAGAACTTCCAACACTATGTTATACATTCCTTTTTCTACTTTCTCTGAAATTATTTTGTTATTTTTTCTCTAGTCACTTGATTAGAATAATTTATTCACTTTAATTTATTTACTTAAAATTATAAATTATATCACACAAACAGAAGTATAGAGAAGGATATATCTGTATTCCCCACACAATTTGGATGAGTCTTAATAATTTGCCAAATTTGCTTCATTTATTTAAGAAATCAGATGTTTTGGTATTAAGTCTCTGGTGTATCCTTCACTAGAGATAACTACTATTCAAAATTAGGTATTCATCATGTTTTTATATTTAGCATACTAACGTATGCCCACAAGCATTAAAGACTTTATATAAGGTCTTAAAACTTTGTGTAATTGGATCATACTCTTCATATCCTTTTGCAAATTGATGTTGTTTTTGCTTAACGCATTATGTGTTTAAGATTTATCATCATATTGATGAGTCTAGGGGAAAAATGCATTATTTGGGATAATACTAAAACAAGCAGAAAAGTGAGTGAAGGAAGGTGATATGAGACTTCAGATGCTGCTACGGAATATAGGCAGAACTTCAGTTGCCATCATGTTTGGAAATCAACTGTCATCTTTGCCATTTTTTTGTGCAAAGTTCTTTATTAAGTTTATTCAGAATTTTCTTATGGTACCCAAGTGGAAACCACTTAGATAATGTGATTAATATTACTGAAATTTGCTTTTCATTTAGGGGCCATACATTTTGTAAAGGCTGTTCCTTTTTTAGTTTAAAATTAGGACACTAAAAATCATTTCAAAAATAGTTGAATTTTCTGTGTGTAGGGATAACTTAAAGTAATACTGGTGAATCTGTTTAACTCTGTTCTTTAGAGTAGGATGAATACTGAATGTTCATCCACCTCTTTTCTTAGATTTCTTTTTTTTCCTCTCTCTCATCTGTTGTACTCCATCTTAATTAAATACAGTACAGAACTAAAATATCTAATAGCTTGATGTTCCCAGTTCTAAATTTTAATGCAGCATACTTTTATTTCCTTTTTAGTATAAAAATTTTTTGATGAATTTTTACTTAGGACAGAAATGTCAATTTTAAAATGGGGGATGTCTCTTCTTCTGATTTAAGGCATTTGAAACTATAATAAGGCCTTGAAATTGGCACTTTACATAGTGTTTCACAGAAGACCCCATTCTACAAGGTTGTCCTAAGCTAGATGGTTTGTCTGCATCATGGCATTGAATCTTTCATAAAAGCGTTTTGCAATGTCTCCATGTCAAAATTATATAAGTTAAAGTGTCATATGCAACTCAGGAAGCTTCCTTAAAAAGGAGTGTGTCCTTCCTCACACATCTTGCTTCCTGATGACTGGAATGCAAGCAGATAGTTGGAGCTTGAGTAGCCATCGAGGACCATGAGGTGGTATCCATGCATTGTGTGCAGTGGAGCAACAAGACAAAGGAGCCTGGTGATCATGGAGCTGCCATGCTGCCCTGTATAGTTTGCTTCCAGGCTGTATGGAGTACTTTATGGAGTACTTTTTCTGAAAAAGTAGACACAAATCTACTTGCTAACCCCATCCTAATGGCAGTACTTACCCATGCCCTCATTCCTCCCTCCCCACTAATGATATAATCACCATTAACCCTGCCTTTTTTTGTTGTTTTTTTTAGGGATATTTTGAGACAGGGTCAGCTTTGTCACCCAGCCTGGAGTGCAGTGGTGCATTCTCGGCTCACTGCAACCTCTGCTTCCTGGGCTTAAGCGATCCTCCCTCCTTAGCCTCTTGAGTAGCTGGGACCACAGGCATGTACCATAATCCCCGGCTAATTTTTAATTTTTATTTTGTAGAAACGGGGTTTCACTGTGTTCCCAGGCTGGTCTCGACCTCCCGGGCTGAAGAGATCCACCCACCTTTGCCTCCCACGGTGCTGAGATTATAGGTGTGAGCTACCGTGCCTGGCAAATCACCATTAGTCCTTCTGACTGAACTTCCAATAGACTTCTCACCACAGTCCACTACCTGCTTCCAAGGCTGCAGAATGGTGCCTGGAATTGGCTCCTTCCTTAGCAGGAAGTGCAAAGGCATTTTGAACAGGATAGGAAGGTTCTCTAATTAATAAGGACAATTAGTTACTGGTGTCCTGTGGCTACCGTAGAGTCTACTTGGAGAAAGTGGGGGTGGAGAGGTAGGAGTACTTTGTGACATCTTTGCCAGTAGAGTTTTTTTGTTTTGTTTTGTTTTGTTTTTTGGGACGGAGTCTCACTCTTGTTGCTCAGGCTGGAGTGCAATGGCGCGATCTTGGCTCACTGCAACGTCCGCCTCCCGGGTTCAAGAGATTCTCCTGCCTCAGTCTCCTGAGTAGCTCGGATTACAGGCATGTGCCACCACGACAGGCTAATTTTTGTATTTTTAGTAGAGACAGCGTTTCTCCATGTTGGTCAGGCTGGTCTCAAACTCCTGACCTCAGGTGATCCATGCGCTTCAGCCTCCCAAAGTGCTGGGATTACAGGTGTGAGCCACCATGCCAGGTCGTAGAGTTTTATTTCTGTTGTGATAATAGGCTGTCTGAACTGATATCCTGAGGGCTAACTGATGGCCATGCCTTGTCCTCAGTCTTACGGAGTGTTCTCATTTCTGATTCCTTGCTTTCTGGCTTCTTAGTTCGGGTTTGACTCCCCAGCTTTGGCCAGCCTTTTCATCCCTTAGCTTTCTTACTTACTCCTTATGAAAGGCTAAATGTTTTCCACATTTCAATCTCGAATGAGCCAAATACTCAGTGAGTTGCAAACATGGACCATATTATTTAACATCACATAGCCTTTTATTGAAATGCTTTTTTGACATTATGCCATCTGTTTACATGGATGAATGCAATAATAAATAGCTGCATAAAACATAAGCAAACATATTGTCCCACATCACTAACTGACTTTTCAAAGAGAACTCCTGGGAGAAATTTCTCTCAAATCTCCATGCCAGAAAAAAAAAAAAAAGAGTTGTATTTGTCCTTAGTAATGGAAATGTTTTTATGCTATGTCTTTGTGACTTCTGTAACTATTAAGTGTCCATTCCTGTTTTTACTGCAACAAATGCAACCAAAATTTGTGGTTCATTTATAGCTTACCTGTGATTTTATCTTATTTTTTCCACCCCAATTTTATAATATCATTTTAACCTCGTGTGTGTCTATTAAATAAGCTGTCTTAAATTCTTTTTAGGAGAATCTATGATAAAACATAATCATAATTTAAAGGCTGCATTATTAATTTCCTGTGTAAGAGACTCTAATGTTGTATTAAGTGTTGCCTTTGCCATCTATGTCCAACATTAAACCTAACTTCTCCATCGTCTGCAGGAATGTTTACATTCCTGTTCACAAGCAATTGTGATCTAAGAGATATCAGTTATAGATATGAATCTACAAGTATTGGAGTCTGCCTGTTGAGGTTCCATTGAGTGTAAATTCAATCCTGTGGATCTGGAAAAGATTATGGGATATAAACAGATGGAACCAAGGGACAGAAGCCTGGGAAAAGTGATCAGGCCTGGAGATGCACAAGCAAGATTTTGGAGTTTACACCAAAGGTGATAGCGTTAGCAGTCATGGGAGATGTCTAGGGAGAGGTAAAAACAGAAGAGCACAGCTCTAAAGAAGTCTGGGGGAACCTCTCCAGGAAGAGGAGGAGTTTGAAAAGGAAACTGAAACAAAGGGTAGGAGAAAATCAGGGTAGAAGCTGGAGTTCTAAAGGTGCAGGCTTACTAGTATCAAAAGTAATGATGACATCTTGAGCAATGGGCATAAAAACTATGAACTCCTTGGTTTGTTTATTCACTGGTGAATCCTGGGGGTAAGTTTGATAGAAAGAGGGAACAGAATCTAGATGGCAGAAGTTTTGGAGAGAATAGGTAGTGGTCAATGAAATGCAACAGAAACCATTCCCTCTGATTGCTTTTCAGTGTAAGATGGGCATGAAATTGGACTGAACCCAGAGGGGAAGCAGGGTCAAGGGTTATTTTCCATTTTGTTTATTGGCTTTTGTTTTTCTTTTTCTCCAACCACAGTGAGAATTAATGATTAAATTATGAACTTGGAGAGAAAAATGAGATTCTGAAGTTTGGGATGGAGGAAAATGGTAGAAAAGGATCAGAGAGAGAGCCTGGGAAGATGACAGTTTTTTTGAAGGCAGAAGTGGCATCTCTTCTGAAAGAAAAGATAGGAATGAATGAAGGTAAAGAGAGATATTTTAATGTAAATATAAGGTGAGATGAAGGAATATAAAAGTGATGGCTCAATAGTTTCAGGAAAGTAAGAAGGAGAAGGTTTTAAGTAATCGTGCGAATAACGGAGAGAGGCGGGTTAGTCTTGATATAAACAGCCACCGTAGGGTGAGAGGAATCAAAAAGAGTGATAACAAAACCCTCCAAAAGTGTGGAGAAAGGCAGTTCAACAGTTCCAGAAAGTCTGATGAAAATGTACCATGTTAAGACATTGTGCTAGACACAGGAGCAGAGAAGATACAGTCCCTTTCGTCATGGAAATCACACTTAGTAGGAGAGCAGCTACATGGGACAGGACCAGTTGACAGTAGATAAAAGTGAAATATTAACATAGTCACAGGATGATTTTCAACAATGTTTGCCAGACTTAGAACAGGAGGAGAGGATGTTGAGTTGAGGGCTGTGAAGATTCAAGTCAGCTCCTGACCTTATGTCAGTATTAAGAAGGGCAGCATTGATCTTGGTGAACACGACGAGCAGTCCAGGAAAGGAGTACAAAGAATAACGGCAAGCACTGGTCCTATGTGGAGGGTGTGAAAATGGTGTCAGGTGAAGAGGTATCACCTCCAACAGGACCATCAAGTTAGACATCTTTTAAGGGATAAGAGGTCCAGAGGTTAAGCCCTGATGGTGGGTCACTGAGACACTGTGGAGGGAAATGGATAAGCCAGGAGTGTTGTGAAGATGTAATAAGGGCTGCACATGTCATAATGGGATCTAAACAAATAGGAGGTGTACAGGGCTTGTGGGGAGTTGGCTGCCCAGAAATCTGAGAGAAAATAAGACATGTAAAGTCCTGCTCACCCATGAAAGTTTCTAAATACAGGAGCTCTGATTCTAAAATCATCTCCATTTATATTGGTTTATCTTTTTAAGACACTTTGTTGTTTCAGAGCTACCTTGCCATGAAGATTCATTACCTTTTCTTTGCTCTTTTCTTCCTTGGCCAGCTGTCTACCTCAGGTAAGGCTTTAGTAATAGTAAGGGAAGCATTTGAGTGAATGAGAAGCCAGCATGAAATGGCATAAACAACCATCTATTGCCAGTGTTAATTAGTAGCTGCTCAATGAACATTTGTTGGATCAATTTTTTTAATGGATGAATTAGTTTCTCCTTCTAGTCTAAAAAATATAATCGAATTTGAAGAATTCCATGATTCCCTTTCTATTTCATGCCAAATTTCTCATCTCAACGCTGGGATAGACTTAGGTTATTTCCAAGAAAGGGAATTTAGAGATCATCGCCTCTGTCCGCTAATTTTATAAATAATGATTTTGAGAGCTTGAGTACAGGTCCTCTAACTCCCAGTATACCACGAAAATGGAATATTTACTCTCATCTTTCTCTGCCTAATCAAAGTAAGGTGCAGATAGTGAGTTTGTTGTGAGCCTTAAATGTGCTAATTCATGTCAAGGGATTTTAGGAAGTGCTTAGCAAATAGAAAGTGCTTAAGAAATGTTAACGAATATTATCAATATTACTATTTCACTTTTTTTTTTTTTAGTTTATCTTCTTCAGCAAGTTCTTCTTTCAGTTCAGAATATCCTCAAGCAGGATGAGCCTGGAGAAAAACTGTGAAATTATTGGAGTTTACCTTTAAAACCATAAAATGATAAGGGCCTGATAGGGTTAAGAATCAAAAGAAAGGAATGGTGGGCCAGGCACGGTGGCTCACACCTGTAATCCCAACAATTTGGGAGGCCAAGGTGGGCAGATCACAAGGTCAGGAGTTCAAGACCAGCCTGACCAACACGGTGAAACCCCGTCACTACTGAAAATACAAAAACTAGCCTCAGTCGTGGTGGTGCATGCCTGTAATTCCACTACTCAGGAGGCTGAGGCAGGAGAATCACTTGAACTTGGGAGGCAGAGGTTGCAGTGACCTGAGATTGTGCCACTGCACTCTAGCCTGGGCGACAGAGCAAGACTTCGTCTCAAAAAAAAAAAAAAAAAAAAAAGAAAGGAATGGTGGAAAGAGATAATGTAAGGAAGATGAAAAACACTGATGGTATAAAGGAGAGAAGACAGAGGAGGAGCCAGTGATGGAATGATGGCACAGAAGGAGTTTGTGAGGGATTTAGAAAGTGGTGGTGCTGTTAATAGAAATGTGAATGCAGGGAAGAGGAGCTGATTGAGATGAAGCCAGTGAAAATGATTTTAGAAATTGTTACCTTGAAGTGACAGCAAGACTTCTAACTGGAGATAATGCAGTAGAGATATGAGACTAGGAAGAAGCTTGTGGCTGATGATAAACATTGTGGGATCCTTCCAAAAAAAGGACAGCCCTGAAGTTATGTGAATAATTTACTACCTCAAGGGCAATTCTCCCTGTCTCCTTTCTCTTTCTCTTGGGCCTGTTCTGGACATCTTGGTAATAAGTGTCTGTATTAGTGGAGGACAAGGGCAACACAGAAAACATCCACTCTCTTTTCTTCCTTTTTTCTCCTCTCTCTTCTCACCTTCCTTACTCTTCTCCCCTCTACCTTTTGGTTTTTTCTTGTTCCTGAACATATAAGGAAGCTTACAAATTACATACAATGCATGGGTTTTTTAAAAGCGAAATAATTAGTAAGAAGATTCAGGCAGAGGAAAATCAGCTTAGAAAAAAGTAATTTGCAAGAGTGATGATGTTGTTTTCTAAAATGGCCCTGGGTGAGGTAACTGAAAGTGGAGGGTAGTAGAAGTCCTTGACGTGGATTTCAGATAGGAATGGAGTGGTATATATTGCCTCCTGAGAAACTGTGCCTAAGATTTATACCCCAGCGGCCCTCACCTGCCTGCAATGGCAGAACATCCAGCATGTATGATGTTCAGTACTGATCTTCTAGAAAGCCTAGCATTGGGCTCTCTCGGGATTGTCCAATAATGCTAGGCTTATACAGTCCAAAGGGAGGTCAACTGTTTTTCTGCACCAAGTGAGGTGTACCTGCAGGCCCTGTCAGTCCCTTCTGAAATATATTTTTTAA
This sequence comes from Homo sapiens, assembly GCF_000001405.40. Classification (NCBI taxonomy): domain Eukaryota; kingdom Metazoa; phylum Chordata; class Mammalia; order Primates; family Hominidae; genus Homo; species Homo sapiens. Next base: position 112,620,282 of record NC_000007.14, read on the forward strand.
TCTGATTGAAAACTATTTTGCTACCATGGGCCATTCTCATCAATATTTTCCCACAAAGCTTTATATTTGAAGTCTATTGCAAGTAAGTATATCCTTGTTTTTGTTCATCTATCTGTTTATTTTTAGGAACTGAAGATGCTTATGAAGTCATTAGTATCATGGACTGTAAAAATCAAACACTGTGTAATTCTCAGAATACAACTAGACACTGCTCTCATGGGAAGGAGATTGAACTATGTGTCTTGCGTCTTGGAAAAAATGCAAAGCGACTCACTAACCATGAAGAAACAGCAAATTAGGAAGACAGGATGATCAATTTCCTTGTCTTATTAAAAAATAAAGTCTGCTTTCTTTTCTCTCTCCTTTTATTCTCTAGTGACACATTTATTTATTGACAGTTTGGACAAAAGTTTATCAAGGAACTTTTCACGCTTAGGATGAATTACAACAAGAACCAACATTTCTTTAGTTCCAGCAGGTGAGAGAATACATACCTGAGAAACCAAAAGAATAGCTGTCCTGTTTGGGTTGTAGGGGAAAGTTTTGGGAATTGTGAAGTAAAGGAGGGAAGGATCTGGGATGACAATTACAGTGTGAGATACATTGATAAGGGCAGATGTGAAAAGAGGTTATCAGGTTTTACTGTAGATTACAAATGGAGTTTTCCCTCAGTGTTTTGCAGGAGATTTTGGTAAAGAATTAGCTTTTAAATGTTTATTTTTTGTTAAAATCTTTGATTGTAACATTTTAGCGCTTGCATTACTAAAGTGAATACTTTCTCCAGCTCTACCCAGACCAGACCTGAAAAGGTAGGAAAGTGATTCTTGGAGCCTGGGACTCCTTTCCATTGTTCTTGTCTTCTACTACGCCTATGATACCTGCAGCCCAGTACCTTTCCTCCACAGTTCCCTGATTCCACTATGCTAGCTTCCCTTTGAAACCGCTGTGTTAAATTTTTAGGAAAATACGGGATGATGGAACAATTCTAATTTGGATAGAAAAGAGTGCCTACCCACCCAGTAGTATCTGTATTTTATTATTTTTTCTTTTCTTTTTCTTTCTTTCTTTTTTTTTTTTGAGATGGAGTTTCACTCTTGGCGCCCATGTTGGCCACACCATCTTGGGTCTCACCATCTTGGCCAGGCTGGTCTGGAACTCCTGGCCTCAGGTGATTCACCCGCCTTGGACTCCCAAAGTGCTGGGATTACAGGCGTGAGCCACCGCGCCCAGCCTGCATTTTAAATAGGAAGCTTATTGCTAGTAGGTGAATTTCAGACTACATAACTAAAGAATTTAAGGCAAATATAGGAGGATCAGACAGGATTCTGGCTGGAAACTGATGAGACATTGGAAGAAGTTCACAATATAAGGGCGGGGCTCCGGCACTGAAGGAGGGGTCTGGAAGCGCTGCGGGCAGGAGCAATGAAGGGAAGAAAGGCTTCAACTGACCCCTCGACCTGAAGGCCCACAGCCGGGAACACCGGCAAGGAGAACACAAGAGAATGCACGGGAAAACACAAGTCAAAAACAATGGTTTGTCTTTTATTATTATTAAGAAGATGGAGGAGGCCGGGCGCGGTGGCTCACGCCTGTAATCCCAGCAGTTTGGGAGGCCGAGGCGGGCGGATCACGAGGTCAGGAGATCGAGACCACGGTGAAACCCCGTCTCTACTAAAAATACAAAAAATTAGCAGGGCGCGGTGGCGGGCGCCTGTAGTCCCAGCTACTCTGGAGGCTGAGGCAAGAGAATGGCGTGACCCGGGAGGCGGAGCTTGCAGTGAGCCGAGATCACGCCACTGCACTCCAGCCTGGGCGACAGAGCGACACTCCGTATCAAAAAAAAAAAAAAGAAGATGGAGGAGCAGCAGTAAGGCTTATCAACGGAAATATTCGTACTGATGAGCATAGAGGAAGAGGTTTTGTTTGCTTGTTTAAGAATCCAGGGTGGCAGCAGCAGGCCCTGCTTTTGGGGTAGAGGTGGCCAGCTAGAAGGGCATTGTACCTTCCCTGGGTCCCGCCCCTTCCCAGGTGAGCTGGGTCCCTTTGTGATGATGATGAAAATGCCTAGGAGGGGGATATGACAATGACTCGCTCCTACCGCCTACTCCAGTCCTCTCCACCCCAAGGTAGGCAGCTTCCCGCTCCTCGTCTTGGGACCTAAACCCAGGAAGTCAAATGTCCTTTTCTAGCAGGTCGCCTGGTTAGAGGCCGTGGACGAAGCGGTCCAGGCACAGCCAGCTGCAGGGCGCGGCCTCGGCGGCGCTGCTCGTGGCCCTGGTCAGTGAGCGCACTCACTCCTGGACTAAGGTAACCCGCGTGGAGGAGACCCAGCTCCCAGGTGGCCATCCCAGTTCCCACAAAGCCCTCCCTGACTTTTAGATCTGGAAATTGTAGCCCCAGTCCCCGGTCCCAACGTCGTGTGCTTTTTAATAGGTGCATGAAAAACGCAGACTGTACTATTGATGCTTCTCATGCTATAAATACATCATTATCTGTTTCTGTACTCAGTAATCCCTCCCCTCACAAATACCTAGGGCTGGTTGGTCTAGTTTTCCAATTGGTCTCCCAGTCTCAGGCTTGCTCTCAAATTCATTCTCCTTGCTTCCACTAGAGAGATGGGGAGAGGGAAGAGGGGAGGAAGGAGGGTGAAGCGGAGGGTGAGAAGAAGAGGGGAAGAGAGATGATTCTATGGCTTATCTATTTGTGTGTGTGTGGAGGGGGGACTGAATTTTAATTCATGTGTTTATGGATATGTGAACCCAAGCAAACAATTGAAACCATTAACAACAGCAATAACAGAAACAACCAGGCAAAACGATTATTATAACACTTGCAGTGCTTGCTTAATTGCCTATGTGAGATAGGTGCTATTAGTATCACCTGTGTACTGATGAAGAAACTGTGGCATCTGAGAGGTTGAATAACCTTCTTGGGATCATGCAGGTTGTAAAGGGTGATGCTGGGATTCAAATCCAAGCACGTAAGAAAGCAACCAGATACAAACTTGAGGCAACCTATCAAGACAAATGCTAGGTAGGGCAGGCTCATAGCAGGCAATACCAACAAGCTTGATGGAGCGAAAATTGGGAGTTCTTTAATTTCTATAGAAGTAGATGTGTTGCCTTTTAAGTGAAGTTGTAGTGTTAATGGAAAGGGGTCCCGATCCTGACCCCTTTCCACTTCTTGGATCTCACTCAAGAAAGAATTTGGGACGAATCCATAAAATGAAAGCAATTTTATTAAGAGAGTAAAGAAATAAAATAATGGTTACTTCATAGCCATAGCAGCACTGAGGGCTGCTGGTTGGCTATTTTTATGGTTATTTCTTTATTATATCTAAATAAAGGGTGTATTATTCATGAATTTTCAGGTAAAGGGATGGGCTATTTCCAGAACTGAGGGTCTCTCTGCTTTTTAGATCAGATAGGATAACTTTGGAATGTCGCCATGGCATTTGTAAACTGTCATGGCGCTGGTGGGAGTGTCTTTTAGCTAATGCCATATAATTAGTGTATAATAAGCAGTGAGGACGACCAGAGGTCACTGTCTTGATTTTGGTGGGATTTGACTGGCTTCTTTACTGCATCCTGTTTTACCAGCAGGGTCTTTGTGACATGTATCTTGTGATACTAGTCCTGCTGACCTCCTGTTTCATCCTGTAACTAAGAATACCTAACCTCCTGGGAATACAGCCCAGTAGGTCTCAGCTTTATTTTACTCAGCCCCTATTAGAGATGGAGTTGCTCTGGTTCAAATGCCTCTGACAGTAGGGAGCAGGAAATAACAGGAATTGAAGATAATATACAAACAGGAACCAACTTAAAAACACAGTCCCTATTTACAAATACGCTTTCAGTTTATAATATCTCCAATGGACTCAGTTAAAAATATAGATATTTTATGAGAGACTGCAATTCTTTTAAGAAAAGTATGTGCATTAGTATTACAAAGATATCAATTGGAATGAATCTGGATCTAGTCATATTAAGATAAGACAGCGATGCCAAAAGGCTTTGAACTTAATCATGATACATTCAGTAGTGTGATGCTTTATTCTTGAGGTTAACAAACCAGAAAATAGAGTGCATATCAATACATTTACCTGTGAATTTATACTAATTGGTTGACCAAAATATATGTTAGGCAATGCTTGCTTATTTTCCAAGCAATGTTAAAGAACATTAATAAAATGGATTTGAAATTCTCAGCTTAAAAAACAAACAAACAAACAAACAAACAAAAAATAACAAAAAAATCGCCATTATCGAGTTTCCATCTCCCTGAGCTGCATCCTGGAAGTCCCTGCCAGCTGAAAGATTTCTGAGAGGCTCTACCAGAACTAATTAGCTAAGCAGTCTGGGGCCACGCCACCACATCCCAGGAAACAGATATTGGAATCTTTGCTTTTTGAAAATCTTTGTTTTCTGAAAACAAATAGCCATACTTTGATTTCAACTTAATTCAGCGAGTTTACTGGATATTTACTGTATTTTCTGCATGGTCTCAGTTTAAACACAAATCTGTATTCAGGAGTCTCTTGGTCTCAGTTACGTAGCAATACTATTTATGCTTCCATAATATAAATTATTTCATATAGTTGCCTGAGATAATGGGATAATGTTTTACCAATCAAATTGACAAAGATCATATTAAGTGCTGGTGATAGGGAGGAAAATTGGTATAAGCTTTCTAAAATCACATCAGTATGAATCAGGAAACTTGAAATGCTCTTAATTTTTTTTCACCATGTAAATAGATTTAATTAGTAAAAAATAACCTTTTTTAGTCACCTGGTCTCATATGTAGCATCATGGCTACAATGGTAGTGCAAGTCCAGGGACAAAGAACTTTGAAAGGCTCTAGTGGTAGCCATCAGATCAGTTCTTCAAATGGTACAATTTTGTTAGTAAAGATGTCACCTTTACTATAAAAAACTCAATTCTTTTCAATAACTAGGCAGAAGAGATGCAGTGATATAGATAAGCCATATGAGCTATATCTATCTATATATATTACATATGTTACAAACCTCATAATTCCACTGCTAGCATTATACAAGAAGTAATTAGAAATATGGAAGAGATTAAGGTATATTTATTGTATTGTTTCCCTTTTAGTTGAAATTCTCTTGTATATGACCATATATGTTGGAGTTCCTCACTCTTTTCATTCTCCTCTTTTTCCAAAAGCCCCTTCATCTTGCCCATAACTTCAGTTATTTTCTGTCTATAGAGATTTGCAAATTTACTTCTCCTCTCACAGCACAGCCAAGAAACTAAATTGACACTTCTACTTGGATGTCTCAAAGACATTTCAAATTCAGTAGCCCAAAACTGAACTTAGGTTTTTCTATCTGGTCTGCTTCCAAGTTCCTATGAGGAAACAATGTCATTCCTATACTAAAGATACTCAGTGACCTCCCATAGCTCTTAAAATAAGGCTTTGCCATGGTAATTATAAGGGTGAGTATCAAATTCTAGAAATTAATATGACCAAGCCAGGTAATTTGTTAAATGTCTTCCTTTAGGTTGTTGAATACCATACTAAACTGCTAGACATTCTAAAACAAGTAGAAATACACCAGGTATCTGACCCCAACATTCTTTTAGCTCAATTGGTAATTTTTAACTTTCTTTCCAAAGAAACTTATTATGGGTAGTAAAAAGATGATCCTTAAAACAGACTTGAGTTGGAATGAAAAGTGCAAAATGTATAATGATTTCCATTATTGAGTTTTATCAATGGTTATTATCCTAAGAAATATTTTCTTGTGGATATAAGGTAGAGTTCTTTTGTCTGTAACTCAGGAAAACCACTGGTACAGGATCAGAAATAGATGGGTTATTTAATTAACATTCCTTAAATCTTTTGTGCAGCATTATTCTCTTGGATTCACCTTTGCAAAGAATTGAACAAAATAGAAGCCAAAGAAGTAGACAGAAAATAAATCAATCCACTCTGCTCAAAGAGCACACAGTCTAATGAAGATGATGAACATGAAGTCAACTTCGTAGTGTTGAGAGCACTGTTTCTCCAGAGCAGCACTTCTCATCAGGGGCTGCACGTTAGACTTACCTGGGGAGTATACATAAGTTCAGATGCCCAGGCTGTACTTCAGAATCTCTGGAGGTATGATCCACAATGTGCTTTTTTTTTTTTTTTTTTTTTTTTTTGAGATGGAGTCTCACTCTGTCACCCAGGCTGGAGTGCAGTGGTGCGATCTCGGCTTACTGCAACCTCCACCTCCCGGGTTCCAGCGATTCTCCAGCCTCAGCCTCCTGAGTAGCTGGGATTACAGGCACATGCCACCACGCCCAGCTTATTTTTGTATTTTTTAGTAGAGACGGGGTTTCGCCATGTTGGCCAGGCTGGTCTCAAACTCCTGACCTCAGGTGATCCACCCACCTTGGCCTCCCAGAGTGCTGGGATTACAGGGGTGAACCACCATGCCCAGCCCACAATGTGCATTTTTAAAAGCTCCCCAGGTGATTTCAATGAGCAGTAAAGTTGGAGAGTTAAGTATGAATGCATCACTTTGTTAATGAATTTCTTTCTTTTAAACCTTGATAGCCTTAGAGCTGAGCCTGAGTTTAAAACAAATGCAGATTTTATCTTAATTTTAAAAATATTTTAACTTTTATTTTACATTCAGGGGTACATATACAGGTTTGCTATATAGGTGAACTCGTGACCTGGGGATCTAGTGTACAGATTATTTTGTCACCCAGATACTAAGCCTAGTACCCAACAGTTATTTATCCTGAACCTGTATTAGTCCATTTTTATGCTGCTATGAAGACATACCCGAGACTGGGTAACTTATAAAGAAAAGAGGTTTAATTGACTCACAGTTCTACATGGCTAGGGAGGCTTCAGGAAACAATCATGGTGGAAGGTGAAACAGGCACATCTTACATGGTGGCAGGCAAGAGAAGTTAGAACCAAGGGAAAGGGGAAGCCCCTTGTAAAACCATCAGATCTCATGAGAACTCACTCACTATCACAAGAATGGTATGGGGGAAACTGCCCTCATGATTCAATTATCTCTACCTGGTCCTGCCCGTGACATATGGGGATTATTACAATTTATGGTGAGATTTGGGTGGGGACACAGAAACAAACCATATCAGAACCTCTCCCTCCTCCCACCCTCCACTCTCAAGTAGGTCCCAGTGTCTGTTGTTCCTTTCTATCTGTCCATGTGTTCTCATTATTTAGCTCTGACTTATAAGTGAAAATATGTGATATTTGGTTTTCTGTTTCTGTGTTAGTTTGCCAAGGATAATGGCCTCCAGCTCCATCCATGCTTCTGCAAATGACCTAATCTCATTCTTTTTTATGGCTGCATAGTATTCATGGTATATATGCACCACATTTTCTTTATTCAGTCTACTGCTGATGGACATTTAGGTTGATTCCATGTCTTTGCTATTGTGAATAGTGCTGCAAAGAACACACGCATCCATGTGTCTTTATGGTAGAATGATTTATATTCCTCTGGGCATATACCCAATAAAGGTATTGCTGGGTCAAATGGTAGTTCTGTTTTTAGTTCTTTGAGGAATCACCACACTGCTTTCCACAATGGTTGAACAAATGCAGATTTTAATGTGGGGATCACAGAAGCAAATTTGAAGTTTTTTAATACTGTTTCACTGACTGAGAAGGGCAAGAATGAGGAACCAAGATGGTGTGACTTTTAGACAATGCAGCAATATGTAAAAATTTCTTAATTGACTGTGATACTTCATAGCCTAATTTCTTTTTTTTTTTTTTTTTTTGACAGAGTCTCGCTCTGTCGCCCAGGCTGGAGTGTACTGGCACGATCTCGGCTCACTGCAAGCTCCGCCTCCTGAGGTCATGCCATTCTCCTGCCTCAGCCTCCTGAGTAGCTGGGACTACAGGCGCCCATCACCATGCCCGGCTAATTTTTTGTATTTTTAGTAGAGATAGAGTTTCACTGTGTTAGCCAGGATGGTCTCGATCTCCTGACTTCGTGATCCGCCTGCCTCGGCCTCCCAAAGTGCTGGGATTACAGGCATGAGCCACCGTGCTCGGCTCATAGCCTAATTTCTTGGACTAGGGGCAGGAAACATCTGAGAAAACAAATTTCTTTTGTGGCAGTCTCCAGAAACATGCTTGTCAGCATGCCTGGAAACCTGAGTGTGAAAAGGAGTCCTGCCATAGCCTGTTGGCTTTCTTGTGGGGCACTAGAGCATTGATTGCAGAAGCACTCACTTTTTTTTTTGGTTCAGGTAATTTTTATGTATTCACATATTAGGATGCTATAGTTCCTTGATTAACTTATTTTTTCCTCTTAAATATATGACAGATATAGGAGCAAAGCTACAAGTGCTTAAATGTATACTTTGAGAGCTGGTCCTTAGTATCTTCTGCGATGATACCCTTTGTTTTACCAATCAGCACTTCCCTTAGCATCTTAGTGATTCACATCCTCCTCAGAAAGCCACCCCACCCATTCTGAGCTCCACAGCAGAGTGGGGTTTTCATGGTTCTGATATATGACTGATATTCAAAAGCTCACCGGAACCAACTGTGCCTTAAAGCAGAAATTAGCCCTGAGGCATTCTCAAGTTAAGACCCTTCTGCTCCTACTACTATCAAATTGGGTTTAAGTAATTTTAACAAATCATCTTCTAAACCATTAATTACTAATACTTATTAATTGGAGGTTTTGAATTTCCTTACCTTTATAAAATATCATCAATTTTATTGATTTCACTTTTTTAGGAAAGAATAACAAACCTGTCTACATTTATGAAGCAGCACATATTTAGAGGATTTTTTAACTGTGCTGAAGCTATAGTTTTAATTAGTGAAATGTAATTCACTTTGCAAATAATTTGTTCTTATAAATACTGTTCCAAGTATGTTGGTGGCACTGATACCTGATGGAGATATAAGGCAGAAAAAATGGTGTTATGCTTTAATGGAAGAGATTGTTAGCCAAAATTATTTTAAATAGTATTACCAAACCCATCTTGGGCCTGACCACCATTTGAATAAATATTCACACTTGAAGAAACCCTGCTTGTTAAATTGTAGGTCAGATTTAGAGTCTTGCAACCTGGTTTTCTGTTCCTGACAGCGATAAATAATATTTTTCAGGGGTCATGGTTGCATTTCATGATACCCCCCAGACTAAGCTGTTACTCAGGCATTCCTACCTTTCTTAGCTTTGGTTATAAATTTATCATAAATTTCTCTAAGCATTTTAAAAATCAGTTTTATCATGGACTATAAGTTATAGTGTGGGCAATTAAAACGTAGAAATAGGCTGGGCGTGGTGGCTCACGCCTGTAATCCCAGCACTTTGGAAGGCCGAGGCGGCCAGATCACGAGGTCAGGAGATTGAGACCATCTTGGCTAACACGGTGAAACCCGGTCTCTACTAAAAATACAAAAAAAAAAAAAAAAAAAAAAATTAACTGGGCCTGGTGGCGGGTGCCTGTAGTCCCAGCTGCTTGGGAGGCTGAGGCGGGAGAATGGCGTGAACCTGGGAGGTGGAGCTTGCAGTGAACCGAGATTGCGCCACTGCACTCCAGCCTGGGCGACAGAGCGAGACTCTGTCTCAAAAAAAAAAAAAAGTAGAACTAATAGGTTTTTTATGTGTCAGCATTTTTCCTGGGATTTATATGACCTCTAAACACACATTCCATGATATAATGAATTACTTTTTAAATTTTTATTTTTATCTGAGTAATATATAAACATAGTGTTTTAAGGAAAAAGAGTAGCCCTCAGATATACCCCATCCCCCTGATTCCTGCTTCTAGTCTGTTTTCTGTTAGTTCTTACCCCTGTATTTCTCAATAACTTATGTTTATTGCTACTTCCTGGCCTTTTTGTTATAAGTATTACATATTAGCTTTCTATCCTGGGAGATGATGATTTAGCATTCTTATATCATCTCTCTCAGACACAGAATGTCACACACATACACACACGCATACACACTCCCAACTGCATAGATGCTTCCCCTCCTCCATTCTTTTTATCCTGCTATTTCACAACTTTTGGTTAAGTCCATATTCAGTGTTTATATCATCATGACACAATTATTATGAACCACATGTAGTGTATCATTATTATATTTCCTTATGGCTTTTCCTTAAGTTAACCATACGTTGGTGGTTTTTTGTTTGTTTTTTGTTTTGCTTACCTGGTTAGCTATTATTTACTCGACACTTAGCTTATGACAAACACTGTGCTAAACACTTCACAATATATTAACAGTTTGCACTTATGAGGTAAATATCATTATCACCCTCATGTTTACAAATGTAACTGAGACAGAGAAGTTGAATAAGTTGCCAGATCGCAAAGCTAGTAGATGACTAGCTTATGATTTGAACCTAAGCAATTTGACTCCTCCTTAACCACAGCAAAATACAAAGAAATGTCCAAAGTTTTTGAGGCTAGTTTCTTGAGAGAAGATCAGTGTTGTGAATGAAGATGAAAAAACTGGAGATAGGACTTAGCCTGGATTTTTCTTGGCAAGTGGAGAAGGAAAGGAAATGATGAATTTGTTTTGGACATGTTAGAATGATGTGATGTCAGGATATGTAAATATTTATATAATAGTTGGACATATGTTAGGAAAGAAACTTGCACTGTGGGTATGAGTTGGAGAATCTTTGACATAGAAAAGGTTGGCTATTAGATGAGAAAGTGTGATTTCTCCAAGCAAGTGAATGCACAGAAAGAAAAGCAGAAAAGATGGGGCTGAACTTTATGGTAAATATGAAGTTAAGGTGGGGGAAAAAGAAGAGAAGCTCAGGTCAGAGAGACAATCATAAAGGTAGGAGAAGAATGAGAGAAGGGCTGAAATCCCAGCTAGAAAAGACTTTCCCCCAAAATTAACATAATACAAAGAGGGTTGTGTCCTTCAGAGAAATGGAGGAGGGTGATGAGCAAGAAGAAATCAATCTGGAGAAAAGGTGGTTATTGACAACCTCCACCACAAACTATTACAAATATTAAATATAAATAACAGGAGATAGTACTACACTCTATTTTGTCTTGTTTATAATTTTTTTCATGTCTGGTGTTTCGTTATTTATTTGTTTTTGGTAGATAGAAGGAATAAATTATTATTATTATTTATCCAAATATTTCTGGGCCAAATCCCAGAAATCTGGCCAGAACTTGGGTACTGGCAAAGTCAGAGAACCACAGATCGTTAAAAATGAGAAGGACCTCAAGAGTTCATCCTGGTTTATTTCATTTTATTTATGGGGAAACTGAATTTCAGAGTGGTTGAGTGACTTCTACTACTGAAGGCTCTTGAGATGGGCCTGGAGGTCTGATGTGAAACCAGGCCCCTGCTCTCATGTATCTCAATGTGGCTTTGAAACAGCAGGTACGTTCAACTAAAAGCCTTATGCCCCCTTCTGACTTTCATATATCTCACCTTGCGGATCCAATACTGCATCATGGAGGGATATCCTGGACCAGTAAAGAAGTTTTTAAAAATCCTTAATTGTTGAATCAGAAAACTGAGCTATGCCCAATTTGTCTGGTCCCACACTTTAGGTGCCTTGATGCCTCTTTTAAATGTAATGGGTAATAGTTAGGATCAGTAGTGTCAGAACAAAATACATAGTTTTTTCTTTAAAGACTTTAAAATTGTGACATATAACTTGTAACATTGGAAAATACTGAAAATAATGGTGGTTGGGATTTTATGAATTCCTGTGTAATTTCTGTGCAGTTTAGCATATTACCATAGCATAGGCTGCTGGAGTCACATCTGTGATTTTCTACCTATGCTGCCTTTTTGGCTGCTGATGCATCTTTTTATTCATTGGGCAGAAGATTTGCTCTAATATGTTTAGGAAAGTAAGCTGACCAACCAAAAATTTCACCGTATCCAGGAACCCATAGGATGTGTCATCGTTTCTAGAGAGAACTGTGAGCTGTATTCTTTTATAATATAAAAACGTGTGCCTGCCATTTCAAACTACTAAACATCTAGACTAGTGAGAGTTTGGACTGTCCTATACAAGGACCCATATATAGAGTGTGATCATAGAATCATGTGCTCATAGATTGCAGTCTGTGTCTTTGGACCGGTCCATTCTTAATGGCAGTGGGGAAATAAGGCAACTTACTCAACTTCATCAGCGACCTTACTAAAGTGGTAGAAAAAACTTCTATTTTACAGTTTAAACTTAGCCAAAAGCTTGTTACTTAAGAGCCAAAAAAACAGACAAAAAAAAGCTTAAGTACTTTGACACTGTTTTTATTTTTCAGCTCTATGCAACTCATTTTCATCTAGCATTACCTCTCCAAAACCTGAATCTCCACAAGAAAGCCACACAGCAATTAACCAGTGTTGCAAGAACTGCTTCTGTAATAAAGGTAAACCTGGGAGCTATTGATTTGAATTTTCAAAAATGTGCAAGTGGTAGGATGATTCCAGGGCAGTGTGTGACTATGTATAGCATGTAAATACACCAGCCTAGAAAACACAATGCATTGCTTGGTTTATATCAGGCAGTACCACAACCCATTTTTTTCTGAATTTTTTTTGCTGCTTTCTGCTTTTCTTTTTTAACCCTTTTCTGATTGTAGAGATCATATGTACTCATTGTTGAAAATAGGGAAAGTAAAAGAAGTACAAATCCCACTACCCACAGCGCCTTCTGCATTTTGTAAAGCTATGACAGCACTCTCAAATATGTAAGTGAAAGAGACTCTTGATAAAAATTGAATTTTACTTTCTCTTTGCCATTAAATTTTGTGTCTAACAGAATCAGCTTAGGGAGAAATTAGCCCTTCTGACTGTTCTTCAATGTCATTTTACTTACATAGTTTTTATTATTACTAATAATAAGCTTTCTGTCTGAGCACTTAGCATGTGTCAGGCAGAATGCTAAGAACTGCACATAAATGCTCTCACTTAGTGAAAAACCTAGGAGCCTGGCACTATCCCCAGTAACTGATTACCGATCATTTAGTGGGCTCAGAGTACTTATATAATGTGCCCAAGGTCATGTGGGAGATAGGATTCAACCTCAGCCCTCTGAAATCATCATACTACCTTAGTTATGAAAGGAATGGAGGGAAGGAGCTAATTTATTGAGATTCTCCATTAGGTAAGTAATTGTGCTGGACGCTTTACATGCTGATAGTGTTCAATTCTCACAGCCTCACAAGGTAAATAATATTATTGCCACTTACAAATGTGGAAGGAAACTGAGGCTTAGTGGGACTAAATATTTTATTAAAAGTCACACAGCTGATAAGTGGGGAAGCTAGAAAAATGACTTTGCTTTCTTTCTTTCCAAAGCTGTCATTTCTACTTGACCACATGAGAAATTTTTTTTTTTTACATCTCTTTCCCCCACCTGACTTCATAAGATCAAAATGTGTTGCCCATTTTGGTAAATTTTTACAAGACAATGCACAAATTGGATTTGAAGGCTTTTTCAATGAAAGAATGAATCTATAGATTCATGCTAATCTGGACTAATGTCCAGCTTAGGGGATTTCACCAGAGACTCAGCATGATGCCTCAAGGTTATACTGAATGCATAATCTGATGTCTCAATATTTTAATGTTTAATCTCAAAATAGAGTGGATTTGACAGTCTAGCTTAAAAGAGATAACATTTTTAAAAATGTATGGAGGAATTCAAGCATATTGCTAAAGTTTTACCAATCAAAGTGTTCTCTCATTTACCAATTAAATAACAAATGAAAAAATAAACGGGTCTGTCGTCACTTAGAATATGTGTTTGCCCATAAAAATAACTTTAAAGAAATTATAAATAGCTTAGAAAAATGATATAAGAAAGCTAGGTTAGTAGCAGTTACTATAGATTATTTATTCAACAAATATGAGGGAAAGAAGTGTGGTGTGTAGGGGGAGATGATTCCAATAATGAGGACAGAGGAGCTCTCCTTGTAAAATGGAAGCTGTAATTCTTGCCTTATAGTGACAATGCAAGAATGTGGAATGACGTATGCAAAGCTCCCTGTGCTGAGCATAGGCAAAGCCATTATTATATTTTGTAGATGAGAAAACAGATGTGGTTTAATGGGGTTAAGTTCACTCAGTTGCTGCCAATTGGCAAAGCTTGGATTCGAACTCAGGTTTTCTGATTCTACGATCTGTGATCTTCTCATTTTGCCTGGTAGTTGTGTTGTTTCCTCTGGGTACTGATCACACTTGTACAAATGGACAGATGTTGAAAATACATCCACTGGTGGTTAAACCTGAAATAAATGCTAATTTTTCATTTTTATAAAGGTTTCTTTTTGATGTATTTGTGTTTTGAGAGTATATTTGCTGTTCAATATAATTTTGTGTCTATGGAATGTGTTTTAAAAATTATAATCTCTAAGGATATGAATTAATGTACATTAATGTGTAACTAATGTTACAGCTCCTTTTATAGCCACTTGGGTTTTCATGTTGTTTTTAAGAACTGAGTGCAATTATAGGAAACACATTTGGAATGATGGCATAAGTCAGCCCTAAAGGAATAGCAAAAGTCCTGGGAGTAATCTTGTAGAGTCCTGTCAACACAAATAAGGGTGCTGATTTAGAATAAAGAACCAATTATGCAAATACCATTATGGTATAAAAATATTATTAGATTTGTTGGGAAGAATTTTTATATATAACAGTTCTAGTTAATTATTAAATTTCTTTAAAAAATTATACCATTAAGAAAATAGCAGACAAAGAAAAAGATTTTAGTATGTATAATCTGAGCTAAAGATTACATACAAAGAGTACATTTAGTTATAAGGAAAAAAGCAGTATCCCAGTATAATTGGCAAACACATAAATACAATTTCATCAAAGAATAAAAAATAGAACTATTAAGGAAACAGTAAAAATGTTTGTGGTTGCTAGTAATCATAGAATGTAAATTAAGACAAAATAACTTATTTTTACATTCAAATTAATTAAAGGATATGATCTCGAAAATGTCATGAAAATGGTGCTTTCATATCTCGCAGGTGGGAAGACAAATTGATGCAACCCTCTTGAAAAGCAATCTGGCAATATGAACCAAGAGCCATGAAAAGGCTTATGCTATTATAATTAGTAAGTCAATTTATAGAAATTTGTTTTTTAAAAGTAAAGTAAAATAAGAGAAAACCCTTGTTGGGAAAGATGTTCATTGCAATATTGCCTACAACAGGAAAAATATTGGAAGAAAAAATCTAACAAATTGATAAAATCATATTAGGTAAATTAGGGTGGACCTCTGTGGTAGTCAATTATGCAACTGATAGAAATGATAATAATAAAAATCACATAGCAACATAGAAATGCCTTAATTAGAATCTTAAGTGGAAAATGAGCATATGAAATAGAATGCAGGCTATTGTCATTACATACAATTATGTAGAGAAGACTGAAAGGAAACATTTCAAAGGTTTGTAAGTTATTTAAAGATAGTGGGATTACAGATTTTTTTTTTTTACTTTCCATATATATTCTTCAATGTTGTTATAATGATTTAACAATGAAAATGTAATTGATAATGTATTATTGCTATTTCCTTAATTCCAGAATGGCTGTAATGTTGGCTGTAAATATGAAATTTTCTTTCACACACCAATGTTTTCAAGAATGGCATATTCACATGCAGTATGTGGTAAGTTGCATCATTTCTCTTTGAACTGGGCTGATAATTTTCAAGCTAACAAACCTGTTCCTCCATGAAAGTAAGTTGCCTTAAAGACCTTACTCTTACTATACATAAGCAGTAGTTAACAAAGAGCTATTATTTTGAAATGGCAAATGCTTCCTATACTCAGATGTTTTTATACATTCACAACTCACAAGCAATCAGCCTGACTAAAGCACTGGGATTTAAAAAATGCACTGAGACAGCATCTTCATATGCCTCGGAGACAATTCAACCCAGAGGTGCAAATGCAGAATACATGTTTATATGGAAAGGTCACTGATTTTTCACTACTTAGGAAAGCCATGCTATGTGTGCCAAGATAGATGTACCTAAATCTAAGGCTTTCATGCCTTGAAAGATAGATGGAAATCACTTTCTATCGTTCACCTCCTAGATTTTCTAAAACCTAACTTGGAGAGACATCCAGTTCTGTAGGTTAAGCAGAGAATAATGCAAATAGCTTGAGCTCAAACTACATCCAATTTTATGTAAGATTCTACATTTCTGAGCTTTTCTTCCTAAGCCTGCATCTCTTTTTCTGTTCCCCATCTTAATTAATGTTTCTGAATTCCAAACATTTTCCTAAGAGAAACACCTCAAAGTTATTCCAGACTCCTCTCTCTCCTTCATTCAGAGACTGTCAGCTTTTATCACCTGAACCTCTATAGTGCTTCTTGAGTTGAGTCTCTATTTCTACACTTGAAATATTATATTAGCTTTTTGATAGCTTCTTCCAGAGTTATCTTCTTCAAACAATATTTAAAAATATTTAGCTTTCAGCTGGGCACGGTGGCTCACACCTGTAATCCCAGCACTTTGGGAGGCTGAGGTGGGCAGATCACTTGAGGTCAGGAGTTCAAAACCAGCCTTGCCAACATGGTGAAACTCCATCTCCACCAAAAATACAAAAATTAGCCAGGCGTGGTGGTGTGCGCCTGTAATCCTGCTACTCGGGAGGCTGAGGCAGGAGAATCACTTGAACCTGGGAGGTGGAGGTTGCAGTGAGTTGAGATCACATCACTGCACTCCAGCCTGGGTGACAGAGGGAGGCTCTGTCTCAAAAAAATAATATGCATATTTTTTAGCTTTTATATTAAAAAATCTTTGGTGGCTCTTTACCGTCTGCAGGATAAAGTCCAATTTTCCTTTTTTTTTCTTTTTGTTACAACATTATCAATGTATTTAATACCACTGAACTCTACACTTAAACATGGTTAAGACACTAAATTTTGTTCTGTATATTTTACTACAATGAAAACATTGGAGAAAAAATAAGTAAACCTTTTTTAAAGTGGTTCAGTAACTTGTCTAAAATCACATAGCTATTAAGTACAGACATTATTATTCAAAAAATCCTTGTCATACTCCCAAACGTACTCCTTTTCTATCATAGTCATGGTTTTCATACTGTTTCATGAATGATGCAGTATTTTATTTGAATAAAGGTTCTTTACTGCCCTTTTGTATACTTTTAACATAAAAATGATTAATGCTCACTTTTTACATTACTCTTTCAGATTTAAACTATGGTCTTAGTTTTGTAAAATTTAGCGTATCTTCATGTGTTTGGAAATTGAAGGGTGCCTGAATGTTTCTTCTTAGTCATTGCTTCTGTAATCCATATATTTTTCTCCAAATAAAAGGTGATGTCTTAAACTGTGACTTAGCAAGCTACCTATGTATTTGCCTTGAGTGTAAATGGAGATAATAGGAAATACAGTCAATTTTTCTTCACAACTCTAATTTTAAAAAAAATCTCTAATTATTACTCATAAACATCCTTTGTAAAGTTTTTAAAATCACATATACACTTTGAGTGAATGATGCCAAACTTCAACAGTTAGCTGTTGTAATCTGGTGTAATCTTAGAATTCATCTAGTGCTTAATGGTAAATTTTTTCTCATGTCTGGGACTAACTCTCCTAAGCCTTGTCAATAAATCTGAGTCACTTAACTGTAGCAGTCTTTATCACACTCTGAGGATCTTGTGACTGTTGTCCCCCCAAAAGTTATCTTTTAAAAAAACATATTGGTCAGTGGTCACCCAATTTTTAACTCTTGTATTTCTATTTTTCACCTCTTCCTCATGCACTTCATACCTAGACACAGCCCATTGTTTTCTTTCCTTAATTCCAGGAGGCCTTTGCTTGATTCCATGCCTTTGTATGAAAATATTTTCTGTAGTACATGACAAACACATAACCATTATTTGCTCATATATGTCTCCCTTACTGCATTATGAGTCATTCAGAACAGAGACCATGTCTTGTTTATCACTGTATACCAAGCATCTGCAGAGGGTAAAGAGTCGAGATACATTAATTGAGTGAGTAAATAATTTAATTAATCCAGTAGTGTAGAGTGCAGATTAAGTTAATGTGATCCTCCAAAGAAACAACTCTTTGGTTTTCATAGATGGGGAGTTTTGGGTGGGGAGATGCTGGGAAGGGGTGAGTCTATAGACCTGGTCCAGGCTTGACCTGGAAGCAGGGCTCTGAATGTTCACAAGCAGTTCTAACTAAAGCTAGAAAGAAGAGAGCTAAACTGGGAACATGGTAGGGGCTGCATTCAAGATCAGGAATTAAATATTAAGTCAAGACTATAATTAAATATTATTAGAGGATCACAGACCCTGTTTCATATTTCCTGGAACCTCCCATAGATAGCTTTTCTTGCTGCGGATAGGCCAAATTTATATGCTCTGCTAAGAACCTGAAATAGAATCTGTATTATTGATAGAAGTAGAACCCAGTATTTTGACAGGCAGCTGGGTTGAGGGCAGGGCTGGCTTTTGTTCTTGAATATTAAGAAACTTAACAAACACATACATGCACTGACAACTAGAAGTGGGCCAAATGACATTTCAGTTAGAAGAAACAGAATGTACAAAGGCTCAGAGATGTGAAAGTCTGTACCATGTTTGGGGGATTTCCAATACTTTCATTTGGTGTGAAGATAGGATGTGAGGGACCAATAGAAGCGATTAGTGACTTTTGGGAAAGAGTGAAAGATCCAAGGTGACCCCCATGGTCCTTGCCTCCTGGTGTTCACATGTAATTCTCTCTCTGTAAGTGTGGCCAAAAACAGTGACTGCATTCGAATGAATAGAATATGGAAGGGTGATGATATATTACTCCTATGATTATACTACATTCTACAATACTCAATGTTGGTAGCAGACTCACTCCCTCTCTCCTCTTGCTGGTTTTGAGGAAGTAAGTTGCCATGCATTCTGTAGCCACAAGAAGCTGAATGCTGCCAACAACCATTTACAAGCAGGCAGGCAGATTCTACCCTAACTGAGCCTCCCTTCTGTAATCACCTCCATTTGAGTGCAGGCAGAACCTCTGACTTGATTCTAAACAATAAAATGTTACAAAGGTGATGGAATATGACTCCTATGAGTTCATTATATTATGTTAGTCTGTCTTACTAGCATACTGTCTCTCTCTCTCTCTGCCTTTTTATTTTTAAACAAGTAAGCCTTCGTGAACCTTGTAGCTACAAGAAAGTGAAAATGAATGCTTCCAATAACAACATGAGCAGGGAAATGTATCCTTCCCTAGTTGAGCTTCCAGATGAGAACCCAGCCTGGGCTAGGGTCTTTGTGCTGTAGTAATTTGTTACTCAGCAATAGATAACTTATACAATAGCAGGAAGCAAAAGCCCTTGATAATCTCCACTTTCATCTCCAAACAATCTATGCAAACAGTTAAAATATTGTTCAAGGGGGAGAGAATTATATTTTATCTTATCAAGCTTTGTCAAAGCCTTATCAAGGATTTTATTAATTTTCTATTACTTTGAAGAAGTAAAAAGATTCTTAAAGCCAGTTTTACAGACTAATCTTCTACTTTCTTCTATCTTTTGCCCTTTTATATCTGCTGATCTTTATCTCCAATATAAGCTATGTCCAAAGCCAACTCTCCTTGTCTAGTTTGAGGTGAAATGTCTCTTACTACCATCAACTGCTTTTAGATCACCCCAATAGCTCATTTTTATTTTTAAAAACCTTTTCTCACTTTATAAATATATGGTAACTTTTAAGTGAATTCCAACTATCTCTGAACATGCCACATAGGTGAATATTAATTAGAATATTATATGCATTTGTTATCTAGTTTCCCCTTGGAAATAAAATGTAAAGGAAAACTATGGAAAAATATACTTACTCTAGACATTCTCTGCATTGATTTATGACAGATGAAAGAAGCAGTAAAGGATGCTAACAAAGCTATTTCTTTGGACAATCTGAACCTGGTAGGTTTGATACATTTTAATTGCAAAATAAATGACAATTAATGGTGCACTACTGTGATTTTTTTCCTTTATCATTATGCTTGCTGTTTTTTACATGTTGTGATTACTTATCCCTATTTTTATGTATGTCTGTGCCATGGTATATCTCTCTGACTAGTTTTTAAGTCAGGAGGAATTGTGTATCATGGGATACAAAATGAAATTTAGAATGACTTAAACAAGTTAAAGAATGTTTGTAACCAATAACCTTATTCTATGGCTGACTCACTTCTGCACATCATCTCCATAAAATTTGCCTTATGGAAAAGAACTTCATTTTCAGAGAAATAGGCTGATAAAATGTGGCATTAATATTATTAACAACTTTCCATCAAATGATATACGCAGTTTACTGAAAAGAAAAGCAGAGCTAATGGTAATAGTTGTAAATGTGCGTAGAAGATAATTGTAGTTCTATAGCTGGAGAAGCCTGGAAGATACTATTCCAACTTTCTCATTTTGCAGATGAGGACACTAAAATCCAGAGAACTGATTGGTTAAAGTTATGTCTAAGTTTAAATCATGTAAATGGCTCCTCTGGGTTTCCAGTGCACAACCTGCATGGCTGTACAATTAGTACAACCCTGTTTGATTTCATTCCATTTCTTTGAAGCTTAAAGATTAACTACGTTTTTTTGGATGACCTTTGTGTTTTACAAGGTGTGCACTGTGTTAGAGCTCTTGTGTGGAATTCATGCAAAGAAACCAAAAGAGCCATTTATGATTTGAACTATGGTCTCAGACTAAATCCTTCTCACATATGTACTTTAATATTAAGAGGGGCCATCATCAAGTCTATTACAGATGTAAATGAGCAGTTTAATGCAAATAAAGATCATGAAAACGTAAATGCAATATTTGTGGGGTTTTTTAAAATTTATTTTTTCTAAAAAAAAAGGATACATGTGCAGAATGTACAGGTTTGTTACATAAGTATACATGTGTCATGGTGGTTTGCTGCACCTATTGACCTGTTCTCTAAGTTCCTTCCCTTCACCCCCCACCCCCCAACAGCCCTGGTGTGTGTTGTTCCCCTCTCTGCATCCATGTGTTCTCAATGTTCAACTCCCACTTACAAGTAAGAACATATGGTGTTCAGTTTTCTATTCCTGTGTTAGTTTGCTGAGGATAATGGCTTCTAGCTTCATCCATGTCCCTGCAAAGGACATGATCTCATTCCTTTTTACTGCTGCATAGTATTCCATGGTGTATATGTACCACATTTTCTTTATCCAGTCTATCACTGATGGGCATTTGGGTTGCTTCCATGTTTTGGTATTGTAAATAATGCTGCAATAAACATATGTGTTCATGTGTCTTTATAGTAGAATGATTTATATTCCTTTGGGTATATACCCAGTAATGGGATTGCTGAGTCAAATGGTATTTCTGGTTCTAGATCCTTAAGAATTCACCATACTGTCTTCCACAATGGTTGAAGTAATTTACATTCCCACCAACAGTGTAAAAGCATTCCTGTTTCTCCACAGCTTCCAGCATCTATTGTTTCCTGACTTTTTAATAATCACCATTCTGATTGGCATGAGATGGTATCTCATTGTGGTTTTGATTTGCATTTCTGTGATGATCAGCGATGTTGAGCATTTTTTTATGTATCTTAGCTGTGTAAATGTCTTTTTTTGTCTGTTCATATCCTTTGCCCACTTTTTGATGGTTTTTTTTTGTTTTTTCTTGTAAATATGTTTAAGTTCCTTGTAGATTCTAGATATTAGATCTTTGTCAGATGGGTAGATTGCAAAAATTTTCTCCTATTCTGGAGATTGCCTGTCCACCCTGATGATAGTTTCTTTTGCTGTGCAGAAGCTTTTTAGTTTGATTAGATCCCATTTCTCAATTTTGGCTTTCGTCACAATTTCTTTTCCCACTTTTGTCATGAAGTCTTTGCCCGTGCCTATGTCCTTAATGGTATTGCCTAGATTTTGTTCGAGGGTTTTTATGGTTTGGTGTTTTACATTTAAGTGTTTAATCCATCTTGAGTTAATTTTTGTATAAGGTGTAAAAAGGGGTCCAGTTTGTTTTCTGCATATGGCTAGCCAGTTTTCTCAGCACCATTTACTGAATAGGAGATCCTTTCCTCATTGCTTGTTTTTGGTAGGTTTGCTGAAGATCAGATGGTTGTAGATGTGTGGTGTTATTTCTGAGGTCTTTGTTCTGCTCCATTGGTCTATATGTGTGTTTTGGTACCAGTACCATGCTGTTTTGGTTACCGTAGCCTTGTAGTATAGTTTGAAGTCAGGTAACGTGATGCCTCCAGCTTTGTTCTCTTTGCTTAGGATTGTCTAGGCTATGCAGGCTCTTTTTTTGGTTCCATATGAAATTTAAAATAGTTTTTTTCTAATTCTGTGGAGAATGTCAATGGTAGTTTGATGGGAATAGCACTGAATCTATAAATCACTTTTGGCAGTATGACCATTATCACGACATGGATTCTTCCTATCCGTGAGCATGGAATGTTTTTCCATTTGTTTGTGTCCTCTCTTATTTCCTTGAGCAGTGGTTTGTAGTTCTCCTTGAAGAGGTCCTTAATATGCCTTGTTAGCTGTACTCCTAGGTCTTTTATTTTCTTTGTAGTAATTGTGAATGGGAGTTCACTCATGATTTGGCTCTCTGCTTGCCTATTCTTGGTGTAAAGGAATGCTTGTGATTTTGCACATTGATTTTGTATCCTGAAACTTTGCTGAAGTTGCTTATCAGTTCAAGAAGTTTTTGGACTGAGATGATGGGATTTTCTAAATAGACCATCATGTCATCTGCAAACAGAGACAAGTTGACTTCCTGTCTTCCTATTTGAATACCCCTTATTTCTTTCTCTTGACTGATTGCCCTGGACAGAACTTTCAATACTATGTTGAATTGGAGTGGTGAGGGAGGGCATCCTTGTCTTGTGCCAGTTTTCAAAGGGAATGCTTCCAGTTTTTGCCCATTCAATATGATTTTGGCTGTGGGTTTGTCATAGATAGCTCTTGTTATTTTAAGATATGTTCCATCAATCCCTAGTTATTGAGAGTTTTTAATATGAAGTTATGTTGAATTTTATCAAAGGCCATTTCTGCATCCATTGAGATAATTATGTGGTTTTTGTTGTTGGTTCTGTTTATGTGATGGATTACTTTATTGATTTGTGTATGTTGAACCAGCCTTGCATCCCAGGGATGAACCTGAGTTGATGATGGTGGTTAAGGTTTTTGATGTGCTGCTGGATTCGGTTTGCCAGTATTTTACTGAAGATTTTTGTGTCGATGTTCATGAGCGATATTGGCATGAAGTTTTCTTTTTTTGTTGTGTCTCTTCCCAGTTTTGGTATCAGGATGATGCTCGCTACATAAGATGAGTTAGGGAGGAGTCCCTCCTTTTCAATTGTTTGGAGTAGTTTCAGAAGGAATGGTACCAGCTCCTCTTTGTGTTTCTGGTAGAATTCAGCTGTGAATCTGTGTGGTCCTGGGCTTTTCTCAGTTGATAGGTTATTAATTACTGCCTCAATTTCAGAGCTTGTTATTGGTCTATTTAGGGATTCAACTTCTTCCTGGTTTAATCTTAGTAGGGTGTATGCATCCAGGAGTTTATCCATTTCTTTTAGACTATTTAGTTTATTTGCATAGAGGTGTTTATAGTATTCTCTGATGGTAGTTTGTGTTTCTGTGGGGTCAGTGGTGATATCCCCTTTATCATTTTTTATTGTGTGTATTTGATTCTTTTCTCTTTTCTTCTTTATTTGTCTAGCTAGCAGTCTATCTATTTTGTTAGTGTTTTCAAAAAACCAGCTCCTGGATTCATTGACTTTTTGAAGGGTTTTTTTGTGTCTCTATCTCCTTCAATTCTTCTCTGATCTTAGTTATTTCTTGTCTCCTGCTAGCTTTTGGATTAGTTTGCTCTTGCCTCTCTCGCTCTTTTAATTATGATGTTAGGATGTCAATATGAGATCCTTCTAGCTTTCTGATATGGGTATTTATTGCTATACATTTCCCTCTTAACACTGCTTTAGCTGTGTCCCAGAAATTCTGGTATGTTGTCTCTTTGTTCTCACTGGTTTCAAAGAACTTCTTGATGTCTGCCTTAATTTCATTATTTATGCAGGAGTCATTCAGGAGCAAGTTGTTCAATTTCCTTGTAATTGTGTGGTTTTGAGTGAGTTTCTTAATCCTGAGTTCTAATTTGATTGCACCATGGTCTGAGAGACTGTTATGATTTCAGTTTTTTTTGCATTTTCTGAGGAGTGTTTTACTTCCAATTATGTGGTCAATTTTAGAATAAGTGCCATGTGGCATTGAGAAGAATGTATATTCTGTTGATTTTAGGTAGAGAGTTCTATAGTCGTTTAATAGGCCCACTTGATCCAGAGGGGAGTTCAAGTTCTGAATATCCTTGTTAATTTTCTGTCTCATTGATGTGTCTAATAGTGACAGTGGGTTGCTAAAGTCTTCCACTATTATTGTGTGTGAGTCTAAGTCTCTTTGTAAATCTCTAGAACTTGTTTTATGAATCTGAGTGCTCCTGTATTGGGTGCATATATATTTAGAATAGTTAGCTCTTTTGTCAAATTTTACCCTTTACCATTATGTAATGCCCTTCTTTGTCTTTTTTGATCATTGATGGTTTAAAGTCTGTTTTGTTAGAGACTAGGATTGCAACCCATGCTTTTTTTTTTTTTTTTGCTTTCCATTTGCTTGGTAAATTTTCCTCCATCCCTTTATTTTGAGCCTGTATGTGTCTTTGCACATAAGATGGGTCTCTTGAATAAAGCACAGCGATGGGTCTTGACTCCTTATCCAATTTGCCAGTCTGTGTCTTTTAATTGGGACATTTAGTCCATACACATTTGAGGTTAGTTGTTATGTTTGAATTTGATCCTGTCATTGTGATGCTAGCTGGTTATTTTGCACACTAGTTGATGCAGTTTTTTTTTTGTAGTATCATTGGTCTTTATATTTTGGTGTGTTTTTGCAGGGCTAGAACCAGTTTTTCCTTTCCATATTTAGTGTTTCTTTCAGGACCTCTTGCAGGGAAGGCCTGCTGGTAATGAAATCCCTGAGCATTTGCTTGTCTGTAAAGGATTTTATTTCTCCTTCTCTTATGAAGCTTAGTTTGGCTGGATATGGAATTCTGTGTTGAAAATTCTTTAAGAATGTTGAATATTGGCCCCCAATCTCTTTTGGCTTGTAGGGTTTCAGCTGAGAGGTCCACTGTTAGTCTGATGGACTTCCATTTGTAGGTGGCCTGGCCTTTCTCTGTGGCTGCCCTTCACAACTTTTCCTTCATTTCAACCTTGGAGAATCTGATGATTATGTGTCTTGGGGTTGATCTTCTCATGGAGTATCTTAATGGTGTTTTCTGTATTTCCTGAATTTGCATGTTGGCCTGTCTTGCTAGGTTGGGGAAGTTCTCCTGGATAATATCCTGAAGTGTGTTTTTCAGCTTGTTTCCATTCTCCCTGTCTCTTTCTGGTACTCTAATCAATTGTAGGTTCTGTGTTTTTATGAAGTCTCATATCTCTTGGGGGCTTTGTTTGTTGCTTTCATTCTTTTTTTCTGTATTCTTGTCTGCATGTCTTATTTCAGTAAGGTGGTCTTCAAACTCGGATATCCTTTCTTTTGCTTGGTTGATTTGGCTGTTGATACTTGTGTATGCTTCATGAAGTTCTCTTGCTGTATTTTTCAGCTCCATCAGGTCATTTTTGTTTCTCTCTAAACTGGTTTTTCTAGTCAGCAATTCCTCTAACTTTTTATCAGTTTCTTAGCTTGTTTGGAGTGGGTTAGAACATGCTCCTTTAGCTCATCGTAGTTTTTTTACTACCCATCTTCAGAAGCCTACTTCTATCAATTCATCCATCTGATTTCCCATCCAATTCTGTGCCCTGATGGAGAGACATTGCTATCATTTGGAGGAGAAGAAGCACTCTGGCCTTTTGGGTTTTCAGCATTTTTTCATTGATTCTTTCTCATCTTTGTGAGTTTGTCTAGTTTCAGTCTTTAAGGCTGCTGACCCTTGGATGGGGATTTTGTGGGGGCCTTTTTGTTGTTGTTGTTGATGCTGTTGTTGTTGGTTTCTGCTTGTTTGTTTTTCTTTCAGTAGTCTGGTCCTTCTTCGTAGGCCTGCTGCTATTTGCTGGGCATTCACTTCAGGCCCTATTCATCTGATTTGCTCCTGTGCCTGAAGATGTCACTCAAGGAGACTGGAGAGCAGCAAAGATGGGTGTCTCCTCCTTCTGGGACCTCTGACCTTGAGGGGCACCAACATGATGCTAGTAGGATCACTCCTGTATAGGGTGTCTGACAACCCCTGTTGGAGGGTCTCAGCCAGTTGGGTGGCATGGGGAGCAGGACCCATTTAATGAAGCAATTTTTCCCTTGGTGGAGAAGGTGTGTTTCTCAGGGGAAACCCACTCATCTAGGCTGCCTGGATTCCTTAGAATTAACAGGAGAGGCTAAGTCTGCTGGTCCACAGAGACTGTGGCTACCCTGCCCCCGACCAGGGGCTTAGGCCCAGGGAGATTTGAATTCTGTCCCTAGCCTCTGGCTGGAGTTATTAGAGATCCAGCAGGGAAGCCCCACCCACTGAGGAAGGATGGTTCAGGGTTAGGCTTTAAGAGGCCCTCTGGCCACAGACTGTCACAGCTGGTGTGTTGGGCTGTGGGGACAAGTCTTGGGACCAAGCCGTCCAGCCTCCCTGGCTCCAGCAGGGGAAAAGTGCAGCCTGGAGCTATAGAAACAGATGTCGCCCTTTCCCCTCCCAGGGAGCTGAGCGTGTTAGGCAGTTGTGAGTCCCGGTGCTGGCTGTTGCCCCTCCCCCAAGGTACTCAAAAGGCTTAGACAGCAGACAACCACAGCTGGTGCTAGTCACCCCTCCCCCAGGAGTTTGGTAGGCCTAAGCAGATTCCAGCTGAGAGGCTGTAGGAATCTGCACGTCTGGGCTGGGGGACGCTAGGCCCTGGTGGCGTGGGTCCACAAGTGGGATCTTCCAATCCGTGGGTTGCATAGTTCCGTGGAAAAAGCACAGTTTCCCCGGTTAGGTAGCGTGATCACTCATTGCCTCCCTTGGCTGTGGGGTGTGGGCTTCCCTGCCCCATGTGGCTCTCAGGTGGGCTGCCGCACCACACTGCTCTTCCTTCTCTCTGTGGCTCATGCTAGCCTTCTAGTCAAAAAAAAATTTTTTTTTTAAACGGAGTCTCGCTCTGTTGCCAGGCTGGAGTGCAGTGGCACGATCTTAGCTCACTGCAACCTCTGCCTCCTGGGGTCAAACGATTCTCCTGTCTCAGCCTCCTGAGTAGCTGGGACTACAGGCATGTGCCACCACCCCCAGCTAATTTTTATATTTTTAGTAGAGATGGGGTTCCACCATGTTGGCCAGGATAGTCTCAATCTCTTGACCTTGTGATCTCCCCGCCTCGGCCTCCCGAAGTAGTCAATTTTGATGAAAGAACCTGGATACCTTGGTTGCCAGTGAAGGATTCACATGCTTGTTGTGATTTTATTCAATGGAAGCCTCCAAATGCCGTGGCTTCTATTGGCCATTTTGGCACCACCCCCTAAATGCAATTTTCAATTTTCTTCTGCTGGCAGAAATATATAAAGAGCATGATCTCTATGATTTTTTCAGCTCAGGCTGATCTTTGTCCACTTATCGTAGGGAAGATGGGCTCCTCTTAGGTGTTGTTTTTCTCACAGATTGCCACACACCCCAGATTGTTCTTACCAAGATGAGGGTGATCGTTTTTTCAGAATTTTGTCTGTGTTAACAAGATGGCAAAATAGAAGGTCACTGACTTTAGTTTCTTTCACAGAAATACTGATTGGCAACTATCCACAGACAAGAATGCCTTTGTGAAAAATCCCAGAACCCAAGACGTAGTGGGGAGAAGGGACAGGGGAGGTGAGGCTGAAGCAGTGCCTTGGAGTACAAAAACTGAGAAAAGTCACCTTACAAGTCACATTTTGACGATGTTGCCCCTCTCACAGCCTGGCACAGTGCCACTCCAAGAGGGACCCTTCGGGCTTACGGTTTCTCCAGTGAGAAAAAGGGAGCTTGAGGTAGTCAGCTTCCCTAGCATTTCAGAGTGCTCCCCAGGAGGCCCACTTGTATCTGACTTCATGAGGAACACTGAGGGAATTGGCACGGCTAGAGCACAAGGGGTGGGCTAGGTACAAAAGAAGGGAGGCAGAGCTTATAGCTACCAGCAGACAAATCTTAGTGCTGGCACTAGATCCCTGCCAGCAGCCTTGACTAACCAGAGAGACCAGCCACTGGCTCTGCCCACCCACAGAACTAAGTCAGCTGCCCCAACTGGCCAACAAGGATGGTCAGAGTTCTGCCCAGCTGAGATTGCTGGTTAGTAGTCTGGCCTAGCCACAGAGCCCAGACTATAACCACACCAACTAGCAGAGCACAGCCTATAGCCCTGCCTGACAAAGAAGCCTGGCCAGTGACCCTTCCCATCCAAGGAACACAGTTAGCAGCCCTACCTAGGCAAGGGACCCAACCAGTTATGTTGCTCAACTTTGAGGCACAGACTATGGCCATGCCCAATTGCAGTGTCCAGCCAGTGGCTCTGCTTGACCACAGAGCATAGCTAATAGACTCACCTGACCAAGGACCCCAGCCAATAACCCCCACTTGACCTCATAACACAGGCACTGGCCCTGCCCAATCAGAGACTCTGGCAGCAAGCCTCATCTATCCATGATTACTACCAGATGGCCTATCCCACTCCAGGCTGGGATGACTCATGAAGGTCTTTTCCGAATGAAGTAAACTTATAAAGTCTGGAAGAGGGAACAGCTTAGTCAAATGCATAGACACCAATGCAAGGATGCAAGCATCACGAAGAATCAGAGGAACATGACATTACCAAAGAAAACAAATAAAGCTTCAATAACTGACTCTAAAGAAATAAGTATCTATAAACTGACTGGCAAAGAATTCAGAATAACCCTATTAAAGAAGTTTGTAACTACAAGAAGACACAGATAGGCAACTAAACAAAATTAGGAAAACAATACATGAACAAATGAAATGTTCAACAAAGAAAGCTGAAGAACGGAATTCTTCAACTAAAAAGTTCAATAAAGAGCTGATAGACTCAGGCAAGCAGAAGAAAGAATCAGTGAACTTGAAGACATCCTTTGAAATTATCCAGAGGAGTAAAAAATCAAAAAAATGAAAAACAGTGAAGAAACCCTATAGGGTTTATAGGACAGTATAAGCAAAACATATACATATAATGGGAGTCCTAGAATGGGAGAGAGAATGGGAAGAAAGTCTATTTTAAAGAATAATGACTGTAAACTTCCCAAATTTGGGGAGAGAAATGGACATTGAGATTCATTAGACCCAAAGGTTCTCAAATAGTTTGATCTCAAAGAGGTATACAGCAAGTAAATTAGCAGAATTCAAAGGCAAAGAGAGAATTTTGAAAGTACCAAGAGAAAAGTGACTCATCACATATGAGGGAGTCTCCATCAGATTGTCACTGGATTACTCATCAGAAACCTTGCAGGCCAGGAGAGAGTAGGGTCATATATTAAAAATATTGAAAGCAGTAAAACTGCCAAGAATACTATACCCAGGAAAGTTGTCCTTGAGAAATGAAGGAAAGATAAAGACTTTCCCAAACAAAAGCTGTGGGGGTTTATTACTACTAGACCTGCCTTACAAGAAATGCTAAAGGGAGTTAAGGGAGTTTTTCAATCTGAAATGAAATGATTATAATTAACAATGTAAAAATATATGAATGTATAAAACTCACTGGGAAAGGTAAATACAGTCAGCCCTCTATATCTTTGGGTTTCACATCTGTCAAGTCAACCAACCACAGATTTAAAATATTAGAAAAAAATCACATCAGTATTGAAGATGTGCAGACATTTTTCTTGTCATTCTTCCCTAGACAATACAGTGTAACAACTATTTATATAGTATTTACACTTTATTAGGTATTATAGGTAAATTAGAGATGATTTAACGTTGGAAAATGTGCATAGGTTATATGCAAATATTATGCCACTTTTTATCAGGGATTTGAGCATCTGAAAATTTTGGTATCCACAGAAAGTTCTGGAATCAATCCACCACAAACAGTGAGGGGCAAGTGTATATAGTTAAATTCTGAATTTTCTAATATTGAAATAGTGTTATGTAAATCACTTTCAACTCTAGTGTAAAAGTTTAAAGACAAATATTAAAAGTAACTTTAACTGCAATAATTTGTTAATGAATACACAATATTAAACAGATGTAAATTGTAACATTAATAACCTTAAATGTGACTTGGTGAGGAGAATTAAAAGTATAGAGTTTTTTTTGATGTGATTCAACCTATTATGAGCTTAAAATAAAATGTTATAACTGTAAACTATTTTTAAATAAGCCTCATGATAGCCACAAAGGAAATATGTGTAGTTGATACAGAAAAAATTAAGATAAAGGAATCCAAGCATACCACCATAAAAAGTCATAAAATCACAAAGGAAAACAGCAAAAGAAGAAGGGAAGAGAGGAACTCCAAAGCAGAAAACAACAAAATGGCAGTAGTAAGTCCTTGCCTATTGATAATTAAATATAAGTGGATTAAGTTATCTAATCAAGAAACATAGAGTGGCCAAATGGATTTTAAAAACCAAGATCCAACTATGCTGCATATAGGAGACTCACTTTCAGTTTAAAGACATGCATAGGTCTCAAGTGAGAAATAATTTGGCAAATAAAAATTAAAAAATAAAAAAAAGACACACATAAGCTGGAAGTGAAGGAATGGAAAATAATATCCCATGCATATGGTAATCTAAAGAAAGTTGGGGTGGCTACTTAGACAAAATAGACTTTAAGTCAAGAACTGTGACAAGAGACAAAGAGGGCCATTATACAATGACAAGGGGGTCATGTCGTCAAGAGGATATAACAATTGTAAATATATATGTACCCAAAACTGGAGTACCTAAATATATAAAGGAAATATTAACAGAACTGGAGGGAGGAGAAATAGATAGTAATACAATAGTGGTAGGGGACTTCAATACCCACCTTCCACAATGACAGCAAATCAGTAAGGGAACAGAAGAGTTAAACAATGTTGTAGACCAAGTGGCTCTAACAGACAAATACAGAACATTCTATCCAAAAGCAGCAGATTACATATTATCCAAGTAAAGATCAAATGTTAGGACTTAAAACAAGTCTTAAAATTTTTTAAGAAGATTGCAATCATATCAAGTATCTTTTCTGACCACAATGGTATAAAACTGGAAATCAATGACAGGAGAAAAATGGAAAACCACAAATATGTGGAAATTATGCAACACATTTCTGAACAACCAATGGGAAAAAGAAGAAACCAAAAAGGAAATTTAAAAAATATCTTGAGACAAATAAAATGGAAACACAACATACTAAAACTTATGGGATGCAGCAAAACCAGTTCTTAATATAGCAATAAATGCCTATGTCAAGAAAAATGAAAGATCTCAAATAACCTAACTTTAAACATCAAGGAAGAAGAAGAAGAAATCTCAAACTTAGCCGAATAAACAAAGTAATAAAGATAAGAACAAAACACATGAAATACAGATTAGAAAGACAATATAAAAGATTAACAAAATGAAGACTTTGATTTTTGAAAAGACAAACAAAATTGGCAAATTTAGCTAGATAACCAAGAAATAAAGAGAGGATTGAAATCAAATTATGAATGAAAGAGAAGGCATTACAACTGATACCATCCAACCACAAAGGGTCATAAGAGATTACTATGAACAATTATATACCAACAAATTGGGTAACCTTTTCTAGAAATATACGACCTACCAAGACTGACTCATAAAGAAATAGAAAATCTAAACACACCAGTAAAGAGTAAGGAGATTGAATTGTTAATTAAAAACTACCCAACAAAGAAGAGAACAGGACCGATGGTATCACTGATGGATTCCACCAAATATTTAATGAGCAGTTAATGCCAATTCTTTTCAAACTTCCAAAAAATTAAAGAGGAGGAAACACTTCCAAACCTGTTCAATGAGGCCGGCATTACCCCAACACCAAAGCCAGATATGGATACTACAAGGAAAGGAAATTACAGGCCAATATCCCTGATGAAAATAGATATAAAAATTCTCAACCAAATACTAGCAAACAAAATACTAGCAAAATTCAACAATACATTAAAAGGAGCATACACCATGATCAAGTGGAATTTATTCCAGGCATGTAAGGGTGGCATGATATACCAAATCAATAAGTATGATACAACACTTTAACAAAATGGAGGATAAAAATCATGTGATCATTTCAGTAGGTGCAAAAAAAGCATTTGACAAAATTCAACGTTCTTTCATTGTAAAAATTTTAAAAATTGGGTATAGAAGCAATATACCTAAACATGATAAAGACCATATATAACAGGCACACAGCTAACATCATACTCAATGTTGAAAAGCTGAAAATTTTTCTCTAAGACTAGGGGCAAGTCAGGATGCCCACTCTTGCTCCTTCTATTCAACATAGTACTGAAAGTCCTAGCCATTGCAAGAGGCAAGAAAAAGAAATAAAAGGCAACCACATCAAATAGGGAAAAGTTAAATTGCCTCTGATTGCAGATGACATGATCTTATCTATATAAAACCCTAATGGCTCCACCAAAGAAAACTATAGAAATAAGAAATTTAGTAAAGCTACAGGGTACAAAATCAATAAAAATCAGTTGCATGTCTACACACTATCTGAAAAAGAAAAACTATATCATTTACAATAACATCAAAATCAAAAACAACAAAATCCTTATGAATAAATTTAACCAAGGGGTGAAAGATCTGTATATTGAAAACTATGTGATGTTGATGATAGAAATTGAAGAAGACACCAATAAATGGAAAAACATCCAATGTTTTGGAAGAACCCCTATCAAAATTCCAATTCCACTTTTCACAGAAATAGAAAAAACAATCCTAAAACTCATATGGAACTACAAAAGACCCCAAATAGCCAAAGCAATCTTGAGAGAGAAGAGCAAAGTTGGAGGCATCAGACATTCTGATTTTAAGTTATTTTACAAAGCTATAGTAATAAAAATGGTATGGTACTGGCATAAAATCAGAAATGCTGACCAATGCAACAGAATAGAGAGACCAGAAATGAACCCATGCCTATGCAGTCAACTAATATTTTACAAGGGTATCAAGAACATACATTGCAGAAAGAATAATCTCTTCAATAAATGATGTTGGGAAAACTGGATATCTATATGCAAAAAGAAATGAACTTGACCTCTATCTTATATCACACAAAAAAATTAACTTGAAATGAATTAAAGACTTAAATATCAAACCCAAACCAAAAACTTCTAGAAGAAAACATAGGGAAAATATTCTCTGTCCTTGGTCTTAGCAATGATTTGTTTGGATATGACACCAAAAGCACAGACCACAAGAGAAAAAATAAACAAGTTGATCTACATCAAACCAAACAGCTTCTGTTTGATAAAGGAAACAACTAAATGAAAAGGTACCCTAGGGAATGGGAGAAAATATTTGCAAACCATATATCTGATAAGAGGCTAATATCCAAAATACAAAAGGAACTCATACAATATAATAGCAAACACAAACAATCTGATTTTAAAATGGGAAAAAGACCTGAAGATATACAAATGGCCAATAGGTATATGAAAAGATGCTCAGTATTACTAATTATCAGGGAAATGCAAATCAAACCACAATGAGATATTGCCTCAGACCTGTTAGAGTGGCCGTTATAAAAAATACAAGGGATACAAAGGATAACAGATGTTTATGAAGATGTGGTGAAATGGGAACCCTTGTACACTGTTGGTGGGAATGTAAATTAGTGCAGCCATTATAAAAAACAGTATGAAGTTTCCTCAAAAAATTAAAAATAAACCTATCATTCATTTGATCCAGCAATCTCATCTCTGGATATATATCTGAAGGAAATATAAGTAGTATTTGGAAGAGATATCTGCATCCCTATGTTCATTGTAGCATTAACCACAATAGCCAAGACATGGAATCAATCTAAGTATCCACTGATGAATGAATAGACAAATAAAATTTGTATATATGTATACACACACACACACACACACACACACACACACACTTACAAAGGAAAACTCTTCAACCTTGGTTCCCCCCAAAAAAGGGACATTCTGTCATTTACAGCAAAGTGGATGGACCTGGAAGATATGCTAAGTGAAATAAGCCAGACATATTAGAGGCTTTTGGCCCATTGTCACTTTGCATTTGCCTAGTGTATAACTGAGGACAGGCAGAACATATATCCTACTAATTTGCTTATAGCATATTTGATAGAGTTAATTTCAGCACACAGAACAATCTTTTTGTAGAAAGTGGATTCTCAGGGTGTTGTCAAGTCACCATAGTTTTCCCAGAGACCTCATCTCCATTAAAAAGAAAAAATAATAGGCATGGTAGCACATGCCTGTAGTCCTAGCTACTCAGAAGGCTGAGATGGGAGGATAATTTCAGCCCAAGAGTTCAAGGTTGCAGTGAGCTGTGATTACACCACTGCACTCCAACCTGGGCCACAGAGAAGAAAAGAGGTTACTTGGCTGAAGGTTCTGAAGGCTGTACAAGAAGCATGGTGCCAGCATCTGTTTCTGGTGAGGGCTTCAGGCTGCTTCCACTCATGACAGAAGGGACAGAGGAGCCAGCATGTTTGGAGATCACATGACAAGAGGAAGCAAGAGGCGTGGGGAGGTGCCAGGTTCTTTTTAACAACCATCTCTTGCGGGAACTAATAGAATGAAAACTCACTCCTTATGACGAGGAAGGCAGTGAGTCATTCATGAGGGATTCGCCCCCAGTGACCCAAACACCTTCCAAAAGGGATTCACTTCCAACAGTAGGGAACAAATTTCAACATAAGGTTTGTGAGACAAACATGAAAACTATAGCCAATATATTCTGCAGAATTTGGTGATTATTGATAATGGAGGTGGAAGTTCAGTGAACTCTTTACATTTATTCCCCTACAGATTGGAGGAACAGATTGCTGATTGTTTTTTAAAAGCAAAATGTTTTTGAAATTTTGCCTGAAATGCAAATGAAAGTTTTGCATGAAATTGTTGGGCTTCAGAGAGAAAAAAAAACATAAATATTTGGCAACCTAAGTGTCTAATTTTGTGTGGTTAGAAATCTTTTAATGCCTCCTTAGTATGCACTTCAAATGAAAGATTCTCACCAACTATTCTAATGCAATACTCTCATTGAATTTAACAGCTGTCTTTTCTGCTTTTTAGCTACTAATTTATTTTCCCCTTGCTCTTTAAAAATGAATGTTTATGTACAAATTACTATGTATATATGCTAAGATGTAGGCATAAATGGTATAGTCTAGAGTTGTTAAAATGTGTTTTACCTAAATAGTTGTTCCAAGGAAGAAGTTAACTATAATATTTATTAAACCAGAAATTTGCTGTGCTTACTTTAGCTAATATCTTTTCAAGATTGTATTCCTAATGTCAAGAGTTTTGCAATAGAAAATTAAAATTCTGCATTGTTATTTTTAAAACAAGCATTTTTCCATTCCACTTCCATTATATTCCCTTTTCCATTCAAATAGGCTGCTAATTCCACTACTGTGAAGAGTGCTTCGTTGAACGTATGCATCCATGTGTCTTTATGACAGAATGGTTTATATTCCTTTGGATATATACCTAGTAATGGGATTGCTGGGTTGAATGGTAATTCCGCTTTTAGGTCTTTGAGGAATCACCACAATGTCTTCCACAATGGTTGAACTAATTTACACTCCCACCAACAGTGTGTAAGCATTCCCTTTTGTCCACAACCTCGCCAGCATCTGTTATCTTTTGACTTTTTAATAGTAGCCATTCTCACTGGTCTAAGATGGTAATTCATTGTGGTTTTAGTCTGCATTTCTGTAATGCTTAGTGATGCTGAGATTTTTTTCTTTTTTTTTTTTTATTATACTTTAAGTTCTGGGGTACAGGTTCAGAACATGCAGGTTTGTTACATAAGCATACACATGCCATGGGGGTTTGCTGCACCCATCAACCCATCATCTACATTAGGTATTTCTCCTAATGCTATCCCTCCATTAGCCTCCCATCCCCTGACAGGCCCTGGTGTGTGATGTTCCCCCTCCCTGTGTCCATGTGTTCTCATTGTTCAACTCCTACTTATGGGTGAGAACATGTGGTGTCTGGTTTTCTGTTCTTGTGGCAGTTTGCTGAGAATGATGTTTTCCAGCTTCATCCATGTCCCTGCAAAGGACATGAACTCATCCTTTTTTATGGCTGCATAGTATTACATGGTGTATATGTGCCAAATATTCTTTATCCAATTTCCATATTTCTATCATTCATGGGCATTTGGGTTGGTTCCAAGTCTTTGCTATTGTGAACAGTGCCACAATAAACATACGTGTGCATGTGTCTTTATAGAATGACTTATAATCCTTTGGGTATATACTCAGTAATGGGATTGCCGGGTCAAATGGTATTTCTGGTTCTAGATCCTTGAGGAATTGCCACACTGTCTTCCACAATGGTTGAACTAATTTACTCTCCCACCAGCAGTGTAAAAGCGTTCCTATTTCTCCACATCCTCTCCAGCATCTGTTGTTTCTTGACTTTTTAATGATCACCATTCTAACTGGTGTGAGATGGTATCTCATTGTGGTTTTGATTTGCATTTCTCTAATGACCAGTGAAAAATGAGCTTTTTTTCATATGTTTGTTGGCTGCATAAATGTCTTCTTTTGAGAGACAACAAACATAAATGTGTTTGTTGGCTGCATAAATGTTCATATCCTTTGCCCACTTTTTGATGGGGTTGTTTTTTTCTTGTAAATTTATTCAAGTTTTTTGTGGATTCTGGATATTAGCCCTTTGTCACCGGATAGATTGCAAAAATTTTCTCCCATTCTATAGGTTGCCTGTTCACTCTGATGGTAGTTTCTTTTGCTGTGGAGAAGCTCTTTAGTTTAATTAGATCCCATTTGTCAATTTTGGCTTTTATTGCCGTTGCTTTTGGTGTTTTAGTCAAGAAGTCTTTGGCTATGTCTATGTCCTGAATGGTATTGCCTAGGTTTTCTTCTAGTGTTTTTATGGCTTTAGGTCTTATGTTTAAGTTTTTAATTCATCTTGAGTTAATTTTTGTATAAGGTGTAAGGAAGGGAGCCAGTTTCAGCTTTCTGCATATGGCTAGCAGTTTTCCCAACACCATTTATTAAATAGGGAATCCTTTCCCTATTGCTTGTTTTTGTCAGATTTATCAAAGATCAGATGGTTGTCGATGTGTGGCATTATTTCTGAGGCTGCTGTTCTGGTCCATTGGTCTATATATCTGTTTTGGTACAAGTACCATGCTATTTTGGTTACTGTAGCCTTGTAGTATAGTTTGAAGTCAGGTAGTGTGATGCCTCCAGCTTTGTTCTTTTTGCTTAGGATTGTCTTGGCTATGCAAGCTCTGTTTTTGTTCTATATGAACTCTAAAGTAGTATTTTCCAATTCTGTGAAGAAAGTCAATGGTAGCTTGATGGGGATAGCATTGAATCTATAAATTAAATTGTGCAATATGGCCATTTTCACGACATTTATTCTTCCTATCCATGAACCTGGAATGTTTTTCCATTTGTTTGTGTCCTCCCTTATTTCCTTGAACCATGGTTTGTAGTTCTCCTTGAAGAGGTCCTTCACATCCCTTGTAAGTTGTATTCCTAGGTATTTTATTCTCTTTGTAACAATTGTGAATGGGAGTTCACTCATGATTTGGTTCTCTGTTATTGGTGTATAGGAATGCTTGTGATTTTTGCACATTGATTTTCTATCCTGAGACTTTGCTGAAGTTGCTTATCAACTTAGGTAGATTTGGGCTGAGATGATGGGGTTTTCTAAATAGAAAATCATGTCATCCACAAACAGGGACAATTTGACTTCCTCTTTTCCTAATCGAATACCCTTTATTTCTTTCTCTTGCCTGATTGCCCTGGCCAGAATTTCCAATACTATGTTGAATAGGAGTGGTGAGAGAGGGCATCCTCGTCTTGTGCCAGTTTTCCAAGGGAATGTACCCAGCTTTTGCCCATTCAGTATGATATTAGCTGTGGGTTTGTCATAAATAGCTCTTACTATTTTGATAGGTTCCATCAATACCTAGTTTATTGAGAGTTTTTAGCATGAAAGGCTGTTGAATTTTGTTGACGGCCTTCTCTGAATCTATTGAGATAATCATGTGGTTTTTGTCATTGGTTCTGTTTATGTGATGGATTATATTTATTGATTTGTGTGTGTTGAAACAGCCTTGCATTTCCAGGATAAAGTGACTTGATGGTGGTGGGTAAGCTTTTTGATGTACTGCTGGGTTCAGTTTGCCAGTATTTTATTGAGGATTTTCACATGGGTGTTCATCAGGGATAGTGGACTGAAATTTTCTTTTTTTGTAGAGTCTCTGCTAGGTTTTGTTATTAGGATGATGCTGGCCTCATAAAATGAGTTAGGGAGGATTCTCTCTTTTTCTCTTGTTTGGAATAGTTTCAGAAGGAATATTATCAGCTCCTCTTTTTACCTCTGGTATAATTCGGCTGTGAATCCATCTGGTCCTGGACTTTTTTTGGTTGGTAGGCTATTAATTGCTGCCTCAATTTCAGAACTTGTTATTGGTCTATTTGGGGATTCAGCTTCTTCTTGGTTTAGTCTTGGGAGGGTGTATGTGTCCAGGAACTTATCCATTTCTTCTAAATTTTCTAGTTTATTTGCATAGAGGTGTTTATAGTATTCTCTGATGGTAGTTTGTATTTCTGTGGGGTGGGTGGTGATATCCCCTTTATCATTTTTATTGCATCTTTTTGATTCTTCTCTCTTTTCTGCTTTATTAGTCTTGCTAGTGGTCTACTTATTTTGTTGATCTTTTCAAAAAACCAGCTCCTGGATCCATTGACTTTTTGAAGGGTTTTTTGTGTTTTTATCTCCTTCAGTTCTGCTCTGATCTTAGTTATTTCTTGCCTTCTTTTACATTTGTTTACTCCTGCTTCTCTAGTTCTTTTTTTTTTTTTTTTTTTTTTTTTGAGACAGAGTCTCGCTCTGTCACCCAGGCTATAGTGCAGTGGGGCAATCTCGGTTTGCTGCAAGCTCTGCCTCCCGGGTTCACACCATTCTCCTGCCTCAGCCTCCCCAGTAGCTGGGACTACAGGTGCCCGCCACCACACCCGGCTAATTTTTTTTTGTATTTTTAGTAGAGATGGGGTTTCACCGTTTTAGCCAGGATGGTCTCGATCTCCTGACCTCGTGATCTGCCCATCTCAGTCTCCCAAAGTGCTGGGATTACAGGCATGAGCCACTGCGCCTCGCCTCTGGTTCTTTTAAATGTGGTGTTAAGGTGTTGATTTTAGATCTTTCCTGTTTTCTCTTGTGGGCATTTAGTGCTATAAATTGCCCTCTACACACTGCTTTAAATGTGTCCCAGAAATTCTGGCATGTTGTATATTTGTTCTCAACAATTAGTTTCAAAGAACATCTTTATTTCTCCCTTAATTTCGTTATTTACCCAGTAGTCATTCAGGAGCAGGTTTTTCCGTTTCCATGTAGTTGCATGGTTTTGAGTGAGTTTCTTAATCCTGAGTTCTAATTTGATTGCACTGTGGTCTGAGAGACTGTTTGTTATAATTTCTGTTTTTTTTGCATTTGCTGAGGAGTGTTTTACTTCCAATTATGTGGTCAGTTTTAGAATAAGTGTGATGTGGTGCTAAGAAGAATGTATATTCTGTTGATTTGGGGTGGAGAGTTTTGTAGATGTCTATTAGGTCTGCTTGGTCCAGAGCTGAGTTCAAGTCCTGGATATCCTTGTTAATTTTCTGTCTCTATGATCTGTCTAATATTGACAGTGGGGTGTTAAAGTCTCCCACTATTATTGTGAGGGAGTCTAAGTCTCTTTGTAGGTCTATAAGAACTTGCTTTATGAATCTGGGTTTTCCTGCATTGGAAGCATATATATTTAGGATAGTTAGCTCTTCTTGTTGCATTGATCCCTTTACCATTATGTAATGCCCTTCTTTGTCTCTTTTGATCTTTGTTGGTTTAAAGTCTGTTTTATCAGGAGACTAGGATTGCAACCCCTACTTTATTTTGCTTTCCATTTGCTTGATAAGTCTTCCTCCATCCCTTTATTTTGAGCCTGTCTGTGTCTTTGCACATGAGATGGGTCTCCTGAATACAGCACACTGATGGTTCTTGACTTTTTATCCAGTTTGCCCTCTGTGTCCTTTAGTTGGGGCATTTAGCCCATTTACTTTACTTTTAAGCTTAATATTGTTATGTGTGAGTTTGATCCTGTCATTATGATGCTAGCTGGTTATTCTTCCCATTAGTTGATGCAGTTTCTTCATAGCATTGATGGTCTTTACAATTTCTTATGTTTTTGCAGTGGCTGCTACCAGTTGTTCCTTTCCACATTTAGTGCTTCCTTCAGGAGCTCTTGTAAGGCAGGCCTGCTGGTGACAAAATCTCTCAGCATTTGCTTGTCTGTAAAGGATTTTATTTCTCCTTTGCTTATGAACCTTAGTTTGGCTGGATATGAAATTCTGGGATGAAAATTCTTTTCTTTAAGAATGTTGAATATTGGCCCCCACTCTCTTCTGGCTTGTAGGTTTTCTGCTGAGAGATCCACTGTTAGTCTGTTGGGCTTCCCTTTGTGGGTAACCTGACCTTTCTCTCTGGCTGCCCTTAACACTGTTTCCTTCATTTCGACCTTGGTGAATCTGACGATTATGTGTCTTGGGGTTGCTCTTCTCAAGGAGCATCTTTATGGTGTTCTCTGTATTTCCTGAATTTGAATGTTGGCCTGCCTTTCTAGGTTGGGGAAGTTCTCCTGGATAATATCCTGCAGAGTGTTTTCCAACTTGGTTCCATTCTCCCCATCACTTTCAGGTACACCAATCAAACGTAGATTTGGTCTTTTCACATAGTCCTATATTTCTTGGAGGCTTTGTTCCTTTCTTTGCACTCTTTTCTCTAATCTTGTCTTCTCGCTTTATTTCATTGAGTTAATCTTCAATCTCTGATAGCCTTTCTTCCACTTGATAGATTCAGCTATTGATACTTGTGTATGCTTCACGAAGTTCTTGTGCCATGTTTTTCAGCTGAGGTCATTTATGTTCTTCTCTAAACTGGTTATTCTAGTTAGCAATTAGTCTAACCTTTTTTCAAGGTTCTTAGCTTCCTTGGATTAGGTTAGAACATGCTCCTTTAGCTCGGAGGAGTTTGTTATTACCCACCTTCTGAAGCCTATTTCTGACAATTCGTCAAACTCATTCTCCATCCAATTTTTTTCCCTTGCTGGTGAGGAGTTGTGATCCTTTGTAGGAGAAGAGGTTCTTCTGGTTTTTGGAATTTTCAGCTTTTTTTGCTGGTTTCTCCCCATCTTCGTGGATTTATCTACTTTTGGTCTTTGATGTCAGTGACCTTCAGCTGGGATCTCTGAGTGGACATCCTTTTTGTTGATGTTGGTGCTATTCCTTTCTGTTTGTTAGTTTTCCTTCTAATAGTCAGGCCCCTCTCCTGCAGGTCTGCTGGAGTTTGCTGGAGGTCCACTCCACACCCTGTTTGCCTGGGTATCACCAGTGGAGGCTGTGGAACAGCAAAGATTGCTGGCTGTTCTTTCCTCTGGAAGCTTCATCCCACAGAGGCACCCGCCAGATGTCAGCCAGAGCTCTCCTGTATGAGGTGTCTGTAGGCCCCTATCAGGAGGTGTCTCCTAGTCGGGATACATAGGAGTCAGGGACCCACTTGAGGAGGCAGTCTGTCCCTTACAGAGCTCAAATGCTGTGCTGGGAGATCTGCTACTCTCTTCGGAGCTGCCAGGCAGGAACATTGAATTCTGCTGAATCTGTGCCCCAACCACCCCTTTCCCCAGGTGCTCTGTCCCAGGGAGGTGGGGGTTTTATCTATAAGCCCCTGACTGGGGCTGCTGCCTTTTTTTCAGAGATGCCCTGCTCAAAGAGGAGGGACTCTGAAGAGGCAGTCTGGCTGCACTGGCCTTACTGAGCTGCAGTGGGCTCTGCCTAGTTTGAACTTCCTGGCGTCTTTGTTTACACTGTGAGGGTAAAACTGCCTACTCTAGCCTCAGCAATGGTGGATACCCCTCCCTCTACCAAGGTTGAGCATCCCAGGTCCAGCTCAGACTGCTGTGCTAGCAGTGAGAATTTCAAGCCAGTGGATCTTAGCCTGCTGGGCTCTGTCGGGGTGGGACCCAACGAGCCAGACCACTTGACTCCCTGGCTTCAGCCCCCTTTCCAGGGGAGTGAACAGTTCTGTCTCACTGGTGTTCTGGGCAACACTGGGGTATGAAAAAAAAAAAAAAAAAACTTCTGTGGCTAGCTCAGTGTCCACCCAAATGACCACCCTGTTTTGTGCTGGAAACCCAGGGCCCTGGTGGTGTAGGCATGGGAAGGAATCTCCTGGCCTGTGGGTTGTAAAGACCATGGGGAAAGCACAGTATCTGGGCCGGAGTGCAAGGTACAGTCCCTAATGGCTTCCCTTGGCTGGTAGAGGGAGTTCCCTGACCCCTTGTGCTTACTGGGTAAGGCAATACCCCACCCTGCTTCAGCTCACCCTCCTTGGGCTGCCCCCACTGTCCAACCAGTCCCAATGAGATGAACTGGGTAACTCAGTTGGAAATGCAGAAATCACCCACCTTCTGCATCAATCTCACTGGGAGGTGCAGACCAGAGCTGTTCCTATTCAGCCATCTTGCCAGCAATCCTTGCTGAAATTTTTTTCATATGATTGTTGGCCACATGTATGTCTTCTTTTGAAAAGTGTCTGTTCATGTCCTTTGCCCATTTTTTAATGGGGTTGTTTGTTTCTTATAAATTTGGTTAAGTTTCTTATAGATGCTGGATATTAGACCTTTGTCAAATTTTTGCATAGTTTGCATTCTGTAGGTTGTCTGTTCACTCTGTTGATAGTTTCCTTGCTGTGCAGAAGCTCTTTCATTTAATTAGATCCCATTTGTCAATTTTTGCTTCTGTTGCAATTACTTTTGGTATCTTCATCATGAAGTCTTTGCCAATTCCTATGTCCTGAATGGTGTTGCCTAGGTTGTCTTCCAGGGTTTTTATAATTTTGTTAACCCAGTAATCTTAATCCTACAGCAATGAAAAAGTTTATTTGTTAAGTTTACATTTTTGGTAAATTTCAAAATACATCCAACTTTGAGTTTCACTTTGAGAATACCTTCAGAAATTATGATTCTGTGAATTTTAAACTTTAATCAGTATTTCAAAATATTTATTTGATGGCTTTATGACCATGGGACTTAACACTCTTCACCAAATTTGTGAGTTAGAGTTGCAGTAATCCCTCCCAACTGATTAAGGCAGAGAACCTTAATGCAGAAAGTGGTGTGGAACCTCTCTCTGAAGCTCAGGCTCAGAAATATTTGTTTGCCTTCAGCTGAGAGTGCTTTAGGCTTGGAATTTGAATCAAACTTAGTGCCAAGTCTTATGAAGTGAAAGGTCACCTAGTTAATGGAATGGTTTTAATAAAATGAGAATAGCTTTTTGTTATATAAAAAGAAAGTAAGCAAGTTCCAAAATGGAAGACTGAATAGTTATTCTAATAAGAAAATCAGACTTAGAAACATAGCAAAGTTATTCATTACTTTCTTGAATAAAAATTTATTTTGTGCCACTTACCTCTGTTTTAATTTTTACATTGGAGTACATTTCTTATATTTGTATTAATTTTTTAATTACAGTAGGTATTGCTGGGTCATCTCACTCAGAATGTGAAAAATAGAGTATGAATACTGAAGCTCTATTGCTATTAGAACTGGAGATAAACTGTGTGTGCATTGATAATTAAAACTCACCTTTCAATATTTATTATTTTAAAAACAAATTTTCAAGCCAGACATACCATTAATTCAAAGTCACAACTAACAAAGTCATCCAAGATTAGCCATTTGTATCACAAAACTGAAAATGCTTCTCAATTCTGTAGAGTATGGATGTTCATTATTGAGTTTATGGATTACTATGGTTAATTTAAACAATAGGAACCATCTGTGTGAAGATTTACACTAAAGCTAAATTAAAGATTGAGGAGCAAGCAAGTTAATTGTACACATAAACAAATATGCTTATTATAATTTATATTTGGGTGAGCTGATACTGATTGCTTCAATGTTTTCAATGTTTGGATGCCAACTGCCTCCATTTTTTTCACTTCCATTTTATATAAAAACTTTAAATCAGCCTTTTAGTCAAATTAGTCTATTGAAAATCTTCTGAGAAATCTGATCATTTTCTAATTGCTAGTGCCAATAATTTTTTTAATATATTTAAATCAAAGTTTAACATACATGTAGAAAAAAATGCACAAATTATAACTGCACAGCTCAATGTATTCTCTTTCTTAAAGGCAAGCACTATCTTAACTTTATGGTTTAGTTTTGCCTGATTTTTGAGCATCCTATAAGTATAATCACATAGTACTTCTGTATGTGTGTGTGTGTTGGCTTTGCTCTACCCAATATTTTTGAAATTCTTCTATGTTGTTAGGTGTAGCTATTTGTTTTAGTTTTTGTAGTGTATTCCACTATAGAACATACCATAATTTATCTGTTTTACTGCTGATGGATATTTGTGTTTATAGCTAGGTTTGGGCTCTTATGAATAATGATGCTTCTATGAACACTTTTGTGCACATATTTCTATTAAGTTGTATATTCACGAGTGGATTATTTTATCATAGGATGAATATTCTTGACTTTTGTAGATAACACCAACAAGTTTCTCCAAATGGTGGTAACGATTTATGCTTCCATCAGTGATGTAGTCTAGTGATCTAATTCTTCAAATATAGTATTTCAAGTTTTG
The DNA here is from genome assembly GCF_000001405.40 of Homo sapiens. Classification (NCBI taxonomy): domain Eukaryota; kingdom Metazoa; phylum Chordata; class Mammalia; order Primates; family Hominidae; genus Homo; species Homo sapiens. The sequence goes on from NC_000007.14 coordinate 112,665,146, forward strand.
AATTTTAGCTAAATAGGCGATACTGATATTGCATCTTTATTTGCACTTCCTTGATTACTAATGAAATTCATTACTTTTCACAAAGCTGATGTTTATTTGGATTTTCTATTTTGTGCAGTGCTGGTTCAAGGCTTTTGCTCATTATTTTAAAAACAGATTATTTTTTCTTATTAATTTGTTCTTATATATGTAAAATATCTCCTCCCAGTCTGTGGCTGTTTGTGTGTGTGTGTGTGTGTGTGTGTGTGTGTTTTAACTGTCTTAACTGTGTCATTTGAGGAACATAAGTTTTAGATTTTAAAAAAGTCAAATTCATCAGTTTTTTTTTAATTGTTGGTACTTTTTCTGTGTCCTGTTGCAGAAATTTGTTTCTCATCCTGAAGGCATGAGAATATTTCTTTTATTGTCTTCTAGATGTTTATTAATTTTCCTTTTATAAATCACATTTGAACATTGTGAGAGTTAGAGAACAAGCCAAACAAGGCTTGTAGGAGCATTAACCCATAAAAGTGGAGGATCTTTAAGTTCCACATAAAGTCAAAGACTCAAAACAGTTTTTACTTTAACCAGAAATTATAACATATCTTCCAAGATTCAGGAAAAATAAAGTAGAAATAGCATTTTTAGAAACAACAGGAGGTAGAGTTCTGCCTGTCATCAGTGTGCTTTGTGACTTTCCACTTAATTGGATTGCAGAACTCCTGAGTGTGCTCAAGAGTGAATTGCTTTGGAATGGGAGGACTGCAAGCCCAGCTTCCCTGAAGACTGCCACTGGGGAGCAGCAGATTTCACACAGGGGAAAGCCTTTGAACTTCTTGCAGGAAAGACAGTATATCTCAGTTAAGAGATATATGTTTGGAGAAAATCATAGTCCTTGTTTTTTCCCATGCAGATGGATTTTTATCTGAATTCTGATGTGTTTGTCACCAAACAGAAAATAAAACATGAGACATTAACTAAAAGACAAAAGTTTGAAAGGAAATAAGCTTCACAATTACTCAAGATGGAATCCATTCTACAATTTTTTTTCCTACAACATCTGTTTTACATTTCCCGATTAGCAATACTTTCATGAGAATTTAACAGATGAAATGAAAGTATATAGAATTAGTCCATTTTCACACTGCTGATAGAGACATACCTGAAACTGGGCAATTTACAAAAGAAAGAGATTTAATTGGACTCATAGTTCCACATGGCTGGGGAGGCCTCAATCATGGTGGAAGGTAAGGAGGAACAAGTCACATCTTACGTGGATGGCAGCAGGCAGAAAGGGCTTGTGCAGGGAAATTCCCATTTTTAAAACCATCAGATCTTGTGAGACTCCTTCACTATCATGAGAACAGCACAGGAAAGACCCACTCCCATGATTCAGTCATCTCCCACTGGGTCCCTCCACAACATGTGGGAATTATGGGAGCTACGAGATGAGATTTGGGTGGGGACCCAGAGCCAAACCATATCATATATGTAGATATGAAGATAAATATTCTGGTTCCACTTACCCTTGTAAATTAGGTTTTCAAAGTAGTTCTGATACTCTTAAAGAAGTTAATGATAATTAGAGTAGATTCCCTGAACTGAGTCTTGAATGGGTTCAATGTTTGTCATTTGAAAGGACTTGAGTAAAGAAATTACAGAAATGTGAATGACATTGATTGGTCTAGGTTCTTATTGGGTGGAGGATGGTGGAAAAGTTTTCAAATTTACATAAGGCCTGATTTGGAGTGTGTTGAAAACTAAGCAGAGAGGTTTGGGTTTGATGCATCAGAAAATACTGAAAACTTTTGGAGAAATTTAAAAGTGCTGAAAAGCAATATTTAAGAAAGGTGGCCAGATGTGGTGGCCCACACCTGTAATCCCAGCACTTTGGGAGGCCAAGGTGGATGGATCACCTGAGGTTGGAAGTTTGAGACCAGCCTGACCAACATGGCGAAACCCCGTCTGTTCTAAAAATACAAAATTAGCTGGGTGTGGTGGCTGTTGCCTGTAATCCCAGCTGCTTGGGAGGCTGAGGCAGGAGAATCACTTGAAACTGGGAGGCAGAGGTTGCACTGAGCCGAGATTGTGCCATTGCACTCTAGCCTGGGTGAAAAGAGTGAGACTGTCTCAAAAAAAAAAAGAGAAGAAAGGCTAACTGTGCAGTGATAAACAGAAGGAAATGAAATGGCAAGATCCTATGATGACAGGCCTGCTGAGGAGGCTTCCAAGGAGAAGAGGTGGTCAAATAGAGTAGAGAGTCACTCCCGTCCGTGAGAAGAGACCACCAAACAGGCTTTGTGTGAGCACCAAGGCTGTTTATTTCACCTGGGTACAGGCGGGCTGAGTCCTAAAAGAGAGTCAGCGAAGGGAGATAGGGGTGGGGCCATTTTATAGGATTTGGGTAGGTAAAGGAAAATTAGTCAAAGGGGGTTGTTCTTTGGTAGGCAGGAGTGGGGGTCACAAGGTGCTCAGTTGGGGAGCTTTTGAGCCAGGATGAGCCAGGGTAAGGAATTTCACAAGGTAATGTCATCAGTTAAGGCAGGAAAAGGCCATTTTCACTTCTTTTGTGATTCTTCAGTTACTTCAGGCTATCTGGATGTATATGTGCAGGTCACAGGGGATATGATGGCTTAGCTTGGGCTCAGAGGCCTGACAGAGAGCACCTTTCCAATCAGAAAAGCCTGGTGGTAACACTACCTTTATCATCTAGCCTCTCTGAGCCTACTTCTTATATAAATCAGGAATCTTTTGCTGGCAAGTAATTGAATTCCAACTCAATCTAGATTTAACAAAAGAAGAAATTTCTTGGATAATTACTGGATTGGCCTCACAAAGCTGAACAACCAAGGTTTGGGAAAACATGAACCCAGACAGCTGGGGGAACTCAAGAAATTGAACTAGAGATATAAAACCTGCCAGAATTCTCTTTTCTTCTCTAAGGAAGTTGGGGAAGGTTTCACAATGGGGTAAGGGATGTGACTATTCATAACTTTGTGCTCACCTCTTCTTGCTTCATTGCCAAGGAGAAAAGGGCTCTTTCTACAATTGAAGTCTTTACTTTTTTTTTTTTTTTTTTTGAGACGGAGTCTCGCTCTGTCGCCAGGCTGGAGTGCAGTGGCGCGATCTTGGCCCACTGCAACCTCCGACTCCCTGATTCAAGCGAATCTCATGCCTCAGCCTCCCGAGTAGCTGGGATTACAGGCACATGCCACCATGCCTGGCTAATTTTTGTATTTTTAGTAGAGACGGGGTTTCACCTGGCCAGGATGGTCTTGATCTCCTGACCTCATGATCCACCTGCCTCAGCCTACCAAAGTGCTGGGATTACAGGCGTGAGCCACCGCGCCCAACCGAAGTCCTTAAGTTTTGAGAAAAGCCTAACTTATAAGCTTAGGCAAGTTTCTTAAATCTCTGTGCCTCTGTCTCCTCTTCTGATAAATGGGAAAAACAATAGGACTTACATCATAGGGTTGTTGTAAGGAGTAAATGACTTAAAATATTTAAAGTGTTTGGAATAGTTGCCAGCACAAAGCTGTTGTTGTTATTGCATGATTGATTGTTGTTGTCTCACCCCGGGACATCTCTGTGGCCAGAGGTTGACCTAAATATGTCTGGGAGCAGGAATGAGAGCACTGTCATTGGCATCACAGGAATGGGGCAGAGCAGGAGCCCCAAAAGAGGATGTGGGAAAGGAAGGTGTGTCAGCCAAACAGAAACAGCTTTCCACTGTTTTCCTCATCCATAAAATAGCTTTACTATTAAGTTAAGTGTGATTGTGAGAATAATGATGTATGTGAAGTGCCTGTCATGTGGCAGGCCTTCAAGATATAATAGTTACTTAATCTACACATGACAAAACCACAGCCTGGGCTGGTTACAGTAATGGGCATTAATGAAATTATTATTTTGAAGGAAAATCAGAAGGATCTAGATTGGTTTGTGGATTGTATTGATGGTGGCCAGGGGCTGTGACTTTGGATGTTTTCCTATTAGGCTCTGCCTTGTAACAGAGAGCAGTCATACTTACATATATTCACATTAAAAGCATGTCTTGTTATTTCCTCCTATGGCCCTGGGAGTGGGAGTGTTCCTCAGGAAGAGGTGCATCCTGCAGTGTCTCTAGCTGGGTGGTATTTGGTCCATGCTACAGTCTAAGCAGCCTGAAGGGTGCCAGGATCCTGGGTTATACTTCTTTCAGTCAGAGGCTGTGGCCTCTTTAGTAACTGTCTCAGCAGACATATAAGTGTCCACAGCTGGCCAAAGAGAATACTGCTATCCCAAACCCATAATGGGAGAGGGTGTCCTTTTTTTGTGAGGCTAACAGGAGTATTGTGGTTCTTACCAGTTGCTACCAGATGACTCAGTTATTCTACTCTTTGCCTCATCTCAATATCCATGTTATTCAAAATCCAAACCAACACTTACATCATCATATTACATTGTGATGATTAATTCTATAGGCCAACTTGATTGGGTCTTGAGTGTCATGGGCTGCTGGCTAACCATTATTTCTCATCCTCATGTGCCTCTGAGGATGTTTCTGGAAAAAATTCCCATTTGAATGGGCAGACTGAGTAAAGCACATGACCCTCCCCAGCATGAGTGGGTATCATCCAGTCCATTGAGGGCCTGAATAGAACAAAAAGGCCAAGGAAGGTTTAATTAACTCTGACGGACTGCTTGATCTGGGACATCAGTCTTCCTCTGTTGGTGCTCCTGGCTCTCAAGTCTTTAGACCCAGACTGGAATCTATACTATTGGCTCTCAGGCTCTCAGACCTTGGAACTACATCACCAGCTTTCCTGGGCCTCTAGCTTGTAGATTGCAGATTGTGAACCTTCTCAGACTCCATAATGCCTGAGCAACAACTTAATAAATTCCATCATATATATATATATATGCATTATCTCCCATTGGTTCAATTTCTCTGGAGAACCCTGACCAATACATACAGTTCATAAATTTTGGCATCTAGTCTTCTACTAGTTAAATTGGTAATCTAATGATCATCTTTTTAAAAAATCCATGATATGATACATTGAGAATGGAAATCCAGGCCCAAGAGAGAGAATCCCAGACCTTCTTCAGCCTCAGAAATAAAAGATAGGCTTTTAAGGCCTCAGCTGAGAGACATGAAAATATTTTTTCATTTTAAATCCTTTAGAATGTATAAGGTAGAATACTCAAACCCTCAGTGATCCTTTGTCTGTGATGTGCTCGGGATGAGCAAGAAAAACTGCACTGCGAATCCTAGCAAGCTTTTAACTGTGGCATTGCTCTGAAAAAAATTACGTGAAAGGAGTTTTATAAGCATTTGATTGACATCGATTCTCACAGGAAAGAAAAAGCCTGGGAAGAGAATGAGGAAGAAAAAATTGAACTTTTGATTTATAGTTCAAGAGCACAGCAGACTAAAGAGAATTAAATAAAGGAGGTTAGGGAACAAAACAGAAAAGAAGGTAAAATATAGGTGGTAAAAAGGAAGCTACAGAGGATTCTACAGAACAGGAGATTGTGGGATATCTTTGTTTCAAGATAGTACTCTCTAATGTGTGGGAAATTGGGAGAGGGTTTATTATTTGTGAGGGTTACTTGACTTCATGTTAAGTGTTGATGACACTCATTGACCAGAGTTTTATTTGACATGCAAAATCCCTAGTTTGCACCTAAAATTTTATTATTTCTTTATAATCTCAATAATCCTGAGGCTGCCAAACGTGTGTGCACATATACCTATTTGTGTGTGTGTGTGTGTATATATATATGTGTGTGTGTGTTCTTTGTAGGAACACATCCAAAATGGGTGCAACCAGCACTACCATTTCCTTCTCTAACAAAATTGTAATACAATATATATTATATTACAATTATGTAATTGTATTATAATTATGTATTATTACAATTCTGTTATAGAAGAAAAAAGTAGTGCAGGTTGCACCCATCTTGGATGTGTTTCTATGACAACAGTACCTCATCTGCTCATATATCAGCTTTATGCTAATTTTGTTATTAATACATTGGTTGACTTTGGAGTTAGAGCCTTCTAAATTACCTGGTTGTATTGAGCAAATGAATTAATATTCACCATTCCCCATCCTAACTAATTAATAGCAGTGGAGCAGTAGCAGTAACAATTTCTACCTCTCTAGTATTTTACAATTTACAAAGTGCTTTCTTAGATTTATCTCATTTGATAAATAGATATACAAGTGAGTGCTGCATGCATGCAACTAGCTCTTTTGGCAAACAAAATGCCATAGTTAAGTGAGGGTATGTATCTCTTTTCTTACAACCATAGGTATTGAATTCTATACCAAGCCCTATTTCAATAAAAAATTTAAGTAGACAAATATCGGTTGCAACATGAACGATAGGTTTAATTAATACAAAAGACACAGAAAGCATGTTAATAACCAAAACTGCAGTGCTCTACCCACTGAGCATCAGACAGTAACACAGAAAAGTAAAACAAGCTCTACTGCTGATTAAGATTAATTGAAAAGATTCCCAGAAAGTAGAAAAGTACAGCTCAATTTTGCTTTAAAAACGTTAAATATATTTAGCACATGCGTTTCTTTTTGTAATTGATTTATGGCTGATTATCATTTAAAAGAGTTTGATTTAATGTTTTTCTTACAGCTGTATTGAGGGTTAATTGATATATAATAAATGGCATATATTTACAGTGTACAGTATGAGAAGCTATGGCATACATGTACACTCATGAAACCATTACCATAATCAAGATAATAACATACCCATTACTCCCTGATATGGTTAGTCTTTGTGTCCCCACCCAAACCTCATCTTGAGTTGTAATCCCCATAATTCCCATAATCCCCACGTGTCAAGGGAGACACCAGGTGGAGGTAATTGAATCATAGGGACAGTTTCCCCCATGCTGTTCCTGCGATAGTGAGTGACTTCTCACGACATCTGATGGTTTCATAAGGAGCTCTTGCCCCTTCATTTGGCACTACTCCTTCCTGCCGCCTTGTGAAGAAGGTGCCTTGCTTCCCCTTTGCCTTCTGCCGTGATTGTAAGTTACCTGAGGCCTCCCCAGCCATGGTGAACTGTGAGTCAAACCTCTTTCCTTTATAAATTACCCAGTAAACTGTACATTTGTATCCAACTCTCAGTAAACTGGATAATTTATAAAGGAAAGAGATTTAATTGACTCACAGTTCACCATGGCTGGGGAGGAAAGGTGGAAGAGCCCCTTATAAAACCATCAGATCTTGTGAGAACTCTCAGGCAGTTCTTGATAGCAGTTGAAAATGGCTAATACACCCCCAAAAGATTTCTAAGGCTCCTCTGTAATTCTCTTCCTACTCCTCTATTATCCAGGTAACTACTCATCTGCTTTCTATAAATTAGTTTGTATTTTCTAGAATTTAATATAAATAGACGAATCCAGTGTGTGCTCTTTTTTTGTCTGAATTCTTTCAGCACAATTAACTTGAGATTCATCCATGTTCTTAATATGTATAAATAGTTCTCTCCTTTTTATTGCTGAGTGGTATTCCATTGGATGAATAGTCACAATTTGTTTATCTATTCACCTGCTGATGGAAATGTGTTTTTTCTCTCATTTGGGCTTGTTACAAATGCTGGGAATATTTATGTACAAGTCTTTATATGGACATATGTTTTCATTTATCTTGGGTAAATACTTAGGAGTGGGATGGCTGGATCATATGGTAAGTATATGTTTAACTTTTTAAGAAACTGTCAAACTGTTTTCAAAAATAGGAGTAAAGGAAATTGTTTATACAACAAACATTTCTTCAGCATAAAATTTAACTTACGTTGTTTAAAACAGTTGATTCTTAGGGCAGAGTGAGAGGGAGCGGGGAGATTGTTCACACTAATGAGTGTTTTAGTACTTTTGATTGACATGCTAAAGTTTGCACCAATAGATTTTTTTCAAACTATTTCATGCTAATGTGCCAAATACAATCTCATTATTCATCCAAGGCATCCATTTCATTGCAAGGCTGTAGCAAAAATATGTCAGTCATTTGTTCTGCATCTTCCCTTGTTTACATTGAGGTTAATGGAAAGATCATTACTAAAATATCCATGTTTGGAATTTCATTACATGGAGAATTTAGTGATGTATACAGATTACTTAGTTACAAATACAGATTAATTGAAAACAGGGACCTAAAAAAAAAGATGTATTTCTGGAAGTACATACACATTTCCCTAGAATCAGTAAGTAACCGAGTTTGATACCCAAGCTATAGGACACATAGAGAGTTTGATACAAACTTAGATACCTGTACCAAGCTCCCCTTTCTGTATGGGGTTTTCCTCCTTTAACAAGAAAGGAGAGGGAAAGTCATTCTGCCTTTAATATGAAAATAGCTATAGATCCCATTCCACATACAGAGCCAGCATCTCCCATTCTCTGGCCTCCTCCCTGCCCCTTCCCATATTATTAGAGATTTTAGAGCCCATGTTTCTCCTAGTCATTTCTTGCTTTAAATTCCTGCTTCCACTGTACTCCTGATCTTCTTTGTGTCTTGCCTCCTGTAGCTGATCTCTTGTGTGTGCCCCCCACATGAACACAAACATGGAATAGCCCACTTTTCTTTAATCCCACAAAGTCATATAGGCTCCTGTATGTAGCAGAGTAGTAGTCTAGGTTTGCAGACATGGAAAGTGCAGTAGGGATTGCATCACAGCACAGCACACAATTTAATTGAACATTAAGCATTATTTTTCCAGAGGTCTTCAGCTACCTGCCTTAGAAAATTTCTGCCCACTGGTGAAACCCCATTTCTATCAAAAAGTATAAAAAATTAGCCGAGTGTGGTACGTGAGCCCGTAATCCTAGCTACTTGGAAGGCTGAGGCAGGAGAATCGCTTGAACCTGGGAGGCAGAGGTTGCAGTGAGCTGAGATTGTGCCACTGCACTCCCACCTGGGTGACACAGTGAGGCTGCATCTAAAAAAAAAAAAAAGGAAGAAAGAGAGAAAAAGAAACTTTCTGCCCACTACCATATTCCTCTTCCCTTCACTCTTTCTCCAGTCCTTTGTCATTCTCCACTTCTTTGAGCTTCCTGAAATCCCTCTAACTCTTTCTCTCCATACATACAGGGTTTCAGAAATGCCTGTGTTTTAACACAGATAGAGCAGTACTTCTCAAACTTAATATGCATATGGATCGAGCAGTACTTCTCAAACTTAATATGCATATGGATCACCTGGAGATTGTATTATAATATAGATTCTGATTCAGTGGGTCTTAGTCTGTTTTCTGTTGCTCTAACTGAATAGTTGAGATGGATGATTTATAAAGAAAAAGAATTTATTTCTTACAGTTCTGAGGGCTGGGAAGTCGAAGTTTGTGGTAACACACCTGGTGAGGGCCGTCTAGTTGCTGGGGACTCTCTGCAGAGTCCGAGGGTGCTCAGGGCATCACACTGTAAGGGGGCTGAGTTGCTAGCTCAGGATTCTCTTTCTTTTATAAAGCCACCCTTTTATGTCCTTCTCTAATCCTAATTACCTCCCAAATGTTCTGCTTCTCAAATACCATGGTTGCATTTCCCATCCTCTTAATACTATTACAATGGGGATTAAGTTTCAACATGACTTTCAGAGGGGACAAACATTCAAACTGTAGCAGTGGGTGTGGGGTGGAGCCTGAGATTCTGCTTTTCCAACAAGCCCCCAGGTGCTGGCAATCCTGCTGGTCCAAGGACTAGGCTTTTGGAAACATCAGATGGGAGCAATCCAACTCTGATCCCCATCCATTTCTGAATCTACCTTTGTCCATCCCAGGCATCCTCAACTGGAGTCATTTTTGCCCCCCAAGGGACATTTGATAATGTCTGGAGATATTTTTGGCTGTCACAATTGGGGTGAGGCCAGGGATATTCCTGAACACCCTACAATGCAGAAGTCAGCCCCCCGCCCCCTGAAAACAGGAATTATTGAGCCCAGAATGTCAATAATGCTGTGGTTGACAAACCCCATTTATTGCAATACTCTAAACTGCTTTTCTGAACAAAAGACCACCTACCTGGTGTCTCCACCCTAAAAGAACACTTGTGTGGATATTTTGAATGTTAACACTGCTGAGGCTTTCCTTCCTTAGCTCAGTTGCTGATTTCTATTTAAAGAGTGCATCTTCCTCTTCTAGAAATTAAACTCCCTATTCTTCTGCTCATATTTGCAGGCAGAAGTGGCTGAAGTCAGTCGTATTGTTTTTGTTTGTTCACTTTAAGTATCAATAAAAATTTTTTTGGCTAAGAACAAGTGCAATGTAATGTATATTTATTATTATGAGTACATGTTATTAATAAGCCTCTGCTTTATCTTCTCCTACAGTTTTATTCTCTGCTATCTTGGCATTAAGAGATAAAAAGAGATCTCAAACATCCTCCTAGCATAAAAAAATCACTTTATAAATATACAAGGAAAGAAACTACTTTAATTGATGGAGTTCTGGTTTAGGTTAAAGAATGCCCTCTCCTTTTCTCAGCTTCTACCAGTGATGTGCTGGTCACAGTCCTAGTTATGTGAAGGTTCTTTTTAAATAAAGTATATGATGATGATGAATGTTCCCCAAATAATACTAAAATACCTTGCCAGAATCGGGAACTTACCAACGGTGAAATTTGAGGGATTGGTATTCCTAACATTCCTAAGGAGGAATGGAGGAATTAGTAGTATCAGTTACATACAAATTAGAATTCATACGAATTCGTGAAAGGGAATAGTCTTGGATTAGTATGATAATACTAATTAGTACCCCATGGAGGGAATAGTCTTGGATTAGCATGATAATTAAAAGTAAGGGCCAGGTGTGATGGCCCATGCCTGTAATTCCAAAAATTTGGAAGCTGAGGCAGGAGGATTGCTTCAGGCAAGAAGTTTGAGACCAGCCTGAACAACATAGTGGGACCCTTTTGTAGAGACAAAATTTTTGTCTCTACAAAAAATTTAAAAATTAGCCTGGTTTCAAGTAAAGTAGTTCCTTAAACCAGAACTGGGTGTGGAGGCGTGTGCCTGTAGTCCCAGCTACTTGGGAGGCTTGAGGCAGGAGGCTTGCTTGAGTCTAGGAGTTTGAGGCTACAGTGAGCTATGATCCTATGATCCTGCCACTGCACTCGACTGGGTGATGGAGCAAGACCCTGTCTCTAAAAATAAAAAAAAAGTTAAAAAGTAGGTCTGCAGCTAGAGTTCCTGGGTTAGAACCTTAGCTGTACCAATTGCTTTGTGACCTTGGCAGTGCAAGGCAAGGCAAGCTCTGTAACCTTGGCAGGCAGCTGTAGGGTACATATAATACAGGGTTTAGAATGGCACACTCTGGAGTTGTACAGTGCACAATCTGCACAGCCGTATGTGTAGCCTTGGTCCTTGGGCACTTTTAAAAATCAGTCTTTGCCTCTTTTTCTTCTTTTGTAAATGAAGATAATAACTATCTACCTCATAGGGTTGGTGAGAGTTTTAAATGACACCATATTTATGAGGTATTTAGGACAGAAGCTAGCACATGATAAGCATTCAATAAATGCCACGTTGTCTTAATTTTCTTTACAATGTAGGACAGAGAGATAGTAGGGATTTCCATGAAATACAAGAATTTTCTGTGGCTTTGGGAAAAACTATAGAGTAGAGGAAGTAGAAGGAGATTGGATATTAACAATAACATCTAATATTCTCTGTTGTTAATATAATATTAATGCAACTCTACTCAAAATTAATAGGACAAAATTCTAGACAATTAATTATTATGAATCCAAACACCAGGCTCAATTCTCACCCTACTTGATCCATATCAGCCTCATTTATTTTAGGAAAGTGTTTACAAAACTGACTTAACACCATTCTCCCAGATTTTCTGAGGTATTGATCAATGGATCAGACATATAAAAAGCATCTCCTACATCTTTAAGCTACCCCTACTAAAACCATATCTATTACATTACCCAGCATAGTAAAGATTGATGTGATTTGTTCCAGAACTTACAGTTAGGCAAGTGATAATCTCTGGAGAAAACAATATAGATAGTTGCACAGCTGTGAAGCTATCTGCCTCACCTGCAAGGAATGTCAGAACTAAATTTAATACTTAGAGAATTACATCACCTTCAGTTTCCTTTTTCTGTATTAACTTAGATCTCTGTCTTAGCTTTATTTCCCTGTGTATAAGACTATGTGCCTTTTTTATAAGATCAAATTCTTTTATGCAAACAGGAAAGAAATAGATTACACATTTATTTAAAAGGTAGTAATATGTTTGATAACATCTCTACCATTTTTCAAGACATTCAGGCTCAAACCTTGTAATCCTCTCTTTTTCCTTCCCTTCATTCCCGAAAGCTATGTCACGCAGATTTTTTTCTCTAGAAAATTTGTATAGCCATTTTCCCCTTCATCCCCATTGTTCCCACTGTAGTCCAGGATCTTACCATATTATATGTAGATTATTATGACATCCTCCCATCTGACTTCTTGGCCTTATGTGTGTCCCCTTGAAACTAGCCTCAATATTCATATTCAGTAAGTGCCACTTTCATCAGGACATTCCTATGCTCAAAAACGTACTTTGATTCTCGATTTTGTCTCTATGTTTTACCTTCATTTTGCCTGGCCCTTTGGCTGTATCGTACTTGCTTCTCTGACCTTTCTTTCTTTTAACCTTTTGTATTGAAACTCCGCTCTTTTTTAGCTTGTTTCCTCACTGCCCCATGCCTCTGTCTCCAAACCTTTGCTTATGTTTCTCTCACCAGGGGTGCTTATCTTCTCCCTTCCCCTGCTCAGTTGAAATGCATTTTTGTTGTTTTTTAAGCATTATCTTAACAGGTAGCATTAAAGTTTCCCTTAGGGAGAGAATCATGTTTGTTTACAGAACAAATCTTGATAAGGTGTGCTTGGAATGAAAGGTGGAACCTTGAAAGCATGGGTTGCAGCATCCAAGGAAGAAAAACAGCTAAGTCCTCTGCATTAGAGATGGAGATGGAGAGAACTGGGAATGAGAGAGGAGAGGGGAGAAAGGGGAGGGTCAAGCAACAAGGTGGAATGGTTTAAGAATACGGATTTTCAGTGCTCAATTTGAAATTATTTTCTTTACTGGTCTCCATTGTCTCTAATTTTCACTTTGATTTGCTCTTGTTAGTTGAGTTTCACATTTGATTCAATGCCGAAAAGCACATTGCTTTCTCTTGAGCTAGATTTTAAGCTACTTGAGTAGAGCCGGGCACGGTGGCTCATCCCTGTAATCCCCCTCTTTTAATTGTCCTCTTAAAAGAGGACGAGGTGGGCGGATCACGAGGTCAGTAGATCGAGACCATCTTGGCTAACACAGTGAAACCCCGTCTCTACTAAAAATACAAAAAAAAAAAAAAAAAAAAAAAACCTAGCCGGGCGTGGTGGCGGGCGCCTGTAGTCTCAGCTACTCTGGAGGCTGAGCCAGGAGAATGGCGTGAACCCGGGAGGCGAAGCTTGCAGTGAGCCGAGATCGCGGCACTGCATTCCAGCCTGGGAGACAGAGCGAGACTCCGTCTCAAAAAAAAATAAAAATAAAATAAAGAAAAAGCTACTTGAGGTTACAAGTTGTAAAGAGGTTACAACTTATATTCATTCAGAACTCACCACAGGGCCAAGCACAAGCACAGAGCTGGGCAAGCGCATATGCAACTGACCATTGATGGAATCTACCTTTAAGTAGACATGATGATTAATACTCATGGATATGTGCAGCTGGCAGAGTAATAGAATACCCAAAGCTTAAAGGAAAATAAATTGTTGTAAAACGTGTTTTTGGGAAGTGAGCTAAAATCTCCTAGTTTACAGCGGAAGTTGGCAGGTTTTTTTCTGTAAAGGGACAGATAATAAATATTTTTGCTTTGTAAAGCATAATCTCTTTGTCGCAACTATTCAAGTTTGACCTGTGGCCTATGCAAAAGCAGCCATAGATAATAGATAAACAGATGACTATAGCTGTGTTTTGATGAAACTTTATATATGGATACTGAAATCTGAATTTTATATACTTTTCATGTGAAGAAGAAATATTCTTCTTTTAATAGTTTTCAACAAGTTAAAAATGTAACAGCCATTCTTAACTCATGGGCTGTCTAAAACCAGGTGGTGGGCCTGATTTGGCATTTTGTTCTCAATAGGTGACCTCCGATTTAGATAATCCATCTTACTTGCTTGTGTGTTTTATGAAATAAGCTCTTATTTTAAAAAAATATACTTTCTATTCTGGGAATTCTGTATATGATTTTGTTTAAAATGAGGATTTCCTTCTTTAAAAAAAAGTTTGAGAACTCTTGATCATGATTTTAGACCATCATCAAGTGGTTATTTTTCTCTTGAGTTACTATTAGAGCTTTGAACTGTATACCAGAGCTGTCAATCATAAATGTCTTGAATACATGGGTTGAGAGGATACATATGTAGAACATCATTATTCAAGCACTTCCATATTAGATGGCTATATCTCAAAGACTGGGTCTTTTTCCAATCACTAGAACAGCTAGAGATTCTGTTTCAATTAACGTCTCCTTTTTTTTTTTTGACACAGAGTCTTGCACTGTTGCCCAGGCTGGAGTGTAGTGGCGCGATCTGGGCTCACTGCAACCTCTGCCTCCTGAGTTCAGCAATTCTCCTGCCTCAGCCTCCCAAGTAGCTGGGATTCAGGCACCCACCACCATGCCCAGCTAATTTTTGGTATTTTTAGTAGAGATGGGGTTTCACTTTGTTGGCCAGGCTGGTCTCAATCTCCTGACCTCATGATCTACCCACCTTGGTCTCCCAAAGTGCTGGGGTTACAGATGTGAGCCACTGTGCCCAGCCTTCAATTAACTTCTTAAATGTATGTCTATTTGTTTGCCTTTGCTTTGTCGATGTTAAAAAAAAAAGAAAAGGAAAAACGGATATAAAGAAATGCATGTGCATCTGCATCTTTGCCAGTGTTGGAGGACTTAAAATATATCTACATTAAATGTGTGCAACATCCCTGAGCTTGGTATCTGATGACTTTATGAATATTATATAAGCTTGAAAGCCAATATTCAGAAGAATATCTTGGCTTCAGACTGAAAATAATGCAAAGCTGCAATTTTCTTGCAGAAATTCCTAAAGTTAGAGCTTTATTTGCCTAGGGAAGAAATTCATAATTCAGTATTCCCTGTTAGCTTTTCTGAATCCCAAAGATGCTGGAGTCTAATTCATATGCTACCCCTCAAACTTTCATTTTGCATTTACTCCCACTAAGGGTCATTTAGCTTTAAAATTTTATCAACCATTTTCATAAAGATATCACAATATAATGAAGGGATAATCAAAAATATTTTTTAAAAATTATCCTGATAACTCATTTTATGTTGATTATATGCCTGACTCACCATGGTTACAACACATTCTAAATTTGCCCAAAAAGCCTAGAGAAAGAAATGAGGAAAGATAGAAAAGGATGATGATACCAGGAAAGTAAAAATACACTTCAGTAAACCTCTGAAAAGAGGCATAGGAATTTTCACTCGAATGCAAATACATGTGTCTCACAGTAGAATCAAATAGGGCATGATTCATAACCCAGTTCCTACCCAGTGTGATTTATCAATATAATTTGCTTTCTTGTTGCTATATTAAATTGTGCTTGGAGAAGATGCCAATTTCTTCTAGTTTTAATACGTTTTTCTCATTGTGATTGGTATTTGTTTGTACCTTAACCAAAAAAAAAAAAAAAAAAATTGAAGAAAAGAAGAAAACAGTTACATTTGGTTTATTAAAAATGTCTTTCTTCTGGATTATTGTGGTCTTTAGATGGCCCTCACACAATCACAGTGGTAAAGCTAACAGAAAGGCATATTTCAGAATTATAACTTTCAATCTAGGCATGTATGCTTAAAGTTGGGGATAGATGTTAATTAGAAAATCCATATTGGTTTTCAAACCATTAATACTTATGACGACTAAATAAAAACAGGGAATGTATTTTTCCACCCGGAAGCAAAACTACTGGAACTATAGGCAGACACACACACACACACACACACACACACCACACAATTTGGGCCCCAACGGAGTGTAAGAGCAATGATGACTAGATCATTTTTGAAAATCCAGTAAAACTATTATGTAAATGTGGAAGATGATAATTTGGTAGGTTGACTTTTTCACTTTTCTTCAACTGGTTATTTTTGTGTTACTTAGCTGCAACTTGTGTGTTGGAAATTAACACGGTGATCAGAAGTATAAGGTTATGAATGACCAATCAGAGAGAGAGACAAAAGAGAAAAGAAGGAAAGGAAGAAACTTTTTATGTTGGTCCCTGGGAATGGCTGGATGATCTTTTTCCCCAGCATCTATTTTTCAAGATTATAGTGGCTATAAAATTCACTCAGCTGAGGAGGATGAAAATCATTTTTTAATTTACAAGCTTGCCAAGCAGTTTACTAAGCAGCTTAGGGGGTTGGTTGTTTGTATTTATGTTCTCAGTCAATGATAGAATTAACTTTAATTGTATATAATGAGATTTGAGAGATTTTAAGTGTAAAAGCCACAAATGCAAAGCTTTTGGTAATTTTCTGAGATTTCACCACCTCACCAATCCCACTGTGAGCCCTATATTCAAGAAAAGCAAATAAAGTTTTTATCTTTTTTTTTTTTTTTTTTTTTAATAGAGACGGGGGTCTCACCATGTTGACCAGGCTGGTCTGGAACTCCTGGCCTCAAGTGATCTGCCCACCTCAGCTTTCCAAATTGCTGAGATTATAGGTGGGAGCCACCACAACCGGCCAGAAATAAGTTTTTAAAGGATAATAATTATTTTAGGAGTTTTCCTTAGTTATATCTCTCTTCAGTTATAGTCAAAGACAGGAGTTGACAAATTAAGGCCTAGGATCAGATTCAATCAGCCATTTGTTTTTATAAGATCACATTATAAGAATGTTTTTATATTTTGAAATGATTAAAAACAAAAAAGTTATCCTGAATAATTTTCATGTGAAAGTTATATGAAATTCAATTTTCAGAGTTCACACTAAAGTTATTGGAACACAGCCATGCTCATTCACTAATGAATTGTTTATGGCAGCTTTTGTGCTATGACACCAGAGCTGAGTGATTGAGGCAGAGATGGTATCGCTGCAAAGCGTAAAATATTTACTATTTGGCTGTTTACAGAAAAAGTTTGCCAATTCCTGCTCCAAGATAGTCTTGTCCACAGATTATGCATCCAACGTAAGGACAGGACAAAAAAAAAAAAAAAGCCCAGCTATTAACTCATATAACATAAATAAATTAGATGGTTGGCAAGTCTATCTTATTGGGCTGTAAATGCCTGGCCAAAAACATTGGAATTTAGTGAAGAAAATTAGAACGCAGGTTAGTAGGCATTATATTGCTTAGACTGTATCTGAAGAGTTTGTTTTAGTTTTTGTTTTATTTTGAGACAGAGCCTCATTCTGTCTCCCAGGCTGGAGTAGAGTGGCATGATCTATACTCACTGCAGTCTCCGCCTCCCAGGTTCAAGCGATTCTCCTGCCTCAGCCTCCTGAGTAGCTAGGATTATAGGTGTGTGCCACCACGCCCAGCTAATTTTTGTATTTTTAGTAGAGATGGGGTTTTGCCACATTGGCCAGGCTGGTCTTGAACTCCTGACCTCAAGTGATCTGCCCACCTCGGCCTCCCAAAGTGCTAAGGTTACAGGCATGATCCCGGCCTATTTTTTGTATATAATAAAATAGGAAATAGTTTCATCCTTCTTTACCAGAACTTGTGTGGCATCACGAACAACAATAGTTATAGATGAGGCTACTTTAGAACTTGTAAACAGTGATACAGATGTCAAGAATTAAGGTATATTTGGAATATACTCATCCATCAAGAACATCTAATAAGTAGTCTCAAACTTTTTCTGATCATGTGCCACCAGCAACAAAATTCATGAAACATAATTCCCACTATTTTAAAAAAATAGCTTTATTGAGATAAGTTCACATCCCATATAATTCACCCAAAGTGTACAATTCAATAGTTTTTATTTGTATTCATGGGAACGTGAACAACCATCATCACAGTCTATTTTAGAACATTTTCATCACCTCGAAATGAAACTCTATACTCTTTAATTATCATTTCCTTATCCCCCCATTTCCATAGCCACTAGCAACCACTTACGTACATTTTGTCTGTATACATTTGCCCATTCTGAACATTTCATATAAATGGCATCATATAATATGTGGGCTTATGATACTAGCTTCTTTCACTTAGCATAATGTCTTCAAGATAAATCCATGTTGTAGTATGTATCATTACTTAATTCTGGCAGACAGAAGCAGCTAGCTCTCTGAGTCTCTTCTTACAAGGGCACTGATGCCATCATAAGGGCCTAGCCCTCATGATGTCATCTGAACCCAATTACCTCCCAAAGGCCATCACATTGGAAGTTAGGACTTCAACGTATGAATTTTAGAAGGACACAATTCAGTCCATAGTACTGTTTGTCAGATCCAATGTCATCATCATTCTTTTTACCTTGTAAAGTAGCTGCCAAGAGCTTTTACCAGGAGTCAAAGTAACAGATTTGCCATTTTCTTACTGTTTGCCTGCATTTGCATTATCATCATTTCTACTTTTATTTCCTGTTTTCTTTTTTCTTTTTTTTTAAAGATGGAGTCTTGCTCTTTAGCCCAGGCTGGAGTGCAGTGGCATGATCTTGGCTCACTGCAACCACCCCCTACCAGGTTCAAGCAAGTCTCCAGTCTCAGCCTCGGGAGTAGCTGGGACTACAGGCGCACACCACCATGCCTGGCTAATTTTTGTATTTTTAGTAGAGATGGGGTTTCACCATATTGGTCAGGCTGGTCTCGAACTCCTCACCTCAGGTGATCCACCTGCCTCAGCCTCCCAAAGTGCTGGGATTACAGGCGTGAGCCATTGTGCCGGGTCTATTTGTTGTTTTCTTTTTCTTTCTTTTTGTAATTATACTTTAAGTTCTGAAATACATGTGCAGAACATGCAGGTTTGTTACATAGGTATACACGTGCCATGGTGGTTTGCCACACCCATCAACCTGTCATCTGCATTAGGTATTTCTCCTAATGCTATCCCTCCCCTAGCCTCATAGCCCCTGACAGGCCGTGGTGTTTTATGTTCCCCTCCCTGTGTCCATGTGTTCTCATTGTTCAAGTCCCACTTACGAGTGAGAACATGTAGTGTTTGACTTTCTGTTCCTGTATTAGTTTGCTGAGAATGATGGTTTCCAGCTTCATCCATGTCCCTGCAAACAACATGAACTCATCCTTTTTTATGGCTTCATAGTATTCCATGATGTATATGTGCCACATTTTCTTTATGCAGTCCATCATTGATGGGCATATGGGTTGGTTCCAAGTCTTTGCTGTTGTGGACAGTGCTGCAATAAACATACATGTGCATGTGTCTTTATAGTGGAATAATTTATAATCCTTTGGGTATATACCCAGTAATGGGATTGCTTGGTCAAATTGTATTTCTGGTTCTAGATCCTTGAGGAATCGCCACACTGTCTTCCACAATGGTTGAACTAATTTACATTCCCCCCAAGGTGTAAAAGCATTCTTATTTCTCCACATCCTCTCCAGCATCTGTTGTTTCCTGACTTTTTAATGACTGCCATTCTAACTGGTGTGAGATAGTATCTCACTGTGGTTTTGATTTGCATTTCACTAATGACCAGTGATGATGAGCTTTTCTTCATGTTTTTTGGCCACATAAATATTTCTTTTGAGAAGTGTCTGTTCATATCCTTTGCCAAATTCTTGATTTTTTTTTCTTTTAATTTTGTTTAAGTTCTTTGTAGATTCCGGATATTAGCCCTTTGTCAGATGGATAGATTGCAAACATTTTCTCTCATTCTGTAGGTTGCCTGTTCACTCTGATGATAGTTTCTTTTGCTGTGCAGAAGCTCTGTAGTTTAATTAGATTGCATTTGTCAGTTTTGGTTTTTGTTGCCATTGCTTTTAGTGTTTTAGTCATGAAGTCTTTGCCCATGCCTGTGTCCTAAATGGTATTGCCTAGGTTTGCTATAGTTTTTGTGGTTTTAGGTCTTATGTTTAAGTCTTTAATTCATCTTGAGTTAACTTTTGTATAAGGTGTAAGGAAGGGGTCCAGTTTCAGTTTTCTGCATATGGCTCACCAGTTTTCCTGACACCATTTATTAAATAGGGAATCCTTTCCCCATTGTTTGTTTGTGTCAGGTTTGTCAAAGATCACATAGTTATAGATGTATGGGGTTATTTCTGAGGCCTCTGTTCTGTTCCATTCGTCTATATGTCTGTTTTGGTACCAATACCATGCTGTTTTGGTACCAATACCATGCTGTTTTGGTTATTATAGCCTTGTAGTATAGTTTGAAGTCAGGTAGCGTGATGCCTCCAGCTTTCTTCTTTTTGCTTAGGATTGTCTTGGCTATACAGGCTGTTTTTTGGTTCCATATGAAATTTAAAGTAGTTTTTTCTAATTCTGTGAAGAAAGTCAATGGTAGCTTGATGGGAATAGCATTGAATCTATAAATTACTTTGGCAGTATGTCACAACATTGATTCTTCCTATCCATGAGCATGGAATGTTTTTCCCTTTGTTTGTGTCCTCTCTTATTTCCTTTAGCAGTGGTTTGTAGTTCACCTTGAAGAGGTCCTTCACATCCCTTGTAAGTTGTATACCTAGGTATTTTATTCTCTTTGTAACAATTGTGAATGGGAGTTCACTCATGATTTGGCTATTATTGGTGTATAGGAATACTTGTGATTTTGCACTTTAATTTTGTATCCTGAGACTTTGCTGATGTTGCTTATCAGCTTAAGGAGATTTTGGGCTGAGATGATGGGGTTTTCTAAATATACAATCATGTCATCTGCATGTAGACAATTTGACTCCCTCTCTTCCTATTTGAATACCCTTTATTTCTTTCTCTTGCCTGATTGCCCAGGCCAGAACTTCCAATACTATGTTGAATAGGAGTGGTGAGAGAGGGCAACCATGTCTTGTGTGGGTTTTCAAAGAGAATATTTCCTGCTGTTGCCCATTCAGTATGATATTAGCTGTGTGTTTGTCGTAAATAGCTCTTATTATTTTGACCTACATGTCATTGATACCTAGTTTATTGAGAGTTTTTAGCATGAAGGGGTGTTGAATTTTATCAAAGGACTTTTCTGCATCTATTGAGATAATCATGTGGTTTTTGTCATTGGTTCTGTTTATGTAATGGATTATGTTTATTGATTTGTGCATGTTGAGCCAGCCTTGCATCCCAGGGGTGAAGCTGACTTGATGGTGGTGGATAAGTTTTTTGATGTGCTGCTGTATTCGGTTTGCCAGTATTTTACTGAGGATTTTCTCATGGATGTTTATCAGGGATACTGGCCTGAAATTTCTTTTTTCATTGTTGTGTCTCTGCCAGGTTTTGGTATCAGGATGATGCTGACCTCATAAAATGAGTTAGGGAGGAGTCCCTCTTTTTATATTGTTTGGAATAGTTTCAGAAGGAATATTACCAGCTCCTCTTTGTACCTCTGGTAGAATTCAACTGTGACTCCATCTGGTCCTGGGCTTTTTTTGGTTGGTAGGCTATTAATTACTGCCTCAATGTCAGAACTTGTTATTGGTCTATCAGGGATTTGACTTTTTCCTGGTTTAGTCTTGGGAGGATGTATGTGTCCAGGAATTTATCCATTTCTTC
This sequence comes from Homo sapiens, assembly GCF_000001405.40. Taxonomy (NCBI): domain Eukaryota; kingdom Metazoa; phylum Chordata; class Mammalia; order Primates; family Hominidae; genus Homo; species Homo sapiens. The sequence goes on from NC_000007.14 coordinate 112,686,817, forward strand.
AAGATTTTCTAGTTTATTTGCATAGAGGTATTTATAGTATTCTCTGATGGTAGTTTGTATTTCTGTGGCATCAGTGGTGCTATCCCCTTTGTCATTTTTTACCGTGTCCATTTGATTCTTCTTTTTTTTCTTCTTCATTAATCTGGCTGGTGGTCTATCCATTTTCTTAATCTTCTCAAAAAACCAGCTTCTGAATTCACTGATTTTTTGAAGGGTTTTTCGTGTCTCTATCTCTTTCAGTTCTGCTCTGATCTTGGTTATTTCTTGTTTTCTGCTAGCTTTTGAATTTGTTTGCTCTTGCTTCTCTTGTTCTTTCAATTGTGGTGTTAGGGTGTCAATTTTAGATCTTTCCCGCTTATTCCTGTGGGCATTTAGTGCTATAAATTTCCTGCTAAATACTGCTTTAGCTGTGTCCCAGTGTTTCTGGCACATTTTGTCTTTGTTCTCATTGGTTTCAAATAACTTATTTATTTCTGCCTTAATTTTATTATTTACCCAGTAGTCATACAGCAGCAGGTTGTTCAGTATCCATGTAGTTTGTGGTTCTGAGTGAGTTTCTTAATCCTGAGTTCTAATTCGATTGCACTGTAGTCTGAGAGACTGTTTGTTATAATTTCTATTCTTTTGCATTTGCTGAGGAGTGTTTTGCTTCCAATTACATGGTCAATTTTAGAATAAGTGTGGTGTGGTGCTGAGAAGAATGTATATTCTGTTGATTTGGGGTGGAGAGTTCTGTAGATGTCTATTAGGTCTGCTTGGTCCAGAGCTAAGTTCAAGTCCTGAATATCTTTGTTAATTTTCTGTCTTGTTGATCTGTCTAACATTGACAGTGGGATGTTAAAGTCTCCCACTATTATTGTGTGAGAATCTAAGTCTCTTTGCAGGTCTCTAAGAACTTGCTTTATGAATCTGGGTGCTGCTGTATTGGGTGCATATATATTCCTGATCGTTAGCTCTTCTTGTTGCGTTGATTCCTTTACCATTATGTAATGCCCTTCTTTGTCTTTTTTGATCTTTGTTGGTTTAAACTCTGTTGATTTTGTATCCTGAGACTTTGCTAAAGCTGCTTATCAGCTAAGGAGATTTGGGGCTGAGATGATGGGGTTTTCTAAATACACAGTCAAGTCATCTGCAAACAATTTGACTTCCTAGTCTTTCTAGAGACTGGGATTGCACCCCCTGTTTTTTTTTTCGTTCTATTTGCTTGGTAAATATTCCTCTATCCCTTTATTTTGAGTCTATGTGTGTCTTTGCACATGAGGTGGGTCTCCTGAATACAGCACACTGATGAGTCTTGACTCTTTATCCAATTTGCCAGTCTGTGTCTTTTAATTGGACCACTTAGTCCCTTTACATTTAAGGTTAATATTGTTATGTGTGCATTTGATCCTGTCATTATGATGCTAGCTGGTTATTTTGCCCATTAGTTGATACAGTTTTTTCATAGTGTTGATGGGCTTTCCAACTTGGTATGTTTTTGCAGTGGCTGGTACTGGCTTTTCCTTTTCACATCTAGTGCTTCCTTCAGGAGCTCTTGTAAGGCAGGCCTGGTGATGGCAAAATCTGTCAGCATTTGCTTATCTGTAAAGGATTTTATTTCTCCTTCACTTATGAAGCTTAGTTTGGCTGGATGTGAAATTCTGGGTTGAAAAGTCTTTTCTTTAAGAATGTTGAATATTGGCCGCCACTCTCTTCTGGCTTGTAAGGTTTCTGCTGAGAAATCCGCTGTTAGTCTGATGGACTTCCCTTTGTGGGTAACCCAACCTTTCTCTCTGGCTGCCCTTAACATTTTTTCATTCATTTCAACTTTGGTGAATCTGATGATTCTGTGTCTTGGGGTTCCTCTTCTCGAGGAGTGTCTTTGTGGTGTTCTCTGTGTTTCCTGAATTTGAATGTTGACTTGTCTCACCAGGTGGGGGAAATTCTCCTGGATAATATCCTGAAGAGTGTTTTCCAACTTGGTTCCATTCTCCCTGTCACTTTCAGGTACACCAATCAAATGTAGGTTTTGTCTTTTCACATACTCCCATATCTCTTGAAGACTTTGTTTGTTCCTTTTCTTTCTTTTTTCTCTAATCTTGTCCTCTCACTTTATTTCATTGAATTGATCTTCAATCTCTGATATCCTTTCTTCTGCTTGATCGAGTCAGTTATTGATACTTGTGTATGCTTCATGAATTTTCCTGCTTTGTTTTTCAGCTCCCTCGGGTCATTTATGTTCTCTAAACTGGTTATTCTAGTTAGCAATTTCTCTAACCTTTGTTCAAGGTTCTTAGCTTCCTTGCATTGGGTTAGAACATGCTCCTTTAGCTCAGAAGAGTTTATTACCCATCTTCTGAAGCCTACTTCTGCCAATTCATCAAACTCATTCTCCGTCCAGTTTTGTTCCCTTGCTGGTAAGGAACTGTGATCCTTCGGAGGAGAAGAAGCCTCCCGGTTTTTGGAATTTTCATCCTTTTTGCGCTGGTTTTTCCTCATCTTCATGGATTTATCCGTGGTCTTTGATGTTGGTGACCTGCAGATGGGGTTTCTGTGTGGACGTCCTTTTGTTGATGTTGATGCTATTCCTTTCTGTTTGTTAGTTTTCCTTCTAACAGTCAGGCCCCTTTGCTGCAGTTCTGCTGGAGTTTGCTGGAGGTCCACTCCAGACCCTGTTTTCCTGGGTATCACCAGCAGAGGCTGCAGAACAGCAAAGATTGCTGCCCGTTCCTTCCTCTGGAAGCTTCATCCCAGAGGGCACCCACCAGATGCCAGCCAGAGCTCTGCTGTATGAAGTGTCTGTCGACCCCTGCTGGGAGGTGTCTTCCTGTCAGGAGGCACAGGAGTCAGCGACCCACTTAAGGAGGCAGTATGTTCCTTAGCAGAGTTCAATTGCTGTGCTGGGAGATCTGCTGCTCTCTTCAGAGTCTGCAGGCAGGAATGTGTAAGTCTGCTGAAGCTGTGCCCACAGCCGCCTCTTCCCCCAGGTGCTCTGTCCCAGGGAGATGGGAGTTTTATCTATAAGCTCCTGACTGGGGCTGCTGCCTTTCTTTCAGAGATGACCTTCCCAGAGAGGAGGAATCTAGAGAGGCAGTCTGGCTACAGCAGCTTTGTGGAGGTGCAGTGGGATCTGCCCAGTTCAAACTTCCCTGCGGCTTTGTTTACACTGTGAGGGGAAAATTGCCTACTCAAGCCTCAGTAATGGCATGCCCCTTCCTCCACCAAGCTCAAGTGTCCCAAGTCAACTTCAGACTGCTCTGCTGGCAGCAAGAATTTCAAGCCAGTGGATCTTAGCTTGCTTGGCTCCATGGGGGTGGGATTTGCTGAGCTAGACCACTTCGCTCCCTGGCTTCAGCCCCCTTTCCAGGGGAGTGAATGGTTCTGAATCATTGGCATTTCAGGTGCCACTAGGATATGAAAAAAACTCGTGCAGCTAGCTCAGTGTCTGCCGAAATCACCACCCAGTTTTGTGCTTGAAACCCAGGTCCCTGGTGGTGTAGGCACCCAAGGGAATCTCCTGGTCTGTGGATTGTGAAGACCATGGGAAAAGTACAGTATCTGGGCCAGAACACACCGTTTCTCACGGCAGGGTCCCTCACAGCTTCCCTTGGGTAGGGGAGGGAGTTCCCCGACTCCTTGTGCTTCCTGGGTGAGGTGATGCCCCACTCTGCTTCAGCTCGCCCTCTGTGTGCTGTACCCACTGTCTAACCAGTCCCAATGAGATGACCTGGGTACCTCAGTTGGTAATGCAGAAATCAGCCACCTTCTGCGCTGATCTTGCTGGAAGCTACAGACTGGAGCTGTTCCTATTCAGCCATCTTGAACTGTCATTTTTCCTATTTCCTGTTTTCTTTGCAGAAATCTTTTAAAGCTGTTTATTTATTTTGTAAAGGTAAGTTTCATTAAAATTATAATCTGTAAACTCCTTTTTCTGGCACACATAACTATAATATATTCAACACACTGAAAGCTAAAAAAATGAGGATAAACACAACTATTACACCCTGCTCCCCAACCACGTTATAGAACATTTATTCTTCCTTTAAGATGTCTTCCTTCCATTTTGACAGACTCACATGTAGAAAGAATGGGGGCTCCAGAGTATCTCTGAATAATTAACACAAAAAGCCTAATGTATTATTTTTAAGAACAAAAATATGAAGAGATGTCTTTTCTTCTGCACACCCTCCCCCCAAATCATCTTATGCACGTCCTGGGAATGCACCCATCTTTGAAGACCTAGGAAAAAACCTCACAACCTGAGTGAGGGTTATTTTTAAAAGAGAATATTCTAAAAACCAATGTGGTGTGGCAATTTTTGTCTTTAAGGGGAGGATTTACTAATTTGTCAAAGAAGTTATAGTTCATCAGCTTTATATAGTGTTTACTATGTACCAGGCACTATTTTAAACACTTTATAAATATTAGCTCAATTAGTCCTCATAATAACCCTTGGGATAAGTACAATTATTTTTTCATTTTACTTTGGAGGGAACTGAGGCATGGAACTAAGAGACTGTCTGGCTCTTAACCAGTGCACTCAGTTGTCTCTGCCTAGTTAACAATTATTAGAAAAATGTAACCCAAGTTTGGAATGAAATAGCAAATCAAGTCCCAAGCCTCTTTCCCCGTTCTCTCCCCGACCACCCCAAAGCCAGAGTCATTTCATGCTTCATTCTAGGTATTTAGTCCTGCCACAGATCGTTTTATTTTTTCAAAATAAGTCTGTTCTAAGGAGTGGCCTGGAAATACAAGTGGAATTACACTATTATTTTATTCTGATTACAATAATATTTGTTCTGGTTAGAATAAACTATTCTCTTAGGAAAGACAGGGTTAGGAGACAGGAAGTTATCACAGATGAAGGAAAATGAGGTCCTGTGCACCTAGGGAATGATTAGAAAAAAATTAAAAAAGGAGGAAGGAAACCAAGTATGCTTTAGAAGGAAAACAAACTGGGCTTAACACAGTTCCTATGTGTTTGGGGTTGTAGGGAGAAGGCAAAGAATAGTGAAATAACACAGATGAAAAAGAAGAATCGGTCAAAATTAGGAGAGTGAGAAGACATATAGGTTTTTAAATTTAATTGACTTTTTGATCTTTTAAAAAAAATTTTCAGCCTTTTTATCATAGAAAACTTTAAACAAATGCCTAAGTAGAAAAAAGTATGTGCATGAACCTGTAGGTAGGCACTACCAGCTTCATGTCTAGTCTTACGGCATTTATAACCCCCCCTCCCTTTTCTGCCATGTTACTGTGAAGAAAACTCTCAGACATCACATCTTTCATCCATAAATATTTTAGCATGTATCTCAAGAAAAATGGACTTTTAAAAACCATAACTTAATACCATTATCACACCTAAACAAATTGAACTATAATTCTATGTAGTGTTCAAATTTTCCTGTTTGTATTACAATTTTTTCCAGCTTGTTTGAATCAGGTTCAACATGTAATCTACAAGGCTGATATGTCTCTTAAATCTATTTGAATCTGTAGGTTTCCCTTTTATTTCCCTCTTGCTTTTTAAAAATTTCAATTTGTTTGTTGAAAATATGTGGGTATTAGGGAGAAATGATTAATTTGGTGTTGCTCATGGTGTGTGGATGGTGCCAGTCATGCACCCAAGTGGAGCTACTTAGAGAGCAGTTGATAACGTGGGTCAGCAGCTTAGGTCAAAGCAAATTATATTGATTTGGTAAATATTTGAACAGAGGTTTTTATTGAAGCCATTAGAGCAGTTAAGGTCACCAACTGAGAGACCACAGGGTGAAGAGTAGGTCAAGAGCTGAGCTGTGAGAGGAGAGCCAAGAATAGGCATGGCCAGAGCAAAGAGTGGGAACTGCTTCAGGAAAATGTCAGCAGTGCCAGTCTCGGTTTTTTCTTGTTGTTTTTTTATTCATGGAGAATGGGGTATCTATACCCTCAAACATTTATCTTTTTAGTTAAAAACAATCCAATAACACTCTTAAAGTTACTTAACAATGTACAATTAAGTTATTATTGACTATTGTCATCCTCTTATGCTATCAAATAGTAGGTCTTATTCATTCTACTTTTTGTACCCATTAACCATCCCCACCTCCCCCCCATACTCCCCACTACCTTTCCCAGCCTCTGGTAACCATCCTTCTATTCTCTGTCCATGAGTTCAATTGTTTTAATTTTTAGATCCCACAAATAATTGAGAACATGTGATATTTGTATTTCTGTGCCTGGCTTAATTCACTTAATGATCCCCAGTTTCATCTATGTTGTTGCAAATGACCGGATCTCATTCTTTTTTATGGCTGAATAGTACTCCATTGTTTATATGTACCACGTTTTCTTTATCCTTTCATCTGTTGATGGACACTTAGGTTACTTCCAAATCTTAGCTATTGTGAACAGTGCTGACACAAATGGGAGTGCAGATATCTCTTTGATATACTGATTTCCTTTCTTTTGGATATACACCAAGGAGTGGGATTGCTGGATCATATGGTAGCTCAATTTTTAGTTTTTTGAGGAACCTCCAAACTATTCTCCATAGTCGTTGTACTAATTTACATTTCCACTGACATTGTACAAGGGTTCCTTTTTCTTCACATCCTATCCAGCATTTGTTATTGCCTCTCTTTTGGATAAAAGCCATTTTAACCGGGGTGAAATGAAATCTTATTTTAGTTTTGATTTGCATGTCTCTGTGATCAGTGATGTTGAGCACCTTTCCATATGCCTGCTTGCCATTTATGTCTTCTTTTGAGAAATATCTATTCAAATCTTTTGCCCATGTTTTGATCAGATTATTAAATATTTTTTCCTGTAGAGTTGTTTGAGCTCTTTACATATTCTGGTTATTAATTCCTTGTCAGATGGGTAGTTTGCAAATATTTCTTGCATTCTGTGAGTTGTCTCCTCATTTTGTTGACTGTTTCCTTTGCTGTGCAGAAGCTTTTTAACTTGATGTGATCCCATTTGTCCATTTTTGCTTTGGTTGCCTGTGCTTGTGGGGTATTGCTCAAGAATTCTTTGCCCAGACCAGTGTCCTAGAGATTTTCCCCAATGTTTTCTTGTAGTAGTTTCATAGTTTGAGGTCTTAGATTTAAGTCTTTAATCCATTTTTATTAATATTTGTATATGGTGAGAGATAGGGGTCTAGTTTCATTCTTCTGCATATGGATATCCAGTTTTCCTAGCATCATTCATGGAAGAGACTGTCTTTTCCCCAGCGTATGTTCTTGGCACCTTTTCAAAAATGAGTTCACTGTAGGTGTGTGGATTTGTTTCTGGGTTCTCTATTCTGTTCCATTGGCCTATGTGTCTGTTTTTATGCCAGTACAATGCTGTTTTGGTTACTGTAGCTCTGTAGTATAATTTGAAATCAGGTAACATGATTCCTCCAGTTTTGTTTATTTGCTGAGGATAGCTTTGGCTATTCTGGGTCTTTTGTAGTTCTATATAAATTTTAGGATTGTTTTTTCCATTTCTGTGAAGACTGTCATTGGTATTTTGATAGTAATTGCATTGAATCTGTAGATTGCATTGGGTAGTATGGACATTTTAAAAATATTCATTCTTCCAATCCATTAACATGAAATATTTTTCCATTTTCTGGTATCCTCTTCAATTTTTTTCATCACTGTTTCATAGAGCTCTTTCACTTCTTTGATTAATTCCCAGGTATTTAATTTTATGTGTGGCTACTGCAAATGGAGTTACTTTTTTTTCTTTTTCACATTGTTCACTGTTGGCATATACAAATGCTACTGATTTTTGTATGTTGGTTTTGTATTCTGCAGTTTTACTGAATATATCAGTTCTAATAATTTTCTTGTGGAGTCTTTAGGTTTTTCCAAAAATAAGATCATATCATCTGCAAACAAGGATAATTTGACTTCTTCCTTTCCAGCTTGGATGCCTCTCTTGTCTGAGTGCTCTAGTTAGGACTTCCAGTGCTATGTTAAATAATAGTGGTGACAGTGGGCATCCATGTCATGTTGCAAATCTTAGAGGAAAGACTTTCAATTTTTCTCTATTCAGTATGATATTATATGTGGGTCTGTTGTATATAGTTATTACGTTGAGGTATTTTCCTTCTATACTGTTTTTTTTGGGGGGGGAGAGGGGGATTTATCATGAAGGAATGTTGAATTTTATCAAATGTTTTTTCAGCATCAATTGAAATGATCATATGGTTTTTATCCTTCATTCTGTTAATATGCTATAACACATTGATTAATTTGCCTATGTTGAACCATCCTTGCTTCTCAGGGATAAATCCCTCTTGGTCATGATGAGTGATCTTTCTAATGTATTGTTGAATTCAGTTTTCTGGTATTTTGCTGAGAATTTTTGCATCAATATTCTTCAGAGATATTAGCCTATTCTTTTTTGACGTGTCTTTGTCTGGTTTTGGTATCAAGGTAATACTGGCCTTCTAGAGTGAGTTTGGAAGTATTTCTCCTACTCTATTTTTCTGAAAAATCATTTTTCAGAATAGTTTGAGTAGAATTGGTATTAATTCTCCATTAAATGTTTGGTAGAATTTAGCAGAGGAGCCATCAGGTCCTGGGCTTTTCTTTACTGGGAGACTTTTTATTATGGCTTCAATCATGTTACTTGTTATCAGTCTATTGAGGTTTTGGATTTCTTCTTGGTTCACTTTTCATAGGTTGTATGTATCTAGGAATTTGCCCATTTCTCCTGGAGTTTCCAATTTATTAGCATATAGTTGTGTATAGTACCCACTAATGATTCTTTGAACTTTTGCGATACCAGCTGTAATGTCTCATTTTTCATTTCTGATTTTATTTGTTTGTATCATCTCTCTTTTTTTCTTAATTAGTCTGGCTAAAAGTTTGTCAATTTTGTTAAACTTTTCAAAACATCTTTTTGTTTCATTGATCTTTTGTATTTTTTATTTCAATTTCATTTGTTTTTTCTCACATCTTTATTATTTATTTTTTTGTACTAATTTTAGGTTTGGTTTGCTCTTGCTTTTCTTGATCTTTAAGATGTATCGTTCGGTGTTCATTTGAAGTTTTTTTTCTGTTTTTTTAATGTAGGCACTTATAGCTATAAAATTCCCTCTTGGTACAGGTTTTACTGTATCCTGTAGATTTTGGTATGTTACGTTTCCATTATCATTTAAATGATAAATGAAAAGGAAATTTTTCAATTTCCTTTTTAATTCCTTCATTAACCCACTGGTTATTCTGGAGCATATTGTTTAATTTCCATGTATTTGTATAGTTTCCAAAAGCCTTCTGGTTATTGATTTCTAGTTTTATTCCATTGTGGTCAGAGAAGATGCTTGATATTATTTCAGGTTTTTTTTGAATGTTTTAAGACTTGTTTTCTGATCTAAATTATAGTCTATCTTTGAGAATGATCCATGTGCTGAGGAAAAGAATGTGTATTCTGCAGTTCTTGGATGAAATGCTCTGTATATATCTATTAGATCCATTTGGTCTATAATGCAGATTTCATCTGATGTTTCTTTGTTGAATTTCTGTCTGGACGATCTTTCCAATGCTGAAAGTGGGGTGTTGAAGTCTCCAGCTATTATTGTATTGGGGTATCTCTTTTTATCTCTAATAATATTGTCTTTATGTATCTGGGTGCTCCAGCATTGGGTGGATATATATTTAAAACTGTTATATCCTCTTGCTTAATTGACCCCTTTATCATTATATAGTGACCTTCTTTGTCTCTTATAGTTTTTTTTTATATGTGCTGAAATATGGATTTATTTATAACCTCATTAGAGACTAAATCATGGCAACACGTTACAGTTCAATATTTTTGTCTAAATTCTTGTTGAGCCACATCCATCTGTATATGTAATACTGAGTTGCCAACAGCTTTTTTTTTTTTTTTTTTTTTAGTATTTATTGATCATTCTTGGGTGTTTCTCTAGGAGGGGGATTTGGCAGGGTCACAGGACAATAGTGGAGGGAAGGTCAGCAGATAAACAAGTGAACAAGGGTCTCTGGTTTTCCCAGGCAGAGGACCCTGCCGCCTTCCGCAGTGTTTGTGTCCCTCGATACTTGAGATTAGGGAGTGGTTGATGACTCTTAACGAGCATGCTGCCTTCAAGCATCTGTTTAACAAAGCACATCTTGCACCGCCCTTAATCCATTTAACCCTGAGTGGACACAGCTCATGTTGCAGAGAGCACGGGGTTGGGGGTAAGGTTATAGATTAAAGCATCCCAAGGCAGAAGAATTTTTCTTAGTACAGAACAAAATGGAATCTCCTATGTCTACTTCTTCTACACAGACACAGCAACAATCTGATTTCTCTATCTTTTCCCCACATTTCCCCCTTTTCTATTCGACAAAACCACCATCATCATCATGGCCCATCCTCAATGAGTTGTTGGGTACACCTCCCAGACGGGGTGGTGGCCAGGCAGAGGGGCTCCTCACTTCCCAGAAGGGGCAGCTGGGCAGAGGCGCCCCCCACCTCCTGGACGGGGTGGCGGCCGGGCGGAGGCACCCCCCACCTCCCTCCCGGACAGGGCGGCTGGCCGGGCGGGGGCTGCCCCCTGCCTCCCTCCCGGATGGGGCGGCTGGCTGGGCGGGGGCTGCCCCCCGCCTCCCTCCCGGACAGGGCGGCTGCCGGGCGGAGGGGCTCCTCACTTCCCAGACGGGGCGGCAGGGCAGAGGCGCTCCCCACATCTCAGACTATGGGCGGCCGGGCAGAGACGCTCCTCACTTCCCAGACGGGATGGCGGTCGGGAAGAGGCGCTCCTCACTTCCCAGACTGGGCAGCCAGGCAGAGGGGCTCCTCACATCCCAGACGATGGGCAGCCAGGCGAGACGCTCTTCACTTCCCAGACAGGGTGGTGGCCGGGCAGAGGCTGCAATCTCAGCACTTTGGGAGGCCAAGGCAGGCGGCTGGAAGGTGGAGGTTGTAGCCAGCCAAGATCACGCCACTGCACTCCATCCTGGGCAACATTGAGCACTGAGTGAACGAGACTCCGTCTGCAATCCCGGCACCTCGAGAGGCCAAGGCTGGCAGATCACTCGCAGTTAGGAGCTGGAGACCAGCCCGGCCAACACAGCGAAACCCCGTCTCCACCAGAAAAATATGAAAACCAGTCAGGCGTGGCAGCGCGCGCCTGCAATCCCAGGCACTGGGCAGGCTGAGGCAGGAGAATCCGGCAGGGAGGTTGCAGTGAGCGGAGATGGCGGCAGTACAGTCCAGCTTCCGCTTGGCATCAGAGGGAGACCGTGGAGAGAGAGGGAGAGGGAGACCGTGGGAAGAGGGAGAGGGAGGGGGAGGAGGAGGGGAGGGGGGGTGAGGGAGAGGGAGAGGGAGACTCTTACAGTTTTTGTCTTAAAATCTATTTTGTTTGATATAAGTATATAGCTACCCTACTCTTTTTTGGTTTACATTGGCATGGAATACCTTTTTCCATCCCTTTATTTTCAGTCTGTGTTTGTTCTTATGGGTAAAGTGTGTTTCTTGTAGAAAACAGATCAATGAGTCTTGTTTTTTCATCCATTCAGCCTTTTGATTGGAGAGTTTAGTCCATTTAAATTCAATGTTATTATTAATAAGTAAGAATTTACTCCTGGCATTTTTCTGTTTGTTTTTCTGATTGTATTGTGGTCTTCTTTCTTTCTTTCATTCCTGTCTTGCTTTAGTGAAGGTGATTTTTTCTGATAATATGATTTAGTTTTTTGCTTTTAATTTTTGTGTATCTATTGTTATGTTTTTTGGTTTGAGGTTACCATGAGGCTTGCAAATACTATCTTACAACCAATTATTTAAACCTGATAACAACTTAACACTGTTCACATAAACAAACAAGTAAAAGGAAAACTTATAAAAACTCTGCCCTGAGCTTCATCCCAACCCCCCAGCTTTTTAACTATCTGTTTTTTTCTATTTATATCATATTGTACTATGTCTTGGAAAGTTGTAGTTATTATTTTTGATTGGTTCATTTTTTAGTCTTTCTACTTATGATAAGTTTACACACTACAGTTACAGTGTTATAATATTCTGTGTTTTTCTGTGTATTTACCATTACCAGTGAGTTTTGTAGTTTCAGGTGATTACTTATTGCTCATTAATGTCCTTTTCCTTCTGATTGGGGTACTCCCTTTAGCATTTCTTATAGGGCAGGTCTGATATTGATGAAATCCCCCAGCTTTTGTTTATCTGGGAAAATCTTTATTTCATCTTCATGTTTGAAGAATATTTTCACCAGATATACTATTCTAGGGTAAAGTTTTTTCCTTCAGCACTTTGAATACATCATGCTATTCTCTCCTGGCCTATAAATTTTCCACTGAAAAGTTTGTTGCCAGGCATATTGGACCTTCATTATATATTACTTGTTTCTTTTCTCTTGCTGCTTTTACATGCAAGAGACCTTTGGGCGTTTGATTATTAAATGCCTTGAAGTAGTCTTTTTTGGGTTAAATCTGCTTGATGTAATATAACCTCCTTGTACTTGGATATTGATAACTTTCTTTGGGTTTGGGGAGTTCTCTGTTGTTATTCCTTTGAATAAACTTTCTCTTTTTTCTTTTTGAGACGGAGTCTTACTCTGTCGCCCAGGCAGGAGTGCAATGGCACAATCTTGGCTCACCACAACCTCCGCCTCCTGGGTTCAAGTGACTCTCCTGCCTGGCCATAGAAGCAAACACAAACATAGAGGAATTGGCTTTGGGCAGATGGAAGGACCTCAGAGAAAAGAAACAAAGGAAAGAAAACTGGATGGATAAAGGTACAAAGAAATTTGGAGTAGAGCTGAATTGCATCCCCCTCAAATTCATATGTTAAAATTCTGATCCTCAATACCTCAGAATGTGACTGTTTCTGAAGACAGGGCCTTTAAAGATGTAATTAAGGTAAAAAAGTCATATCGGTGGGCCCTAATACAACATTAAGGATGTCCCTATAAGAAGAGGAGATTAGAACACAGGCATGCACAGAGAGATGACATGTGGAGACACAAGGAAAAATGACCATCTCGTCAAGGTGAAAAGCCTTTTGAAGAAACCAACCCTGCCAAAGGTTAAAATTCCCTGTGGAATTTTAAGCTTCACAGATATGAGGAAGTAAATTTCTGTTGCTTAAACTGCCCAAGCTGTGGCACTTTGTTATGACAACCCTATCAGACTAATACAAATACCCTCTTGTGAAAGTCACCTTCACCCTTCAGACATCAAAATATGGCTCCTACCATCAGTGGCCACTGCAGGAGCATAAGCAGTCATGACCTCAGGGGCCACTCTGGCGGAGAGCTTACCAAATTATCATTAGAGACTTTCAAATTTACCAGATTATTATCAAGCATTTTAGGGGGCATTGTTTAATCCTAACATGTAATCCCTAAAATCTAGCCATCTACCTTTTAATTTTCTTTCTGTGAACCTAATTCTTGAGGTTCACAGTTTTCCTCCACGTAGTCTCCTTACTCTCCTCAGGCTACACTTTTTTTTTTTTTGAAAGGATCATTTGATAAGGAATGAAAGCAAGATAGGGGAAGCATTTGGAGAATTGATTGCACTGCACAAATGCATTGATATGCTGGCTTGGGCGAGGTGATTATGTGCATTTATCATTTGTGTGATTATCTTAAAAGGAGCTCTTAAATAAGATAAAATAATTTGCTGAACTTCAAAGGCAGGAATTAGGATTAGAGAAACTAAAAAGCAATGGATCTTGGTTGTGTTACCTTCTGTTGTTTCTCTTAAATGAAATTTGTCCTCTGGTCCATGGACACATTCCAGTTGAGACTGGTAACCAGACTGCAATAGGATCTTTATGGCTCCCTGTCGGACATATCATCAAATGTTTAATATGCATAACTACTTCACTTTGGTGGCTTGTTCCCCTATACTTGCCTTACGCTGAAGACTTTAGTTGGTGACCACCCTTGAATGCCAGAAGCAGCAGGTTATTTATTGTTAAACATACACATACATGTATCGATTGGACTCTGACTACTTGGAAATTTAGAGATAAGACACTTTAAATACTAAGGGTACAAACAATACTGCAGGGACACAGAAGTTCTCTTCCTCTTGGTTGGTAAAGCAACTTGGAGAGTAGGGCGGACTCCCAGGTAAGGACCATCAAGTAGAGAAAACCTGGGAAGAGCTTGGCCTCGGAAAGCTGGGGACCCCATGGAAAAACAAACATTAGTCTAGCATGAGCATATCATGTCTTCTTGACTCCCAAGGTTACCCTAAGACAGCATGAAGATCTCTTGGTCAGACAGGGGTCTAGCAAAGCTCTGTGTCACCAGAGATATTTAAGCGTTTTCTTGACTAGTGAATCCCAAATCTTGTAAATTGTCTCACTCAGATTAGTTGCCTGCTAGATAAAGCAGAATATTATCCTCCAGATAGATATAAAGAGTAATGAATAGACAGACTGATACACCCCTTGGATATGGTTAGAGAAGCTGGGAATAATTTAGATTTGTATGTCCCCTGAGCAAACTCATTTTAAAAGGAGACAAAAACCAACTATTGCTTAACTCTGCTATTCTTCACATCTTTATGCTGTACTTGACTGACTCTGACTTTAGTTTATTGATATCATTTTGTTTTATTTTAAAAGGTTTGTAGAAATACTATTCACAGGAAGCAAATAGGAATTCCTTATCGCTAAACAGACACTAAGTCAATTGGGTAAGTCATGGAAAAAATATGTGGGCAATATGGCATAGAGGAGGCCATGTTAGTCTAGCCAAAGTAACTTCACATGGAATCAGGAGGAATGTGAATAGTGCTACCTCCTCACACCTTTCAACCTGACAGTCTGGCTATTCTATTTAGGCTGCCTCTGGTCATTGTGGGGGAAGGGCAAGACATGCTGAAAAGGGCGTGCCACAATTGATCTTTGGGTGTGAGACTCATTTCCTGGAGGGGTGATAGGCAGTAATACTAGCAGTAAAACAGTAAAACTTACTGGGGCACCGCCTTGTCTCACTGATACTGGAGGGATAGTTGTATTTCAGTCTATAGGAAGATATCACTCATCAACTTCAAAAAAACAAACAGGGTCAGGTGCAGCGGCTCATGCCTGTAATCCCAGCACTTTGGGAGGCAAAAGCAGGAGAATTGCTTGAGGCCAGGAGTTCGAGGCTGTAGTGAGCTATGATTGTACGACCGCACTCCAGCCTGGGTGACAGAACAGACCCTGTTTCTAAAACAAAACAAAACAAAACAAAACAAAACAAAACAGAAAAACCCCAAAAGACTTCCCCAGCTAGGAGACACACACTGTTCAGCAAGAGGAAGCAGAGGAGGGGGCAGTGTTCCACCTGCAGAGACCCATTTGGCCACTCTAAAATTAGCCCCATGATTTCCTTTCATTCTTTGTGTCCTATGATCCTGAACTTGAAGTTTCTCTGAAACTATCACTATAGCTGCAGCAATCTACTGTTTGGGGCTTATTTTGGGCTGTCATTTCCTATATTTTCCCAGAGATCTTATCCTGCCTGCTTTTTACTTTTCAGGTATTTCTCAAATGTTCTTATCCTCTTTTTTTATTTTCTAGTGCTGGTAATAATGTATTACTTTTAGAATTTTTTTCTCTCTTAGTGGTTGGAAGAGATAAGGAAATTTTCCTTCTTGGTTCAACTGAAGATAAAAATTTATTTTGAAAAGAGAATCATAGTTTTCAGGAAGAAAGCCTAACTATATCCACTGATGATAAACTCTCTCATCTTACCCATCAGTGCTAAGTATTTAAATGACTACACAGATCTTTTTTAAAAATTATTTTCTAGGAAACCATATACCAAAGTCAAAAAGATCACAGTTAATACAACCTTTAGATTTATTTTAAAGTTGCATTATTCTAAGGAGGCTACCTAATTTATATAGAACTAAAATTCTTTCATGTTAAAGAAGAAGCGAAATTTACTTATAAAACAAAGGGGCTGGGTGCAGTGGCTCACGCCTGTAATCCCAGCACTTTAGGAGGCTGAGATGGCAGCCTCACTTGAGGTCAGATCACTTGAGGTCAAGAGTTAGAGACCAGCCTGGCCAACATGGCGAAAACTCGTCTGTACTAAAAATACAAAAATTAGCCGGGTGTGATGGTGGACACCTGTAATCCCGGCTACTCGGGAGGCTGAGGCAGGAGAATCTCTTGAACCCAGGAGGTGAAAGTTGCAGTGAGTGGAGATTGTGCCCCTGCACTGTAGCCTGGGCAATAGAATGAGACTTTTTCTCAAACAAACAAACAAACAAAACAAAGGGACTAGGATATCGAGTTTATTAAACAGATGCTTAAACAAATACTCATACATTTTCCTACCTATTTTTCTAGGCAGAAGATATTCCATATTACTTTGTAACCTGTTCCCCTATACTTGCCTTATGTTGAAGACTTTAGTTGGTGACCACCCTTGAATGCCAGAAATAGCAAGTTATTTATTGTTAAACATATACATGCATGTATCGATTGGACTCTATTCTGATTACTTGAAAATTTAGAAATAAGACACTTCAAATTCTGAGGGTACAAACAATAACACTGCAGGGGCACAGGAGTTTTCTTCCTCTTGGTCGGTAAAGCACCTTGGAGAGTAGGGCAGACTCCCAGGTAACGACCATGACGTAGAGAACCCTGGGAAGAGCTTGGCATCAGAAAAGAGTGAGTAATGAAAGGGGAAGGTCCTCTTATAAAAGCAGCAGATCTCATGATAGCTCATTCACTACCATGAGAACAGCATGGGGGAAACTGCCCCCTATGATTCAATCACCGCCAACCAGCTCTCTCCCTAGACAAATGGGGATTATGGGGATTACAATTCCAGATGATATTTCAGTGGGGACATAAAGCCTAACCATATCAGGGGTCTAATGGAAAAAGTATAAAAAAGTATACAATATGTAAGAATAGATAAGTAGTATAAGCAGAGAGATGGAAGCACTAAGAAAGAATAAAAAGAAAATGCTATAAATAGAAAACAGTATAAAAGAAATAAAGATGCCATTGATGGGTTCATCAGTAGACTGGATATCACCAAAGAAAGCTTGAAGATGTGTTCATAGAAACTTTTCAAACTGAAAATCAAGGAGAAAAAAAAGAATGAAAATAAAAGAATAGTATATTTGAGAACAATAATCCAGTAATTACAAAAGTTGTAATATATTTATAATGAGAATGCCAAAAGCAATACAAAGAAAAAAGAGTAGAAGAAATAGTTGGGGTAATTATGGCTGAGAATTTTCTAAAATTAATAACAGACACCAAATCATAGCTCTAGGAAGCTCAGAGAATACCAAGCAGGATAAATGCCAACTCCCCTGACCCTACAAAACCAGAAACCAAACCAAACCAGAACTATACTTAGGCATATGATATTCAAACTGTAGAATATTAAAGACAAAGAGAAAATCTTGAAAGAAGCCAGAGGGGAAAACACCTTACCTATAGAAGAAAAAAAATAGAATTACACAGATTTACCATCAGAAACCATTGCAAGCAAGAATAGAGTGGGGTGAAATTTTAAAGTTTTGGCATGGTGGGTGTGGAAGGAGGAGCCCCTACCAACCTACAGTTTTGTGTCTATTAAAATTATCCCTCAAAAGTGAAGGAGAAATGAAGACTTTCTCAGACTAACGAAAATGGCGGGAATTTGTTGCCAGTAGACTTACCTTGCAAGAAACCCTAAAAGAAGTTTTTTAGAAAGAAGGAAAATGACATAATTCAGAAACATGGATCTACAAGAAAGGAAGAGTATTAAAGAAGGTATAAATGAAACTAAAATCTTTTATTTTTCAAATTTTTAATTGATATAACCAATAACAGTTTGTTCAAAATAGTAATAGCAACAATGTATTTGGTAATTATAGCTTATGGATAAGTGAAATAGATGATAGCAGTGTTGGGACAAGAGGGGGAAATTGAGAATACTATGTTATAAGGTATTTGCACTACCCATGGAGCAGTATAGTGTTATTTTAAAGTGAACTTGGATTAACTGTATATGTATATTGCACACTCTAGGGCAACCCCTTAAACATTTTTTGAAAGAAGTACTACTGATATTCTATAAGAGGAGAGAAAAGGGAATCATATAAATTGCTCAATTAAAACCAAAGATGGCAGGAAAAAGAGCAGGAAATAGAAAAACAAAGAACAGGGTAACAAATAGAAAACACTAACAAATATGGTTGATATTAATCCAACTATATCAATAATCACTTTAAATTTCAATGGTCTAACTATACTGATTAAAAGACAAAGACTGTCAGAATGGATGAACAAACAAGATCCTACAGTATGTTGTCTACAGAAAACTCAGTCTAAGTTAAAAGGCTCATTTTAAAAGTAAAGGGATGGAGAAAAATATACCATGTTACACCAACCAAAGGAAGCTCTATCAGAAATGGACAGATCCAACAGGCAGAAAAGCAGTTAAGGATAAAATTGAACTGAACAGAGCCATCAATGAACTGGATCTAATTGACATATATAGATTGTTTCATTCAACAACAGCAGGATATACATTATTCCCAAGTTCACATGGAACAGTCACCAAGGCAGACCAAATTCTGGGCCATAAAAACAGTTAAACAAATTTAAAATAATAGAAATCATTCCTATATCCTCTTAGACCACCAAGAAATAAAGTAGAAATCGATAACAGAAAGAGCACTAGAAAATTCCTAAGTATTTGGAGATTAAACAATAGACTTCTAAATAAAACATGGATTTAAGTCTTAAGAGAAATTTGTTAATGTTTTGAACTGAATAAAAATGAAAATACAACTTGTCGAGATTTGTAGAATGCAGCAAAAGCAGTGCTTAGAGGGAATATTTTAGCATTGAATGCATTGAATCTATAATCAATAATATAAGCTTCCACCTCAAGAAACTAGAGGAAAAGCAATATAAACATAAAGCAAGCAGAAGAAAAGAAATAATAAAATTTGGAGCAGAAATTAATTAACTGGAACCAGGAAATCAATAGAGAAAGTCAACAAAACCAAAAGCTGGCTATTTGAAAAGATTAATAAAATTGATAAACCTCTAGCCAGAAACCAAGGAAAAAAGAGAAAATGCAAATTACTAATATCAGATATGAAAGAGGGGTAATAATTACTGATCACATGGACATGAAAAGAATCTATTTATCTGGTGGAACCCTAATGACATAGTTACATACATGTAAATTCATATATATGTAAAACATAAGGCATGAATGAATAATCATCAAAATCAATGTAAAGGTTGCCCTTGGGGAAGAATCTAGAATAGAGTTTCAACTTAGAAGTTGATTTTAGCCTTATACACTTTTTTTAAAACCAAGAGAAGGTATTCATATATTTCTTACGCAATGAAAAATATTTTTCAAAGAAAAGAGCAGTCAAAAACCTACATAATCATCTAATCAGCATTACACGAGGCAAAGGTAAGTGTCGTTAATAGAGGAATGCACACAACAAATAAAGGTGTGAGAGAAAAGCTTCCTATCATTTCTGATGGCACAATACACTTTCACCAAGGGCTTACAGTGCTTACCAGTAAGACAGCAGGATTAAAAAAAAAAAAGAAAAACAAAAATGGTGTCCACCCTCCTGTGAAGGAGATGTCACCATCAGTCCCATCCCTTGAGCACCTACTCTCATTCCTAAGAGCCAACATTTTATTGAGTAATCACCAAGTACCAAGACACTGTTCTTCATGTTTTAAAACATTTATTTGCCAGTCAGTCCTTATAGCAGGCACATGTGCATAGGCATTATTTTTATTATCCCTGTCCTGAAGAAAGAAACCAAGCATAGACAGCTTAGTAACTTGCTTATGGTCACCCAGCTAGAAGATGGGATTCAAACTCACTCTGCCTTGCTATTAATACTGCCTTGTTATCTTGTTTTGTCCTTACCAATACCTGGCCAAGTACTACCCATTCTTATTTAACATGTGAGGAAACTGAAACCTGAAGAGGTCATGGAAGTTCTGTGTGGCCACACCAATGGTAGACAGCAGAACCAGATTTCAAACCAGCTTTTTCTCCAGCATTATTCTTCATGAGAAGAATAATTAAACTTATTGTGTAATAAAGTGTGTTTTTAAGGTATAATGTCTTATTTTTTCCAGCTTTATTCAACTATAATAAATGTACAAATAGAGATGTATATAATTCGCATACACAATTTAGTGAGTTTGGGCATATGTATATACTTATGTTACCATCACCACAATTCAGTTAATAAACACATCCATCACCTCTAAAAGTTTCCTTGTGTCGCTTTGTGTGTTTTGTTTTGTTGTTTTGTGGTAAGAACACTTAACGTGAGATCTACTCTCAACAAATTTTTAAGTGCACAATACTCCATCGTTAACTGTAGGCACCATGTTGTATTGCAGATATCTGGAGCTTACTCACTTGTATAACTTTATATCCACTGAACTAGTCAATAGAATAGTGGTTACCAGGGGATGGGTGGAGGGGGATGTGAGGAGTTGTTGTTTAATAAAGTGTTATGGAGGCACTGATAGCAAATACCTCCTGGGTGATAATTTTGAGCCTCTTTGCCACTCTCTATTTCTTCTTTACCTTAGTCAGTTTCCTCCCAGTTTCCTTCCTTTTTCTTTTCTTGCTATATCTTTGCATAGATTTCCTCTTTATCCTCTTAATAGCTGCTTTCTCTATCAGCCTTTCTCCCTTTCCCTTCTCTCTGCCTGGCTTTCTTAACTCCACTGTCTCTGAATATTTATACCAAACTCCTAACTTAAAAAAACAAAATTCTTCATAGTTCTCGGTTTGAGAGAAGGGCAGGAGATGAAGCACTTGTGCTCTTGGTTAAATTCAGGTCTTTGACTGTTGATCAATTATTTTCTGAAAAGTTAATGTTTTCTTCTTGTTCATGTTCACAATTATTGTGGCTGCAGTGATTTTATATATGCATACGTGTATTCTTCTATATGACATTTACAAGTGTTGACAGAATATTGCCTTTTTCAGTAAAGATCTTGCCAGCTGGTGCCTGGGTGCATAGACTGCCTATGGCTCTTGAATTGCATGCTGAAAACTTCATAATGAAACCAGAAAATCACAGAAGCATAAACACAGCTGCTTATGCCTATAAAGTAAGTGGTTTACAAGGGAAAGCCTAATCAGTAGAATCGAGTGTTTAGTCAATTACATTAACAGTAGACAAATAGAAATCATATGTATTTGACAGGAGGCCATTTTAAGAAACTTTGTATTTGTATGCTGCAAACATAATGAGACACTTAAAAAGAAATGTCATCCATTATTCATGAATTTGAATAAAATACAGAGCTCTCTTGAAAAAAATCAGAAAATTAAAGTTCTTTTAAGAATGTGAAGGTTTTGATTTTAATAGCTCATTTTATTTTTTAAGTTGGTTTGGAGGTGCTTTTTCTATGATAAGTGATTTTTATGTGGTGACAAACAAAAAGATTTAATATATTTTAAATATGCCAGAGAGATTGTTTCAGAAAACCCTGTATGCTTGGGAATTTTCAAAGCTGTAAGAAACAAAATCTCTATTAGAACTTGAACTGGGCTGGGGGCAGGCCATAGAGAATAGTTAGAACCAGCAGGCTGTAGCAGGTAATTAAGGAAGTTCTCTCAATGGATCATCTGAGGTAATCAGTGCACAGGTGAACCATTCAGGGAATCTTGTAGCACACAAAGGTCAGAGGTCAATTCAGGAAGCTCAGAAGGCCCACTGCTGGCTCATTGGTGGAATTTCAGCCTTTGGGATTCCACAACACAAAAAGATCAGTGATGAAATTGAAAACGAACCAGGAAAGACCCTTGTGCTGGGACTGGAGTACAAAGATTCTGCTACTGGAACTGGGGCCATTTCCAGGACATCCAGACATGAGGTACAGTTGTGAAATCATTTGTTTCTTAAATTTTACTGATTAAGGACTGTTTTGAGAGCTTGAAGTGGGGCCAAGCTACACTGTCTTGCGATAAGGTCTGTGGGGGAGTAGGTGAAGCCAAATTGCTAATGAAATTTTACTAATCCAATATAATCGCAGTGGTGATAAATCAGTAAATGATAAATTTCCAGTGTGAACAACTAGCAGTTCCAAGTTTCACAAAGCGTTTCTAAAAGCATTTCTAAATTCTAGTTATTATGGGACTAGAAGTCCTTAGGGGCATTTTAATAAATAGATAAGATTCAGGGTTGTGTAATTAGCACATCAGCAGAGATCCCCAAACAACTGTGCATGGATCAGTAGCATTAGAATCACCTGGTGGACTGCAACTGGTCTAAGGAATCTGATCTGAGAGAAAAGCCAGAGAATCTGCATTTTCTGCAAGCTCCCTAGAGAGCCACTGACATTGATGACTGAACTTCCCTTTAGAGCCCTGTCCAATTTATTCCACAGATAGCATTTTTATTTTATTTTATTTTGAGATGGAGTCTTGCTCTGTCACCCAGGCTGGAGTGCAGTGGCGCAATCTCAGCTCACTGCAACCTCCATCTCCCAGGTTCAAGCTATTCTCCTGCCTCAGACTCCCGAGTAGCTGGTATTGCAGGCGCATGCCACTATACCTGGGTAATTTTTATATTTTTAGTAGAGATGCGGTTTCACCACGTTGGTCAGGCTGGTCTCAAACTCCTGACCTCAGGTGATCCACCTGCCTCGCCTCCCAAAGTGCTGGGATTGTAGGCATGAGCCACTATGACTGGCCCACAGACAGCATTTTAAGTGTTCCAAAGAATTTAAGGATTTGAAGTCTTTGTTCTCTCAAATAGTTAAGCATCCTTTCTTCCAATAGTATCATGTAAACGTGAGTAAATACAGCTTCTTGTATGCCATAATGTGTAACTGTAGCTCAGTGCTTCTCAGAATTATCAGGAATTCCAGTTTAATAAATCTGAATTAACTCTTAATTCCAGAAAACCATCTCCCTAAATCCCTCTACTTCATTACAATTCCATCATACTCCTCTGAACGTACCTTCTCGCAGAGAACAATGTCTTTGGAACAATCTCTGCTGAATTCCACTTATGCCCCACTGTCATTCCTTTCATGCTTGAGTGACTTTTGTCTGGTGTAGTCGAGATGTGAGAAAAAGCCTTGATCCAGATCATCAGAATGTAAGGACTCTACAACCAGTCAGATTATTATCCTCAGTACACAGATAAAGACACAAGGGGTGCATCAGACTTTGACACCTGAGTAGGGTTTCTGCCCCCAAATCTCTGGGCAACTCACTCTTTCTGGTTGGCAGTTGAAAATGGTTTCTAAGTTTGTTCATAAATCCTAGGCTATCTCAGAATCCTGGATGGGGAGTCAGGTGACCTGAAATCAGTACTAGCCAGCTGCGTGGCCTTAAGCAAATAGCTGCTCTGCTCTGGGCTCTATTTTCCTGTGTAGTGGTAGGAACAAAGGTTTGAATCCTTACTCCACTTCCTACTGTTTATGTGATTTTTGGCAAGTTATTAACATCTAGCATCTCAGTCTCCTCGCCTGTAAGCAGAGGTAATAAAAGGACTGTTATTTTATACTCTTATGAATTCATATTTATAAATTTGTTATAAATTATTAGAGCAGTTTACTCAGATATTGTAAGTTTTAGCTATTGTTATATGTAGGAAGAAGGGAGATAATAGATATGAAAAACACTTTGAAATGATTGAAAGCCCATATGTACATGAGAAGATAAGTGAAAAAGATACAGTATTAACTATCTAATTCTGTGTAACAAATTATTCCCAAGTTTTGCAGCTTGCTTACTATCTCACATAGTTTCTAAAAATAAATGGTTTTGGCTCAGTGTGTCTCATAAGAGTCAGGAGCTCAACTAAGCTGGAGGACCTGAGATGTCAGTAGCTGATTAAAACAACCAGCCCAAACAGAAGTGATAGCGAGGTCTTTCATCACTTACTGTGATAGTGTTCATAAGAGGCTAAGATGGGAGAAAGCGCCAATCACCTGCAGTTCCATTTTTCCCCCTTGGAATAGTATGTTGGTTGAGGGTCAGATGATTTGTCTCAGTGTTGAAGGAGCCCTGAACAAAGGGCTCCTGAAGTTTTATGGACCTGGGGTGGGAAGGAGGACTAGAAGTAGGAAAGTGCAGCGTAACAACATTTGGGTTAACAATGGATTTCATATACCCAAGTGGTCCCACAAGATTATAATGATGCTGAAAAATTCCTACTGCCTAGTGATGCTGGAGCCATCATAAAGTGGCAGCACAATGCATTCCTTGCATGTTTGTGATGATACTGGTGTAAACAAACCAATGGCACTATCAGTTGTATAAAACCACAGCACATACAAATTATGTACAGTACATAATACCTGATCATGATAATGAATATGTTACTGGCTTACTATTTAGGATAGCATAGTTTTAATCATCATTTCAGAGTGTACTCCTACTACTTATATTTTTTAAAGTTAGCTGTAAAACAGCCTCAGGCAGGTCCTTCAGGAGGTATCCAGAAGAAGGCATTGTTATCGTAGGAGATGACAGCTCCAAGTGTTATTGCTCCCGAAGACCTTCCAGTGGGACAAGATGTGGAGGTGGAAGACAGACATACTGATGACCCTAATCCTGGGTAGGCCTAGGATAATGTGTGTGTTTTTGTCTTAGTTTTTAACAAAAAAGCTTTTAAAATTTTGAAAAAGTTTTTAAGTAGAAAAAAAAAGCTTAACAGAATAAGGATATAAAGAAAATGTTTTTGTATAGCTGTATAATGTGTTTGTGTTTTAAGCTAAGTATTATTGCAAAAGAGTCAAAAAGTTTTTAAAAATTTAAGTTTATAAACTAAAAAGTTCTAGTAAGCTAAGGTTAATTTATTTTTGAAAAAGAAAATATTTTTTATAAATTCAGTGCAACCTAAGTGTACGGTGTTTATAAAGTCTACAGCAGTGTACAGGTATGTCCCAGGCCCTCACATTCACTCAGCACTCACTAGAGCAATTTCCAGTCCCGCAAGATCCATTCATGGTAAGTGCCCTATACAGGTGTATCATCTTTTATCTTTTATACTATATTTTAACTGTGCCTTTTTTTTTTTTTTTTTTTTTTTGAGACAGAGTTTCGCTCTTGTTGCCCAGGTTGGAGTGCAATTGCGTCATCTTGGCTCACCGCAAACTCCACCTCCCGGGTTCAAGCGATTTTCCTGCCTCAGCCTCCCGAGTAGCTGGGATTACAGGCATGCACCACCACGCCTGACTGTATCTTTTCTATGTTTAGATACACAAGTACTTACCATTGTGTTAGAGTTGCCTACAGTAGTCAGCATAGTAACATGCTGTACAGGTTTGTAGCCTAGGAGCAATCAGCCATACCATACAGCCTAGGTGTGTAGCAGGCTATACCATCTAGGTTTGTGTAAGTACATTCTGTTTCTCAAGGTGACGTGCTGGGACCACCCGTATGATCACCTGAGGAACCTGCTGCCCTCCAGGCCTGTGTTTGCTTTCTCATTCACTAGTTTTAAAATGGAACCAGGACATTTAACATTTTAAGTTCACCTGTGATTTTGCTGCCTGCAACAATTTGAGAACCACCAGATGAGGAGGCTGAAAAGGAGGGGGAGAGTAGGTCAGAAACAACCAGAAAGGCTTGGCAATGACACAGTCAGGTGATCGTCACTTACTGTGCATTATACACTCTCTACTTGTTTTTACTCTTCCCTTTTCCAGGTAGGAATGTTCCATCTCTGGCTAGATTCACCTGGAAATACAGAAGGAAAGCTAATTGGGAATGGCTTAAAAAAATCAGGATTTAGACTAAGAACAGATGTGGCTCTTATAGTGGTACTCAGTGATAGCACCATCCCAAACACCGGGGCTGGTCTAGATTGTCTTTCTGGCTTTTTTTTTTTTTTTTTTTCTGCTGATAGAAAATGCAAACCTTGATTGACATATGAGCTGGTTAGGTTGCTTCTCACGCGTATCTGCATGCCCTGTGACAGGTTGATTAGAACTATTTAGCTTGACTTGATTTATCTGGTTCAGCCTCACGGGGATATTTCAGATTGCATTGAAGTGGTCCTGGTGCTAAAGCAGAGGCCATGCTTTGCTGTGGGAAAGCTGGCTGGACTTCGGTGGTCCTATGGGACAGAGTTCGCTGTTTCAGTGGTGTAGTGATTGTGGCCACTGGTAATGATGCAGTGAATGAGTAGTTAATAAAGCGTGCAAATCCTAATGGCAGTGGCTATCTGAGCAAGAGGTCTTCATTCGGAGCCTACTGGGAAGAATCATAGAAGTAAGAAATTCACATCTCTTGTTCTTGGTAACATGATAGAGCATTATCAACATTTGATATTTTTGTCTGCCATCCACACTGGCCCCAATCAACAGCAGTCTGGAAAATCCCCGAAAGAGTATGTATAAATTTCTTTCTTTAGGGTCTTAAAAAGCCCAAGGGCATGGCCTAAGAAATGTGAATAAGTTTTCCACTCATCTACTGATTGCTTTCTGACCAGATTATGTGTTACACAGAAGTCCAATTTAATGAAGAGAAAGGTCTCATGCTTAGGACAGTGAGGATCTACTTCTCACTGTGGTATTATGGATCCAATACTCTGAAAAGCCATCCAGCTGAAACACGCATAGATCCTGAACAACAAACATGTTTTTTAAAATGGCTGCGTTTGCAAGAAAGTAAATTCCTAAGAGCCAAAATTTAAAACTAGACTGAAATCAGGGCTGCAAGTGAACATAGAAGACTGGCCTTCCCTAGGGCAGATGCTGATACCTAGAATCTAGAGCTTTGGGGTTTATACTCACTAAGAAAATTAAAGGGCAGGCCTTGTGCCTATGCAAGACAAGGAAATAGAGCCTGGGATGCAAATATAATGTCAAGGCCTGTTGAAAGAGCTATGACTTCAATGAAATAATGAGTTAGAAAAAAATCTGACAAAGCAGCAAAAGGCAGCTAAGAGGAGATTGTCTGGGTTGCTGCACTGGGTGGAAAACAACAACAACAACGAAAATCACAATATGTGTCTCCAGAGAATTTTAAATCTCATCCAATCACTTGTGATTGTGGAGTTTACATTTATACTGTCCATTGAGCCAGGAAAATCCCAAACTGGAGGAAGTAAAGTAGTCCAGGTTGGTAGTATTTCCTGGTGCCTGGCATAAGCAAATACAGGTCATGGAGAAGCAGAACTTACTTGAACTCTTAGGATTCTCACACATTAGATTAAAACAAATACAAATTCCTAATTGAAAAATTACCAATCACAAGTAAACAAACCTTGATGACTAAAAGTCAGCAACCACAACAAACATTAGATTTAGAACATATAGAATTCAGATAATGGAACTTTCCAATGTTGAATATAGGCAACTATTTAAAGAAAGGAAAGTTAAAAGTAAAAAAAATCTAGAACACAAAAATAACAAAATAATTAGCAAGCAGAATCCAATACCATGTCGAGAAAATAATAAATCATGACCAAATGAGATTTATTCTAGGAATGAAGAGTTGGTTTAATGTTAGAAAATTTATTAATATATACCATATTAATAAGCAGAAGTGGGAGCACACCTTTAAATAGCTCTATTGTGACATAACCTAAATAAATAGCACATATTTAAAATGAGCTATTTGATGAGTTTTGACACATGCACACCTGTGAAACCAGCACCAAAGGCAAGAAAATAAACATACACATCACCTCAAAAAGTTTCTTCATGCTATTTTGTAATCCTTCCCCCCTTTTTCTTTTTGTGAGCTCCTCCCCATAGTCATGCAACCACTGATAGGCTTTCTGTTACTATAGATTAGTTTGCATCTTCTAGAATTTTATATAAATAGAGTCATACAGTATGTACTCTAATTTCATCCGGCTTCTTCCACTCAGCATAATTATTTGGGGATTTGTTCGTGTTGTTATGTGTATCAGTCAATCATTCTTTTTTGCTGAGTGTTGTTCCAATGTTTGTTAGACTTTAGAACATTTGTGGTAGGTTTTCTCCAGTTGAGTGGGCTCCAGCAATTGTGCAGGGTAGAGGGAAATGGAAGAATGGAAAAGGCCTCCACTTGCTCCTTAAGGTCAACAGCCATAGGTCTATTTGGATTCAGAAGCATAGGTAATCCTTAAATTTGGCTTATGCCCTTGGAGTGAACAGAGCTCTTATGGGACTGCGGCTCTAACTTGTCCTGGTTTGTGTCTGTATTGAGGCATAGAAACTGGCTAACGAGCTTTGAATCTATATATTTCTATGTTCTTAAGTGGTTGCACTAGCATGCATGTTGGGGGACTTTGCCACGCAAGCTATATTTTCTTCTTGATTTTTTCTGAAAAACCAAGGTGCAAAAGCTTGTTTGGTTCACTCTGGCCACACCTGGGTCCCTCCCAACCTTATCACAGGAGCCCAGAAGGAAACTAACCAAACTTTTTGCTGAAGGTTGTATAATGTGTGGTGGGGGAAGGTGGCAGAGGAGTGGGGGAGAACACAGCTTTGAAACAATGACTTACAACTATCTTCTCACAAACATTTATCATTCCTTGGATTTCTTATAAAATGCTCAGGTAGGAGGAAGAAGGTATGGAACAAAAGGTAAGAATGGAGTTCAGGAGGATTCATAACTCTTCCCAGACACATGGAGACCTGTGAGTCCATAGCAGTTTCCTTAACAGTCTGTCATGCTAGGGTAACAGCTAGCTTCAGGCCTGCAGAAAGATGGGAAGCTAGGACCAATCAAGTTGTCTTAGGGTTTAAGTGAAGAGTGTGCAATTGAGAGGAGACCAGAATGATCCTGAGATACATCGCGCTGGTGAGCCGCATCTGATGTTCTGGGAACCGCTGAGAAGAATCAGGACAAACGTTGGCTGAGGGTCAGGAGGATAGACCTGGGTAGGCATGGAGGATCATAAGGGTGAGAAAGGAGCTGGAGAAGCAGCATGTGACCATGTCAGGAAAGGTAAGAGTGGCTGATAATAAGAAAAGTAAACAAATGATTTTCAGACTGTGAAGGTTTATCGGCTAAGGTCTTTTGCTATCTCAGCTCTTGTAGCATACTTCCTTCCAATCCAGGCTGGAACCGATTCTCAAGCAGGTTGTCACAGAGGCAAACTGGAACACCTGCTAGGGGAATGTGGTAGCAGCAGGGAAATGTACTTTCTTATGGGAATCTTTGGCTTTCCTGAAAAATTGATTATGTGCTTTAAAAAGTCTTTTGAATAGTGGCTCTTCTAGTGCTTTAGAAATTACTTGATTTATACACAAAATTCCTGCTGAGTAACCAATGTACCATATTTTTAAAACAATAATGATTGTAATTCCACCATAGCCATGATCCCCACTCTGATCATCGCAAATGCAGATAAGCAGGAATTATGTTTGTCAGCAGCAAAAGCAGCAATAGCAGCCAAAATGAATTTGGCTTGCTATATGCCAGAGACTATTCTGACAGCATTTCAAACATTAATTCATTTAATTCTCACCACAGTCTTATGAGGCAGGCATCATTATTCCCATTTTATAGAGTGACCTTGGTACATTTCACTGAGTTAACAATGTTTTCTTTCTTTTTTATTTTTATTTTTTTAATCATACTTTAAGTTCTAGGGTACATGTGCACGACGTGCAGGTTTGTTACATATGTATACATGTGCCATGTTGGTGTGCTGTGCCCATTAACTCGTCATTTAGCATTAGGTATATCTCCTAATGCTATCCCTTCCCCCTCCCCACACCCTACAACAGGCCCCAGTGTGTGATGTTCCCCTTCCTGTGTCCAAGTGTTCTCATCGTTCAATTCCCATGTATGAGTGAGAACAGGCAGTGTTTGGTTTTTTTGTTCTTGTGATAGTTTGCTGAGAATGATAGTTTCTTGTTTCATGCATGTCCCTACAAAGGACGTGAACTTATCCTTTTTATGGCTGCATAGTATTCCATGGTGTATATGTGCCACATTTTCTTAATCCAGTCTATCATTGATGGATATTTGGGTTGGTTCCAAGTCTTTGCTATTGTGAATAGTGCTGCAATAAACATACGTGTACATGTGCCTTTATAGCAGCATGATTTATAATCCTTTGGGTATATAGCCAGTAATGGAATGGCTGGGTCAAATGGTATTTCTAGTTCTAGATCCTTGAGGAATCACCACACTGTCTTCCAGAATGGTTGAACAAGTTTACAGTCCCACCAACAGTGTAAAAGTGTTCCTATTTCTCCACATCCTCTCCAGCACCTGTTGTTTCCTGACTTTTTAATGATCACCATTCTAACTGGTGTGAGATGGTATCTCACTGTGGTTTTGATTTGCATTTCTCTGATGGCCAGTGATGATGAGCATTTTTTCATGTGTCTGTTGGCTGCGTACATGTCTTCTTTTGCGAAGTGTCTGTTCATATCCTTTGCCCACTTTTTGATGGGGTTGTTTTTTTCTTGTAAATTTGTTTGAGTTCATTGTAGATTCTGGATATTAGCCCTTTGTCAGATGAGTAGATTGCAAAAATTTTCTCCCATTCTGTAGGTTGCCTGTTCACTCTGATGGTAGTTTCTTTTGCTGTGCAGAGGCTCTTTAGTTTAATTAGATCCCATTTGTCAATTGTGGCTTTCATTGCCATTGCTTTTGGTGTTTTAGATATGAAGTCCTTGCCCATGCCTATGTCCTGAATGGTATTGCCTAGGTTTTCTTCTAGGGTTTTTATGGTTTCAGGTCTAACATTTAAGTCTTTAATCCATCTTGAATTAATTTTTGTATACAGTGTAAGGAAGGGATCCAGTTTCAGCTTTCTACATATGGCTAGCCAGTTTTCCCAGCACCATTTATTAAATAGGGAATCCTTCCCCCATTTCTTCTTTTTGTCAGGTTTGTCAAAGATCAGATGGTTGTAGATGTGTGGTATTATTTCTGAGGGCTCTTTTCTGTTCCATTGGTCTATATCTCTGTTTTGCTACAGTAACCATGCTGTTTTGGTTACTGTAGCCTTGTAATATAGTTTGAAGTCAAGTAGCGTGATGCCTCCAGCTGTGTTCTTTTGGCTTAGGATTGACTTGGCGATGTGAGCTCTTTTTTGGTTCCATATGAACTTTAAAGTAGTTTTTTCCAATTCTGTGAAGAAAATCATTGGTAACTTGATGGGGATGGCATTGAATCTATAAATTACCTTGGGCAGTATGGCCATTTTCACGATATTGATTCTTCCTATCTATGAGCATGGAATGTTCTTCCATTTGTTTGTATCCTCTTTTATTTCATTGAGCAGTGGTTTGTAGTTCTCCTTGAAGAGGTCCTTCACATGCCTTGTAAGTTGGATTCCTAGGTATTTTATTCTCTTTGAAGCATTTGTGAATGGGAGTTCACTCATGATTTGGCTCTCTGTTTGTCTGTTATTGGTGTATAAGAATGCTTGTGATTTTTGCACATTGATTTTGTATCCTGAGACTTTGCTGAAGTTGCTTATCAGCTTAAGGAGACTTTGGGCTGAGACGATGGGGTTTTCTAGATTTACAATCATATCATCTGCAAACAGAGACAATTTGACTTCCTCTTTTCCTAATTGAATACCCTTTCTTTCTTTCTCCTGCCTGATTGCCCTGGTTAGAACTTCCAGCACTATGTTGAATAGGATTGGTGAGAGAGGGCATCCCTGTCTTGAGCCAGTTTTCAAAGGGGATGCTTCCAGTTTTTGCCCATTCAGTATGATATTGGCTGTGGGTTTGTCATAAATAGCTCTTATTATTTTGAGATATGTCCCATCAATACCTAATTTATTGAGAGTTTTTAGCATGAAGAGTTGTTGAATTTTGTCAAAGGCCTTTTCTGCATCTATTGAGATAATCATGTGGTTTTTGTCTTTGGTTCTGTTTATAGACTGGATTATATTTAGTGATTTGCATATGTTGAACCAGCCTTGCATCCCAGGGATGAAGCCCACTTGATCATGGTGGATAAGCTTTTTGATGTGCTGCTGGATTCGGTTTGCCAATATTTCATTGAGAATTTTTGCATGGATGTTCATCAGGGATATTGGTCTAAAATTTTCTTTTTTTGTTGTGTCTCTGCTAGGCTTTGGTATTAGGATGATGCTGGCCTCATAAAATGAGTTAGGGAGGATTCCCTCTTTTTCTATTGATTGGAATAGTTTTAGAAGGAATGGTACCAGTTCCTCCTTGTACCTCTGGTAGAATTCGGCTGTGAATCTGTCTGGTCCTGGACTTTTTTGGGTTGGTAGACTATTAATTATTGCCTCAATTTCAGAGCCTGTTATTGGTCTATTCAGGGATTCAACTTCTTCCTGGTTTACTCTTGGGAAAGTTTATGTGTTCAGGAATTTATCCATTTCTTCGAGATTTTCTAGTTTATTTGCGTAGAGGTGTTTATAGTATTCTCTGATGGTAGTTTGTATTTCTGTGGGACTAGTGGTGATATCCCCTTTATTATTTTTTATTGCGTCTATTTGATTCTTCTCTCTTTTCTTCTTTATTAGTCTTGCTAGCAGTCTATCAATTTTGTTGATCTTTTCAAAAAACCAGCTCCTGGATTCATTGATTTTTTGAAGGGTTTTTTTGTGTCTCTATCTCCTTCAGTTCTTCTCTGATCTTAGTTATTTCTTGCCTTCTGCTAGCTTTTGAATGTGTTTGCTCTTGCTTCTCTAGTTCTTTTAATTGTGATGTTAGGGTGTCAATTTTAGATCTTTCCTGTTTTCTCTTGTGGGCATTTAGTGCTATAAATTTCCCTCTACACACTGTTTTAAATGTGTCCCAGAGATTCTGGTATGTTGTGTCTTTGTTCTCATTGGTTTCAAAGAACATCTTTATTTCTGCCTTCATTTCGTTATGTACCCAGTAGTCATTCAGGAGCAGGTTGTTCAGTTTCCATGTAGTTGAGCGGTTTTGAGTGAGTTTCTTAATCCTGAGTTCTGGTTTGATTGCACTGTGATCTGAGAGACAGTTGGTTATAATTTCCGTTCTTTTACATTTGCTGAGAAGTGCTTTACTTCCAATTATGTGGTCAATTTTGGAATAAGCGTGATGTGGTGCTGAGAAGAATGTATATTCTGTGGGTTAACAATGTTTTCATTGGGTTAACAGTTCTTTATAAAAGCCACGTAACAAGTATGTTAATAGTAAAATTTTAAATCAATTCAACTAATGATATAAAATGAATTATAATCACAGTCATATTTATTCAATGAACTTCGTTAATTAGAGTTTTGGGGGTCATGTACAGAGAAGAAGACCTTAAGCAGAATGAATCTGTGATTTCCATCTTTTGAAAAGTCTTTTGCTTAATTGTGAGAAAAATAATCTTTATTGTAGACACACAAAACAGAGGGACCTATGGGTTTTGTTTTGTTTTAAACTTAGCTCTCAGTGACTTTTGATTACTCAATTTTGGTGACAATTTGTATTGGCCACTTAAGTCAGTTTACATTATAATAAGCAAATTTTTTTAGAGAAATTGAGACATGGATAGGACAAGTAAGTTACATTTTGGAATTAATTCTTATAAAGATAGATGATTTGATTTCATCTGTGGATTTGTATTTTTAGCAACTGTCATACTATGAAAGGATCTCATTTTATTAAGGAGAAATTAAGTATGAAATATATAGATTCAAAGCTCATTAGATTAGTAATATATCAAAGATTCTGATGACACCCAGGTTTATGTAAAAAGGATAACACAATATGTAAAGGCAATGTTTTCTTTTCTCACAATAAATTTAGTTCACTATAAGTGTATACAGGAGATTGACAAATCTCTTTCTGCTCTGGGTGCATTCAGAAAAGTGAGAAATAGGAGAACTTCTTCCAGAAGGACTGAAAGAAGGAATAAAAGGTAGAGAAAGTAGTAGAGTCATAAAAAGCATGGAACTGCCTTCCCCACTAAAAATTTATCCTATTTGTCCAACTTGGATCTTTATATGATAGCTGGAAAGGGTAAAACATTAAATCTGTATCTTCCATTGACATTTCAGCATCATGTTGCATTTTAGGCTGTAACCAATTTTCCTGATTTCTTTCCACCCATTTCCCTTGAATAAAAGAGTTGGCGTAGAGAAATGATACCGTACGGATGAGAGGCTTAGTATTCCAATGGGACAGATCCAAAATGAATGCTGCAATGGAAATGCTGGGACCTGAATGCCTTCAAGACCCCTTCAGAATATGCACTACACTGGGTTTCCCACATAATGGCGAGAATGATAATTAAGTGATTTGGCCATCGCATTTGGTGTTACAGAGAGCTGTTAACAATTGAGGTGGGCACTAGCCCTGGATCTTGTCTTTTGCCACTCCCCAGCCTCATGAGGAGCTAGTCATTGTCCCAACTTCTGATAGCATCTGTATACAGCTGACTTCTACATTTTTAATTCAAGCCCAAACCTCTCCTCTCAACTATGAATCCATGTAAATTTCACTGCTTTTTCAACATCTCTACTTGATTATCTCGTAAGGCCCTAGGATGCAGCAGTGAACAAAACAGGCAAAAAGTGTCCTGGGAGAACTTACATTCTAGGTATCTACTCAATATGTCCCAAACTGAATTCATATTCCCTAAATGTGCCCTATCTACTCAGTTGCTCTGCCTGGAAACCATGTCTTCTTAGCTTTACCTCTAAGGTATTTTTCTTATTATTTGGTCCCAACACAATAATACAAGAAATCCGTCATTTCTCTCCTGAACTTCTATAAAAGGCTTCTAATTGGCCTCCCTCCATGTTCTCCTCCAATCTGAGCCAAAATTATTACTTGTTTCATTCTTCAAGAGTGATCCTTTTAAAATGCAAATCTGATTATGACTAGGTTAAACCCTGCTTAAAAATTCTTCAAATGCAACTTGAATAACATTCAGAGCCTATGAGACCTGGCACAGTCTCGCTCCTGCCTACCTCCCCAGCTCTCCTCTCTTACTTAACTCTGAGTTCCAGCCACAGTGACATTCAGTGTGCTTTTAACTATGCCAAAATTCTTCTCACTTTAGTGACACTTCTTCCATTGAACCAACTCCAAATCATTTTCAGATCTCAGCTTGAACATCTTTTTCTTGCCTACAATTTTTTGCCAGGTTATACTTAGTCCCTTTATGCATATATTTCCCCATACCTGCATACATACATACACACACACACACCCCCACACACACTCTCTCTTTCTCTCTCTCTCTCTCTCTCTCTCTCTCACACACACACTTTTTTCTTATGCTTTCTAACATGGTAATTAAGTAATTACCATGTTACTTAATTACTGTGTGATGATCTGCTTAATATCTGTTTTCACCATTGGGGAGGGAACTGTGTTTATTTCTGTCGCCACAGAATATCCAGTGAAATAGTAGAATATCACAGTGAAAATAGTAGACACTCAATGAATATGTGTTATAGTTGAATATAAATATGTGTTATAGTTGTTGAATATTGGAAAAGGTTATAACTCCTTCAGGTAAGCCAGTATTACACCAAAAAGAGATAAAAATTCATTATTAAGGGCTACATGAATGTTGATAATAAGAGTGACTGACAGGAACAAAGAGACGTTGTAGCAGCTCCAACCTGGCAACAGTGATAGTAGAAATGTCATCAAAGATGAAAAGTGACTTTCGTTTGTATAAAATGAACCAGCAGACACTCATGATTGTAAGTAGGATTTCTGGTGATTTGTCCTGCACTGAATGCCTTTGGATCTATGATTTCCCTATAGACAGGTATTCAGATGTGGTTGAGTAGAGTTGTATAGAGGGTAGCATGAAATGCTAAACTGGAATGGGCAGAAACCCAGGTGACTGGTAAATACAGAAAGAAAATCCTACATAGTACATATGCAGGTAGATTCTTGTGATGGCTTTTAAATCTGGTTTAGGATGCATATGCATACATATGCAATGAACTGAAAAGCTTTAAGGTTGGGGATGGTGCCCCACACAGGGAACATGAATGTCTTTTTTACAGAACTCCTGTTGAATTCAGATTTCAAAAGAACAGAGTAGCCCCCCCAAAAATGTGTAGTAATGATTTCATAATGGACATGCCTCAAGGTTTGGAACCTTCTTAAATTATTCAAAAATCCTCTGAAATATTTAATTTTCAGCCTTGAAGGACAGGGTTTATTTTGTTTGGGGAAGAAAAAATGTCTCTATATTTCTGAGAGCTTGTTCTTGAATAAAAATAAACCAAGATAAGTAGATGTATGCATATATATATATATGTGTGTGTGCATATATATATATATATATATATATATATGGATATGTGGCATATGTTTCCTGTATTTTCATCCCAAAATGTTGAGTAAAACATTCAGACTCTGCTTAATGCCAAATGTTGCATCAATGCACCATAGAAGTACTACTGTTGTTGAGCTGCTAGGTCAACATTGAAATTATCTGTAAAATTTTAAGCTGCTTTTAGTAATAAATTGCTTTTTTGCAAAGATGCTTTGATCATAATGTACTGTCACCTTTTCTCACTAATTAAACTATGATAAGGGAGTCTGAATAGACTTCTAGTATCTTATTCCTATAAAAGACCTGAATAAAGATGTATTTCTTTTTATTTTTTGTCTGGTCATGGTTAACAATAAACAGAACTACTTTTTAAAAGATAATTCCCGGCCACTCTGGAAAACAGTTTGGCAATTTCTTCAAGTAAACATGTAGTTACCATACAATCCAGCAGTTGCACCCTTGGGTGTTTATCCCAGAGAAATGACAACTTAGGCTCATATAATATACGCAAATGTCCATAGCAGCTTTATTTGTAACTGCCAAAGTCTGGAAACAACTTAAATGTTCTTGACTGGGTTCATGGTTAACAAACTGGTATGTGTGGTATGTACCGTGTGTATTAGTCAGGGTTCTCTAGAGGAACAGAACTAATAGGATGTATGTATATATGAAAGGAAGTTTGTTATTAAGGAGAATTGACTCACACAATCACAAGGTGAAGTCCCACAACAGGCCGTCTGCAAGCTGAGGAGCAAGGAAGCCCAAAACCTCAAAAGTTTGGAAGCCAACAGTGCAGCCTTCAGTCTGTGGCCAAAGGCCTGAGAGACCTTGGCAAACCACTGGTGTAAGTCCAAAGTCTGAAAGCTGAAGAACTTGGAGTCTTCAAGGGCAGGAAGTTCGAGGGCAGGAAGCATCCAGCACTGAATGAAGGCCAGAAGACTCGGCAAGTCTGCTTTATTCTAGCAGTTGATCAGATGGTGCCCACCCACATTGAGGGTGGGTGGGCCTCTCCCCAGTCCACTGACTCAAATGTTAATCTCCTTTGGCAACACCCTCACAGACATACCCAGGAACAATACTTTGCATCCTTCAATCCAATCAAATTGACACTTAATATTAACCATCACACCACGGATTTCTACTCAGTAATAAAACAAAATGGATAATTATGCAGGCAACAATTTGGATGAGCCTCCAGGGAATTATGCGGAGTGGGGGAAAAAAAGTCAATCCTGAAAGATTTCAAACTATATGACTCCATCATATAAGATTTCTGGAATGACAAAATTATTGAAAACAGAGCTGATTAGTGGTTGCCATGGGTTGGGAGTTGGAGGTGGCTGGTGAAGTGGGATAGAGAGTTGAGTGGGGTTATAAAAGGGCAACACAGGGATCTTTGTTGTGATGAAAATATTCTGTATCTTTGTTATCCATTCACTAGCTGATAGACATT
The DNA here is from genome assembly GCF_000001405.40 of Homo sapiens. Taxonomy (NCBI): domain Eukaryota; kingdom Metazoa; phylum Chordata; class Mammalia; order Primates; family Hominidae; genus Homo; species Homo sapiens. Next base: position 112,724,367 of record NC_000007.14, read on the forward strand.
TGAATTGTTTCCAATTTTTGGCTACTATGAATAATGCTACTATGCACATTCATATACAGGTCTTTGTAGGACATGTTTTCATTTTGGTCTCTAGGAGTGAAATTGCTAGATAATAGTAAGTTAACTTTAACTTTTGAAGCCATTGCCAAAATGTTTCCTAAAGTGGCTGTACCATTTTACACTCTCAGGACCAATGCATGAGGGTTCCAGATACTTCACATACTTCACAGAGTTACTAACATTTGGTACTGTCTTTTTCTTTATTTTGATGGGTGTGGAATGATATCTCACTGTGATTTTAATTTGCATTTCTTTAATGACTAATGATATTGAGCATCTTTTCATATGCTTATTAGCCATTTATATATGTTTACAGTGAAATGTCTGTTTAAGCCTATTGCCCATTTTTAAATTGGGTAACTTATGTTCTTATGATTGAGTTTTAAGAGTTATTTACATATTCTGGATATAAAAAATCTCTTTATCAAATGATTTGCAAAATTTTTTTCTTAGTCTATGGCTTATCATTCTGTTTTCTTAATGATGTTTTTTAAGGAGCAAATGTTTTTAATTTTGAAAGTCTAATTTACCAACTTCTTATTTAAATTGAACAGGCTTTTGGTGTCATATTTAAGAAATCTTTTCTAATCCAGTGTCACAGAGATTTTCTCATGTTTTCTAGAAGTCTTATAGTTTTAGCTCTTACATTTAGGTCTATAATCCATTTTTTATTTTTTTTCTTTGTAGTGTGAAATAACAGTCTAAGTTCTATTTTTTGTGCGTGTGGATAGCCAATTGTCTTAGCATCATTTGCAGAAAAGATTTTTCTTTTCCCCATTGAATTGCTTTGCAAAACCATTGTCAAAACTCAGTTCACCATAAATGTAAAGATTTATTTCTAGACTCTCTCTCTTCTGTTATATTAATCTATATGTCTATTCTTATGTCAATACTATACTGTTTTGATTACTGTAGCTTTATGGTAAGTTTAAAAATAAAAAAGTGTAAGGTCTCCACTTTTGTTCTTCAGAATTGTTTTGGCTATTCTAGGTTATTTGTATTTCCATATGAAGTTTAGGATTGATATACTCATTTCTATAAAAAGCTTGCTGAAATCAGGATGACATTGACTCTAGATAAATTTGGGAAGAATTACCATCTTAATGATATTGAGTCTTCCAATCTATTAACAGGTTATGTCTTTCCATTTATTGAGGTCTTTTTTAGTTCCTTTTAGCAATGCTGTTATGAGGGAAATTATCTTAATTTTGTTTTCAGATTGTTAATTGCTAGTATATACAAATATAATTGATTTGTATATATTAATATTATGTCCTTAAAGCTTGCTAACCCTGTTTATTAGTTTTAGCAGCTTTTTAAAGATTCTTTAGGATTTTATACATGTCATCTGCAAATAAAATACCATATCATCTACAAATAAAACAGTTTAATGTCTTCCTTTCTAATTTGCATAATTTTAATTTCTCTTCTTGCCTTATTGTGCTGGCTAAACTTCTGGTACAATGTTGATAGAAGTGGCAAGAGCAGATATCTTTGCTTTTTTCCCAATTTCAGGGACAAAGCATCTGTTCTTTCACCAGTATTACATTAGCTGTAGGGGTTTCTTCTCTGTTGTTTGTTGTGTAGTATAAAGCCTAAAATTAAGGCTCAGAATTACATGCTGTCTTGACGTTTGGTAAAAGCGGGATGTCCTCAAATGGCCTAACAGCAAGTTCCCCACTCTGTTCTGTTCCCATGGCTAAGGTCACATAGTTAAACAATTCCCTTTATCAAACAGAACAGGTGCAGTTCCTGCTTATCTCTGAGTAGTGGGTTTCAGTTCCCTGCCAGCCCATGGAATTATTCAAACAAGCCAATCACATCCTCCCACAGACAACACAGACCTCCCACAGACGGGGGTCACCTGACCCTCTTGAAACTACAAAGCCTGCCTCCCATAATCCCCGGATGTTCAATTTCCCATTGCAACCCCCGAGTGGCCCCACATGGCATGTGGTGTCCTCCTCCCCTAAGCTGTGAGTATATGTGACTAATAACTGCTGTTGATCTCATCTGTCCAGTGTCAGGTATTGTGTATCTATCTCTAGAATCCTAGGACAAGAATGCCTCCCTCATCAGTGAGATAAATAGGAGACAACAAAAACATTTTTGTAGACTCCCGTTATGAGGCTGAGAAAGTATACATCTAGTTCTAGTTTGTTTTTAATCATGAATTGATGTTAGGCTTTGTTAAACAGTTTTTCTAAAAAAAAATCTGAGATAATCATGTCATTTTTTGATCTAATCTTTGAATATGCATTAATTGATTTTCATTTGTTAACCAAGTTTGCATTCCTGGGATAAATCCCATTTGTTCATGGAATATAATTCTTTTCGTATGTTGCTGGATTCAATGTCTAATGTTTTTTCTGGATTTTTGTGTCTATGTTTATTTTGGTCTGTTTTCTCTTTACTAGTGAAGTCTGTATCTGGCTTTAGTATCAAAATATAAATAACCTCTTAGAATGAGTTGGGGACTTTTCCTTAGTCATTTTTATTTCTTCTGCTTGTTTTGGTTGAATTTGCTCTTTGTCTGTTTTTCTTAAGGTGAAGCTTAGGTTATTGATTCAAGATTCTCTTTTTTCAAATATTTGTTTTTAAAGCTATATATGTTGAGCACTGCATTAGCTCCAACTTATATCTTTTGTAATGTTGTGCTTTTGTTTTCATTCAGGCCAAAATAATTTCTAATTTACCTTGTGATTTCTTCTTAGTCCTATGGGTTATTCATAACTGTGTTATTTAATTTTCAAATATTTAGAGATTTCTCAAATTTATTTCTATTAATTGGTAATTAAATTCCATTGTGGTCAAATAGCATACTTTGAATGATTGTTTTATGGCTTGCCATATGGTCTATCCTGGAGAATGTTCCATGTGTACTTGAGGTAAACATTCATTTCTCTCTTGGGTGGAAAGTAGGTGGTTATATGCATCTTACCATATTATATACCAGTTAGGTTCAAAGGACTTAGTGTTGTTCAATTCTTCCATATCCTTTTTGATTTTATGTCTATTAGTTCTATCCAGTATTAAAAGTTCAGTATCAGAGTTTCTAATTATAGTTTTTAAATAGTCTCTTTCACCTTTGAATTTTGTCAGTTTTAACTTCTTCTGATATGAGGCTCCTTTGTTTGATGATTATAAATTAAAATTTGTTTTACTTTAATAAAATTGACTCATTATTAAATGTTCCTTTTTATCTCTAATAGTATCATTTTGTTTTATATTAATATAGCCACTCCAACTACATTAGTATCCTTTTATTTACATCCAGTTGTGTCTTGGATTCTGTATTGTCTCTTTTGATAGCATATAGTTGAATATTGCTATTTAAATCTGATCTGAAAATCTCTGCCTTTTAATTAGAATGTTAGTGCACTTACTGTAATTTATTTGTTTCATTGGACCTGTGGCTGCCATTTTGTTATTTGTTTTTTAGATATGTTATGTTTTTTTTTATCTGTTCCTCTTTTATGGCCTTCTTTGGTGTGAAAAAAATTTTTTAGTGTATAATTTTAATTCCTCTTTCAAATTCTTAAGTATGCTTGAGTTATTTTCTTAGCAATTCTGCTGGGGATTACTATATGCCTCATAATTTATAATTGTCTACATCAGGTTAATACAGACTTAATTACAGTAAAATATAACTTTGCTTTAATATAGCTTTGTGCTGTTATTGTCATAATATAACAATTTATAATATAAACCCAACAATATAGGGTTGTAATTACTGCTTTATATAATCTTATGTCTCTTAAAGCAATTAAAAGAAGAAATTAGAACATGTATACATTTTTTATACTTATTGACATATTTACCATTTCAGTCATTCTGTGGATTCAAGCGACCATCCTATGTTATTTCCTCTCGGTATGAAGACTTTCTTTAGTATTTGTTTAGTATTTCATGTTAGGCAGATCTATGATCTATGATCTCTCAAACTTTGCTGGGTATAAAATTATTGGTTGACAGTTTTTTTCTTTTCTTTTTTTTAACCTTCAACCTACTCACACCAGACAGTTTTTTTTAAAATCCCAGAACTTTGTATGTTTTTCTGCTCTCCACTGTGAAGATAATCCTAAAGAGATATGACTTCTACCTTCTTTTTGAACTCAAGATCCAAGTCCTTCCTGCCTCATAATCTTGGCTCTTTTATTGTCATAGAGTTGGTTCTCTTGGCCCTATTTTTCCTATTAGACCTGAAAACGCTTGAGCCTGGGTAATTGTGCCTTCCCATTACTAATGGATTAATCTCTGGGAGAAAAGGTGAACTTTAATTTAATTTAAATTTTTTAAATTCATGCAATAGTTGTACATATTTATGGGGGTACATAGTAATGTTTCGCTACATATAATGTGTAGTGATCAGAGCAAGGTAATTAGCATATCCATCTCAAACACTTATCATTTCTTGGTGGTGAGAACATTCAATATCCTCCTTCTAGCTGTTTGAAACTATACAATACATTATGGTTAACTATAGTCATCCTACATTAGTGGTATAGAACACTAGAATTTGTTCCTCTTATCTAGCTATAATTTTGTATCCTTCAACAAATCTCTCCCTATCCCTTATTTCTCTCTACCCTTCCTATCCTCTATTATACTCTGTTCTACTTTTTACTTCTATGAGATCAGGGTTTCTTTTTCACCTTCCACAAATGAATGGAGGACATGTAGTGTTTAACTTTCTGTGCCTGGCTTATTTCACTTAACACAAGGTCCTCCAGTTTTATCCATGTTGCTGCAAATGACAGGATCTCATTATTTTTTGTGGCTGAACACTATTTCACTGTGTACATACACCACATTTTCTTTATGCATTCATTCATTGATGGGCACTTAGGTTAATTCCATATCTTTGGTCTGAGAAAAGATTTTATGAATAAGACCTCAAAGGCACAGCCAACCAAAAGCAAAAATAAATGGGATTATATAATACTAAAAAGCTTTTGCACAGCAAAAGAAACAATCAACAGAGTTAAAACACAGCCTATAGAATGGGAGAAAATACTTGCAAATATTGATCTGACAGGTGATTAATATCTAGGATAAACAAGGAACTCAAAATCTCAAGAGAAAAAAATCAAATTCGAAAATGGGCAAATAATCTGAACAGACATTTCTCAAAAGAAGGCACTTACGGCCAAGAATTACATGAAAAAATGTTCAGTGTCACCAATCATCAGGGGAATGCAAATCAGAATCACAGTGTGGTATCATCTAACCCCAGTTAGGATGGCTATGACCAAAAAGACTAAAACCAAATGCCAACAGGGATACAGAGAAAAGGGAACTCTTATACATTGTTGTTGGTAACGTAAAATACTACATCCATTATGGAGAACAGTATGGAGATTTCTCAAAAACTAAAAATATAACTGTTGTTCAATCCTGCAATCCCACTACTGAGTATTTACCCAAGGGGCAGGAAATAAGTACATCAAAGAGATATTTGTAACCCAATGTTGGTAGATTTTGTTTCCTAGTATTTTGTTGAGGATTTTTTCTGTCTATGTTTTTCAGGGATATTGGCCCATAGTTTTCTTTTTCATTTGTGTCTTTGTCTGGTTTTGTTATCAGAATTATGCTGGCCTCATAGAATGATTTAGAAAGAATTCCCTCTCTTTCAATTTTTCTGGAATAGTTTCAGGAGAACTGGTATACTTCTTTAAAGGTTCAGTAGAATTCAGCTGTGAAGCTGTTTTGTCCTGGGTTTGTTTTTGCTTTTCTACTTTCTTGAGATGTATTATTAGAATTGTTTATTTAAAATCTTTCTAGTTTTTTTAGATTTGGGTTCATTTTATTTTTATTTGTAATTATTTGTAGAGATGGCGGTCTCACTATGTTGCCCAGGCTTGTCTTGAACCCCTAGGCCGAAGAAATCCTCTTGTCTGTCTACTGATTGATTGATAGATTGATAGGGTCTTATGTTGTCCAGGATGGTCTTGAACTCCTGGCTTCAAGTGATGCTCCTGTCTCAGCCTCCCAAAATGCTGGAATTGAAGATGTGAGCAACTGTGCCTGGCCTTTTCTAGCTTTTTGATGTAGGCATTTATTGCTATAAACATTAGTTAGTACTGTTTTTGCTATGTCTTGTAGGTTTTTGGGTTTTGGTTTGCTGTGTTTCTATCTTCATTTTTTTTTTTTTTTTATTCTTTTTTTTTTTTGAGACAGTCTTGCTCTGTCGCCCAGGCTGGAGGGCAATGGCGTGATCTTGGCTCACTGCAAGCTCCACCTCCCAGGTTCACGCCATTCTCCTGCCTCAGCCTCCCGAGTAGCTGGGACTACAGGTGCCCGCCACCATGCCTGCTAATTTATTTTGTATTTTTAGTATAGACAGAGTTTCACTGTGTTAGCCAGGATGGTCTCAATCTCCTGACCTTGTATCCACCCACCTCGGCCTCCCAAAGTGCTGGGATTACAGGCATGAGCCACTGCACCCGGCCTAATTTATTCTTAATTTTTTCCTCATCTATTGGTCATGCAGGAGCATGTTTAATTTTCTTGTACTTGTATAGTTTCAAATATTCCTCTTGTTAATGATGTCTAATTTTATTCCATTTTGATAAGATACTTGATATGATTTTTATTTTTAAAAATATTTTTGGGGGCTTATGTTGTGTTTTTACATATGGTAAATCCTGGGGAATGTTCCATATGCCAATGAAAATAATATATATTCTGCAGCTGTTGGGTGAAATGTTCACTAAATATATGCTAAGTCCATTTGTTCCATGGTACAGTTTATTTTTATTTTTTATTTTATTTATTTATTTATTATACTTTAAGTTCTAGGGTACGTGTGCACAACGTGCAGGTATACATGTGCCATGTTGGTGTGCTGAACCCATTAACTAGTCACTTACAACAGGTATATCTCCTAATGCTATCTCTCCCCCTTCCCCTCACCCCACGACAGGTCCTGGTGTGTGATGTTCCCCTTCCTGTGTCCAACTGTTCTCATTGTTCAATTCCCACCTATGAGTGAGAACACGCAGTGTTTTGTTTTGTTTTGTTTTGTCCTTGCAATAGTTTGCTGAGAATAATGGTTTCCAGCTTCATCCATGTCCCTACAAAGGACATGAACTTATCCTTTTTTATGGCTGCATAGTATTCCATGGTGTATATGTGCCACATTTTCTTAATCCAGTCTATCATTGATGGACACTTGGGTTGGTTCCAAGTCTTTGCTATTGTGAATAGTGACACAATAAACATATGTGTGCATGTGTCTTTATAGCAGCATGATTTATAGTCCTTTGGGTATATACCTGGTAATGGGATGGCTGGGTCAAATGGTATTTCTAGTTCTGTATCCTTGAGGAATCGCCACACTGTCTTCCACAATGGTTGAACTAGTTTAAAGTCCCACCAACAGTGTAAAAGTGTTCCTATTTCTCCACATCCTCTCCAGCACCTCTTGTTTTCTGACTTTTTAATGGTCGCCATTCTACCTGGTGTGAGATGGTATCTCATTGTAGTTTTGATTTGCATTTCCCTGATGGCCAGTGATGATGAGCATTTTTTCAAGTGTCTGTTGGCTGCATAAATGTCTTCTTTTGAGAAGTCTCTGTTCATATCTTTTGTCCACTTTTTGATGGGGTTGTTTGTTTTTTTCTTGGAAATTTGTTTGAGTTCTTTGTAGATTCTGGATATTAGCCCTTTGTCAGATGAGTAGATTGCAAAAATTTTCTCCCATTCTGTAGGTTGCCTGTTCACTCTGATGGTAGTTTCTTTTGCTGTGCAGAAAGCTCTTCAGTTTAATTAGATCCCATTTGTCAATTTTGGCTTTTGTTGCCATTGCTTTTGGTGTTTTAGACATGAAGTCCTTGCCCATGCCTATGTCCTGAATGGTATTGCCTAGGTTTTCTTCTAGGGTTTTTATGGTTTTAGGTCTAACATTTAAGTCTTTAATCCATCTTGAATTAATTTTTGTATAAGGTGTAAGGAAGGGATCCAGTTTCAGCTTTCTACATATGGCTAGCCAGTTTTCCCAGCACCATTTATTAAATAGGGAATCCTTCCCCCGTTTCTTCTTTTTGTCAGGTTTGTCAAAGATCAGATGGCTGTAGATCCATTGGTCTATATCTCTGTTTTGGTACCATTACCGTGCTGTTTTGGTTACTGTAGCCTTGTAGTATAGTTTGAAATCAAGTAGCATGATGCCCCAGCTTTGTTCTTCTGGCTTAGGATTGACTTGGCGATGCGGGCTCTTTTTTGGTTCATATGAACTTTAAAGTAGTTTTTTCCAATTCTGTGAAGAAAGTCATTGGTAGCTTGATGGGGATGGCATTGAATCTGTAAATTACCTTGGGCAGTATGGCCATTTTCACGATATTGATTCTTCCTATCCATGAGCATGGAATGTTCTTCCATTTGTTGGTGTCCTCTTTTATTTCATCGAGCAGTGGTTTGTAGTTCTCCTTGAAGAGGTCCTTCACATCCCTTGTAAGTTGGATTCCTAGGTATTTTATTCTCTTTGAAGCAATTGTGAATGGGAGTTCACTCATGATTTGGCTCTCTGTTTGTCTGTTATTGATGTATAAGAATGCTTGTGATTTTGCACATTAATTTTGTATCCTGAGACTTTGCTGAAGTTGCTTTTCAGCTTAAGGAGATTTGAGGCTGAGACGATGGGTTTTTCTAGGTATACAATCATGTCATCTGCAAACAGAGACAATTTGACTTCCTCTTTTCCTATTTGAATACCCTTTATTTCTTTCTCTTGCCTGATTGTCTTGGCTAGAACTTCCAATACTATGTTGAATAGGAGTCATGAGAGGGGGTGTCGTTGTCTTGTGCTGGTTTTCAAAGGGAATGCTTCCAGGTTTTGTCCATTCAGTATGATATTGGTTGTGGTTTTGTCATAAATAGCTCTTATTATTTTTAGATATGTGCCATCAATGCCTAATTTATTGAGAGTTTTTAGCATGAAGGGCTGTTGAATTCGCAAAGGCCTTTTCTGCATCTATTGAGATAATCATGTGGTTTTTGTCTTTGGTTCTGCTTATAGGCTGGATTACGTTTATTGATTTGCATATGTTGAACCAGCCTTGCATCCCAGGGATGAAGCCCACTTGATCATGGTGGATAAGCTTTTTGATGTGCTGCTGGATTCGGTTTGCCAGTACTTTATTGAGGATTTTTGCATGGATGTTCATCAGGGATATTGGTCTAAAATTCTCTTTTTGTTGTTGTGTCTCTGCTAGGCTTTGGTATCAGGATGATGCTGGCCTCATAAAATGAGTTAGGGAGGATTCCTTCTTTTTCTATTGATTGGAATAGTTTCAAAAGGTATGGTACGAACTCCTCCTTGCTATGACAGAATTTAAATGTGATGTTTCACTGTTCATTTTTCTGTGTTGGTAATCTATCCAATGCTGAGAGTGGGATGTTGAATTAAGTCCCTGACTATTGTTGTATAGGGGTCTATCTCTCCCTTTAGATAGAATATTTGCTTTATATTTCTGGGTGCTCTGGTGATGGGTATATGTATGTTTACAATTGTGGCATTTTCTTTCCAAAGTGATCCCTTTGTTATATAATGTCTTTCTTTGTCTCTTTACAGCTTTTGAGTTGAAGTCTGTTTGTATTGCTACTCCTGCTCACTTTTGGCTTCTGTTTGCCTAAAATATCTTTTTCATCATTTCACTTTCAGTTGTGTTTACAGTGAAGTGAATTTCTTGTAGGCAGCGTATTATTGGGTCATGTTTTTATTAATTCATTCAGTCAGTCTATATATTTTAAATGAGGAATTTAATCCATTTACTTTCAAGGTTATTACTGATAGATGAGGACTTACTCCTGTCATTTATTGATGTTTTTCTGGTTTTTGTATATTTATGCCTGGTTTGTTTTGTATATTTGTTCTTTACTTCCTGATTGTTTGTTGTTGCAGCTGGGTGGTTTTCTGTAGTGATAAGGCTTTATTCCTTTCTTTTTCTCCTTTGTGTATTGGCTTTACCAGTCAGTTTTATAGTTTCTCATGTTTTCATCATGGTGGTTACCATTTTTTTACTTCCAGATGTAAGACTCCTTTGAGCATTTCTTGTAAGTCTGTTCTCGTGGTAAATTTCCTTAATTTTTGTTTATCTGTGAAATATTTTATTTCCCCTTCATTTCTAAAGTGTAGCTTTGCTGGGTTTAATATTCTTGGCTGACAGTTTTTTTTTTTCAGCACTTTGAATCTATCATCCCATTCTTTCCTGGCCTGTAAATATTTTGCTGAGAAGTACACTGTTAGTCTAATGAAGATTCCTTTATATGTGACTTAATTCTTTCCTCTTGCTGTTTTTAAAATTCATTGTCTTTGACTTTTGACAATTTGACTACAACATTTTTCAGAGAGGACCTGCTTGGGTTAAATCTAATTGGGATTCTTTGAGCTTTCTGGACCTGGATGCCTATCTCTCTCCCAAGACTTGGGAAGTTATCTGCTATGATTTTATTAAATATGTTTTCCTCTCCTTTTCTATTCTCTTCTCTTCTCCTTGTAGAACACCCAGAATATGAATATTTATTCACTTAATGGTGTCTCATACATCTGTAGGCTTTCTTCATTTCTATATAATTAAAACAAATGATTTATTCCAAGTTCTATCAGTTTAAAGTTTTTCAGAAATTATTACAGAAATCAACACTGAAATCAGAAACAAGCTTTCACAGCTGTAGCATTTATAACAAAGTCAATATCTACATTGCCTTGATTTAAGAGATTTAGGGTGTTTCCATGATTCATAATCCATGACAAAAGTTTCAAAGTCCAGATCCAAGTCAGAAACAAGGGCACTTACAAAGTAATCAATAGAAGGGCACTTTTGAAGCACACCTTCAACCATGAGCATGGGCTTCTTGCCTCCACTGTGGGCCAGCATCTCCCTGCAATAGCACTCCATGGTGGCCCTGTTAAAAGGATTTTGTAGAAAACATTCCTTCCAAACCATGGAAGTGACTGCCCTAGACATGAGGTAAGAGTAATATTTGGCCCTATAGCCCATGAGGTAGGTGATCCGCAGCTTCTAGGCAGTATTTGGAACATATGGTAAGCCACAGAATGTCTCTTGTGTTTCCTTGAGAATGTCTGTGGTTGAATTCCTCAGGGGATGCTTCCTATGGTAGATTTGATCCAGAGGGGCATAAAAGACCTGAAGTTTCATATCAGCTGCAGCACAAACTTTTTTAGATTCAGAAAGCTGAGACACCATATTTTTTTGGCAGTGGCTGCCCATTCTAATTTTGTCTGGCAAACTGGTTACTCAATAATCATTTGCAAAGTACTCTATTAGAATAGAAGGAACCCCTGCAAAATCAATGGGGCACCTGGTTCCGGTGATGTGTTGGTAAGAAGTACGTCCTAGCATTGAATGCATAGCATGTCCCATTTCATGGTCAAGATTTTCCATCATTCCAGGAGTTAGCAAAGTTTGTGAACTCCTTGAGGAATGGGGAAGATTCAGCATAAGAACTATGACTGGGAGTTGATAGTCTCTGTCTTCCTTTAATCTGCCTCTGTGGATTCGAAAATGGCAATCCTGATGTGGTTTGTCTGCTTGCTGAAAAAAATCAAAGTAAATGCACCCCAACAGTCCTTCAGATTCATGAATGATGGCCAGTTTTCGGACATCTTCACACCATACCTCTCCTTTTGCAGGCTACTCTGCATATAAGGAAATCTCCAACAGTTTGTTAAGCCAAATATTCAGGCCTTCCATGCATGCTCCAAGGGAGAAAAACAGGCAATATAAGCCAGGGTCAATATTATACCTTTGTGCATGAATCACACCACTCTGGTAGTGGGGGTCCCAAGGCATTACTTTGGAACTTTGAGAATTCTGTTTCATTTTCTTTTTTTTAATTTAATTTAATTTAATTTAATTTAATTTTATTTTATTATTATTATACTTTAAGTTTTAGGGTACATGTACACAATGTGCAGGTTAGTTACATATGTATACATGTGCCATGCTGGTGTGCTGCACCCATTAACTCGTCATTTAGCATTAGATATATCTTCTAAAGCTATCCTTCCCCCCTCCCCACACCCAACAACAGTCCCCAGAGTGTGATGTTCCCCTTCTTGTGTCCATGTGTTCTCATTTTTCAATTCCCACCTATGAGTGAGAATATGCGGTGCTTGGTTTTTTGTTCTTGCGATAGTTTACTGAGAATGATGATTTCCAATTTCATCCATGTCCCTACAAAGCACATGAACTCATCATTTTTTATGGCTGCATAGTATTCCATGGTGTATATGTGCCACATTTTCTTAATCCAGTCTATCATTGATGGACATTTGGGTTGGTTCCAAGTCTTTGCTATTGTGAGTAGTGCCGCAATAAACCTACGTGTGCATGTGTCTTTATAGCAGCATGATTTATAGTCCTTTGGGTATATACCCAGTAATGGGATGGCTGGGTCAAATGGTATTTCTAGTTCTAGATCCCTGAGGAATCGCCACACTGACTTCCACAATGGTTGAACTAGTTTACAGTCCCATCAACAGTGTAAAAGTGTTCCTATTCCTCCACATCCTCTCCAGCACCTGTTGTTTCCTGACATTTTAATGATCGCCATTCTAACTGGTGTGAGATGGTATCTCATTGTAGTTTTGATTTGCATTTCTCTGATGGCCAGTGATGTTGAGCATTTTTTCATGTGTTTTTTGGCTGCATAAATGTCTTCTTTTGAGAAGTGTCTGTTCATGTCCTTCGCCCACTTTTTGATGGGGTTGTTTGTTTTTTTCTTGGAAATTTGTTTGAGTTCATTGTAGATTCTGGATATTAGCCCTTTGTCAGATGAGTAGGTTGTGAAAATCTTCTCCCATTTTGTAGGTTGCATGTTCACTCTGATGGTGGTTTCTTTTGCTGTGCAGAAGCTCTTTAGTTTAATTAGATCCCATTTGTCAATTTTGGCTTTTGTTGCCATTGCTTTTGGTGTTTTAGACATGAAGTTCTTGCCCATGACTATGACCTGAATGGTAATCCCTAGGTTTTCTTCTAGGGTTTTTTATGGTTTTAGGTCTAATGTTTAAGTCTTTAATCCATCTTGAATTAATTTTTGTATAAGGTGTAAGGAAGGGATCCAGTTTCAGCTTTCTACATATGGCTAGCCAGTTTTCCCAGCACCATTTATTAAATAGGGAATCCTTTCCCCATTGCTTGTTTTTCTCAGGTTTGTCAAAGATCAGATAGTTGTAGATATGTGGCATTATTTCTGAGGGCTCTGTTCTGTTCCATTGATCTATATCTCTGTTTTGGTACCAGTACCATGCTGTTTTGGTTACTGTAGCCTTGTAGTATAGTTTGAAGTCAGGTAGCATGATGCCTAAAGCTTTGTTCTTCTGTTTCACTTTTCATCTGTCGTATCATCTCAAAATCTTTTCAAGTTCTTTCAGAAAGTTTGTCAGAGAGTTTCTCAGGGAACTGGATGACAGTCTCTGAATTTTTAACTATTGTTCCTTGGAGAGCCCTGCTGGAAAACACAGAATACCCTACCAACTTTTGCAGAGGATCTCTGTTGCTGAGCAATTCTTCTAAACATTTTAACTGACCAGTATAGGGATGAAGAAAAATTTTGTAAGCAGCTTCTCACACCAAGTCGCCTGGTGCTTCTGCATGGAGACCATCAATTATGATACGATCCCCATCAGATAAAAGTTATGGTGAATGTGTTCTAGTAAGAGATGCTTCTCAATCTTGTTGGGAAAGTTGTTTGCCGTAAGACATGTACTACTCAAATCCAAGATTTTAACATTGAGGTCCACTGCTCTTTTACACTTTTCTTTGTCTAGATGGATTCCACTAATTTCAAAATCAAACATAAACAGTTAGGCCACTTGCCTAGTTTTTGTTTTGTTTTTAATCAGCTAGTAATTTTTGCAAACTTTGACATAATTCCACATTTGTGTTCATCCAAGTCAGCCACTCTGAACAAGGAATCTGAGAGCTCATCGAAGATGCGCACAATCTGGGGTCCAGGTGGGGTGGAACATGCATGTTCCACAAGCAATTCTGTCTTTCTCAAGGCTTTTTATTGGGCAATATTAAATTTTTCTGGAGCGCTGAGCTCAGGACATCCAAAAAGACCCCAGTGCTCACTAAACAGGTCCAAGTGGTAGCCCTGACATTGAAGGCGGAGCCCACCAGGGACCAGCAGATGCTGACCCTTCCACATGGGTATCAACTCTGAGGCTGCCCCTGCCTACCCGCCCTGGCCACAGGGGCACTACTCCAGCTACAAAGCAGCCTAGCCTTTGGGCACATAGTGTTTGTGCAGTAACCCCATGCCCAGCTGCAAGACCCTTGCTCCAGTGCTGCAGCTCCAGCCAGGAGTGCACGTTCTGCATTTCCGGGCTTTCTTCATTTTTAAAATGCTTTTTTCTTTTCTTTCTTTCCTTCTTTCTTTTGTTCACTTGTAATATTTCAAAATACCTGCCTTCAAGTTCAGAAATTATTTCTTCTGCTTGGTCTAGTCTGTTGTTGAAGCTCTGGATTGTATTTTGTCATTTCATTCATTGAATTCTTCAGCTCTAGGATTTCTGTTTGGCTCTTTTTTAATGATATCTGTCTTTGTTGGATTTCTCATTCAAATAATTACTTTCCTGATTTCACTGAATTGTCTATCTGTGTTCTCTTGTATCTCACTGAGTTTCCTTACTATTATTTAGAATTCATTTTTGGCATTTGACATATTTCCTTATGATTGGGGTCTATTACTGGAGACATTGTTTTCCTTTGGAGGTGTCATGTTTCCTTTCTTTTTCATGTTCAACATGTTCCTACATTGATTTCTACATATCTGGTGGAAAAATTGCCTCTTCCAATTTTATGAAGTAGGTTTCATAGGGAAAAGCTTATTTGTATGAATGGGTCTTGGAGTGTTGGCCTTGGTTCTGGGTGGACACTGTAGTGTAGTCTCCATGTAGTCTTTTTTTTTTTTTCAGCTGTAATCCACACTAGTAACATTTATGAGTGTCTCAGTGTCCTAGGCTAAGATTTTGATGGTAATGGGAGTGGGTTCCTATGCTGGGAGTGGGTTCTCCAGGCTATTTCTTAGGTTTGGGGAGTGTGTGTGCACATAGTGGTTCAGTCACCTTGGGGTCTGGCTCACTGGAATTGAGGCCATGGAGTTATTACTGTGGCTGGGAGCATGGGCACACATTTGCTTGGCTGGCCTTGTGGCATGCCTGCCAGGAGTACATTGTGGAATTGTTCTCACGTCCAGAATGTAGGCACACAGCTGGTCAGCTGGCTTGGTAGTATATCTACCAGGGATAGCCCACAGTACTGTTTTTCAGGCCTGAGACATGGGTGCAAGGCTGCTCAGATGGCCTAAGGGTGTGTCTGCTCTGGGGAAGGGGGACCCACCGGAGTGTTTCTCAATTTTGGGACACAGGTGTTAGGCAGCTCAGCTAGCTCAGGATAGCCTTTGGGGACTGTTTCTTAGGTCCAGGTCATGGGCTCAAAGCTGCTTGGCTGGCCTAGGGTTGTGCCCACCAGAAGCCAGACTGTGGGACTGTGTCTCAGATCTTGATTGCAGGTGCAGGGCCATTGGGCAGGCTAGGGGCATGTCTGCTGGGGAGTGGGAGGACACTACAGGGACAGGGCTATTTTTCAGGTCCTGAGCAGAAGTGTGTAGCTGCGCCACCAGCCTGAAGTATGTATTAGCTGTTCAGAGGCTTGGATGCCTCTCCTACTTTGAGGGGGGCATGCAGTGGTTTGGCTGGCTCAAGGTTGAGTTCACCCTGGGTGGGACTGCCAGACTGTTCATTCAGGTGGAAGTGTGGCAGCAGGGATGGGTGGGTTACCTTGCTGTGCAAGACCTGAATCACAACCTACCCTGGGCCTGAGCTTTGTGCAGATGGAGTTGTGGCATTCAGCCACCTGTGTAGGCTTGGTAAAATTAAGATGAAGCCCCAGTATTGGAGAGGAACAGTGGCTACTGGCCATCAGAACAAGGTGCACTACAGAGATGGCTCTGTTCTCATGATGCGATGCTGCACCAGCTTGTCTTGCAGAGGGTGAGTGGTGGGTGGGAAGTATACACGTCATGCCCCTAAACTGGGGCAATGCAGCTGCATGAATTCCTGGCAGTTCTCCAAACTGGGCTCAGGGCTTGCAAGGAGCATGTGATTCTCCTGTCCTAAGAACTGTGAGTGTTTGTGGTGGCAATGGCGACTGGTGGGGATCTTTTGCCTACCTTTTCCCCCTGAAATGGGAAGTTCCTCCTGACTCCTGGCAGATTCAATCTGAGCAGGGGAGATGGTTGCAGACACCAGGTACCTCCATACCGCCCTCCTGGATGTCAGTGAATCACCACAGGTGCATCTCCACTCCCTTGCTGCACATCAGCACTCTCCCTTCAACATCCCAGTAAAATCTTAGCTGTTTATTTGTTGCCTTGGTCCTTGTGGGAGGGATGCGTATCAAGCATCACTAGTCAGCAATTTTGATGATGTCACTTCTTTACTTGTACATAAAAGCAATGATTATTTCCTTGGCTTGCCAGAGAGCTGAAAGTTAAAATTTCATTTGAGAATATAATCCCAGGCTCCCAGTGATCTCTCTCTTTATAGAACTTGTGATCTTTCTAGCATTCTTTTAAATTTATTTTTAATTTTCCAGTAGTAAATCATTAAATAATCCAGACTTCCCATTGGGTGTAGTTTTTAAGCTGCTAGCACCACCATCTTCATTTTATTTACCAAGCTAACAAATAGAAAAATTAGACCTAGAGTCTGGCTTTTCTGACCCATATATAATGCATGCAGTCATAGGTCTAACAAAGTTCATTTACACCATAAAAAAGAGCAAACGACAATTTTTACAATAAGCATATTTTGCCAAAAATAAAAAAGGGAATAAAAGAATGTCTTACTTGCCTCCTTGTTAAAACAAACTTTTTTAAAAAAATAATTTTTTTCTTGCTTCCAGTGTGGTTGGAGAAACTTTAACAAAAATTGACTATCATGGGAAGATCTTTGTATTAATAGCTCTGGAAGAGAGTGTTAGACTATCTTAGGAGGCATACTGCTTCACATAAGTGAAGATAATAAGAGACATGGCCTCTATCCATTGTAGCCATTAAGATCCTGTCGGGATATAGTAGTCACACTACTTATTTAACAGAAAATATAACATAAGGAATTGTTAATTAGGTATAAAGTTGTTAGTTAGGTGGCTAAAAAGGCAAAAAGGAAACATAAAGCAACTGCAGGAGCAGATACCACTCCTAGGGCTGGGGGAACAAAGGGAAGAGGTTGCACATACAGGTTTGAGTATTTCTTATCCAAAATGCTTAGGACCAGAAGTGTTTGATTTCAGCTTTCTTCAGATTTTGGAATATTTGCATATACATAATGAGATACCTTGGGGATGGCACCCAAGTCTAAACATGGAATTCACTTATGTTCCATATACATATATATAGCCTGAAGATAATTTTATATAAGATTTTAAATAATTTTGTGGATAAAACAAAGTTTTGACTGTATTTTGGCTGTGACCCATCACATGAGGTCAACTGTGAAAATTTCCACCTGTGGCATCATGTCAGTCCTCAGAGTTTCAGATTTTGGAGCATTTAAAATTTCAGGTTGTTGAATTAGGGATGTTCAATCTGTATTAAAACTTGGAAGCTTGGAGACAAGAAGCTCTGAAACTCAGATCTCTAAAAAGGGGTCTTTAGATAGCTAGTTTTTGTGTCTCTGACAAGGTGCAAAAAGGCTGGTTCTATAAGAGTTGTGATGGGAAGGACTTGCCCTCTCAGGGTGAGGCAGCATTGGGGAGCGGAATTGCCTTCTTAGGGTGAAAAAGCAATGTAGGGCTGATGCTTCCAGGAAGAGGAAGCAGGCAAGAGCAAGTAGTTCTTTCTTCCTGTCTCCACCTTGTGCTGTCCTTCTAAACAACCTCCTGTCATCACCATAATTGGCAGAACTTAAGAGGGAGCCAGCTGGAATGTAGTTTGTAAAGTCTCAGCTCCAGCATTATGTAGCACAGAATGGATAGATTTGATGCTGAGAAACAAAAACTTAGTAACTGGCACATTCATTTAATTCTAAATAAAATGTTTTCCCCACCTATCCAATATTTTTGATTCCTATGTTCTTGAGATGATCAGAAATAATCAAATATTATTGTAACTTATGCTTTCCTATCATTTTAACCAAGGCTGAATCAAAGTTAAATTTTACTTCTTTCTATTATTGTGGGGGAGGGGAGGGGGGTGTATTCAGGGATTAGTTGGGAAAATGGGAAAGATTACTTTTAATTTCTATAATGGACATACTAGTTTTATTGTTGACCACCTCAAATATGTTGGAGATACATGGAGTATAAATTATAAATAAATAAAACTCAGCTGTGCCAACTAATAAGAGACTCCCAACAACTCCCCAATTATCTAACCTTGGGGTGGGGACGGGAATGTACACTTTTACTGGTGAAGAATTAGTAGCAGGAGATGATGGAAGAAAGATAGTCTGAGCAGACACGCACAACACTTCTTCAGTCTGAACTCTGTTTTTCATTCACCCAAAGGCTACTAGCCTAAAGGTGTAGTGCCTTCCAATTTCTGGATGAAAAAGCCACTTGGGAGATAGAGAAGAGAGAACAACAGAGGAAGTACATATTTAAAGTAAATGTGCTAGTTAAGATTCCCTTAAATTAAAATCAGGATGGAAATAATTTTATTTTGAGAACCTTCAGAGAATACTATTGAATAATCTATGGTTCCTTAACACAGGAAGGGGTCTTCAATTACCTTTTTTCCTTTAACTGAAATTTTAAAATTAATAGTATCTTTTTCAATTTAGAAATGAAAGAAACTTTAAAACTGCTGCAAAAACATATACGGTTATATCTTGTTATGTGATGGTGCTTAACATAAAACAGGATGTTTTACTCATGGCCAGGAAAGCTTGTTATATAAGTACATTTAAACATAAAGCCCTCCTCCCTGCCTTAAAAAAATAAAAAGGTCTATAAATTCCTAAGGATTTTGAAACTCTTGTTTAAGAACTTTGAGGAATTGGGGAAATGTAGGTTATGCTTGATTTTTAAAAAATGGTTGTTTTCAACAAAACATAATCTTGCAGAAGGGAAGAGTAGGAGGGTACGAATTATTTAAAAGCTTTTCCTAAGTGACTTTGATATCTGCTCCCCACCCCAAATCAGGTGAAGACCAATGGCAAAAATAAACATAAAGGTGGATGGAAAATTGCAATGCCAGGAGAGATATTACCCTTTAATAAAAATCTTTTCCATGTTTATGATTATTTTATTTTTTATCTTATAACGTAAATAATAAAATAACATCTTAATGATAACCAGAGCACTAAAAACCACCACCAAAAAAAAAAAAAAAAAAAAAAATCACAGGTACCTGGGTATTAAAATGGCCTGTTAAGGCAGGCAGCTCAGTGCGATTGGAATTCACTACAGGGAATATTAGATTGAACAAAGAACTAGAATAGAAGTGTTGACAAAATTTAATTAGGAGAGGGCTGGTAGACACTCAAGCATGGCCAGAGAACACAGAGATTAGAGCCTGTGGAGCCTCCCTCTAAGTGGGCATAGGAGGTAGTGAAACCTGTTTGGAGTTGAGCTGCTGCAGCCTGGGGCACTTCTCTGGGGAGAGAGCTCTTGTTTCTAATTTTCCTAGAATACAGCTAACAAGGCTAATGTTACCAGCCCAGCTGAGGTCTTTTTTTTTTTTTTCCTTCTGCTGAGGTTTGTAATTCTACAATTTTAAATGTCCTTAACTATAAAAAACAGTCTATGAACCAACCCAACTTCCACATTACCCAAGTATCATTACCCTATATATCTCTTACATTAACTTATTATGTTAGTTTGTTCTTCTATAGTAGTGCTTCCTATCGCAATTCTTATAGAACCAGATATGTTGGTATTTGTGGTCTCAGGTTTTTTAAGCAAAATTTTTTCATAAATCTATAAAAAGGATATAGTAATATATAAATCCCTTGGCATTTTCAGAATTTATATTTGTGGTGTCCACCCTCATTTTGTAAAAGTCCATGTCATGTGTTAATTTAAATGGAGAAAATAAAATCCACTCTAGTCTATAGGGTTGTTATGAGGATTAAATGAGATAACATAGAGTATTTAGTAAGAATTTAAATGTCTGGGGCTGAATGTTTGCAGATTACAGGGTTAATCTTTTTGTTAGAGCAGGAAGAATCCAGTGAAAGTTTGATATTCCCACTAATGATTGGTTCAATTTTGAAGATTCTTCAAGGCCTCCCACATATACTAGAATTCTTCCAAATATACTTCTATGCCTTTAATGAAAGAACATTGCCACTTGATTCGAACACTCAGTTGAAGAGAGCTTACCATATGTGGTTAGAATCAGGCTTCAGAGCCAGATCACCCAGGGTGGACCCCTCCCTTTCCTACTTGGTGATCTCGGGTGAATTATTTTTACCTTATTTTACCTCTCTGCCTCACTTTCTCATTCCTAAAATAAGAATAATAGTACCTCCTTGAAAGGATTGTGAAAAAGATTAAATGAGTTAACATATGTCAAGGGCTTACAACAGAGGTTGGCTGTTAGCCAATGGTAGCTATCCTCTAGTGATAAGTTCAAAAACATCTCTTAAATCAATCAGCTTCTGGCAATTTATTTTTAACATAGTTCCAGTAACAACAAAGCTATATTGAACAGTTTTGCCCCACCACTGGTTACAAGCAGGCTTATAAAATCCTGTTTTCAAACCTTATTTTCTACACAGACGGAGTTTCACTCTTGTTGCCCAGGCTGGAGTGCAGTAGCATAATCTCAGCTCACTGCAACCTTCGCCTTCCGATTTCAAGCGATTGTCCTGCCTCAGCCTCCTGAGTAGCTGGGATTACAGGTGCCCACCACCACGCCCAGCTAATTTTTGTATTTTTAGTAGAGACGAGGTTTCACCATGTTGGTCAGGCTGGTCTCGAACTCCTGACATCGTGATCTGCCTGCCTCAGCCTCCCAAAGTGCTAGGATTGCAGGAGTGAGCCACCGGGCCCGGCCTCCATTGCTTTTTAACTTCCTATTTAAAATAATTATTCCAGACAACTCTACGAATCTCAATGGATTGCTTACTGTGTCTGTGGAATTGTTATTTCTAGAACCCACCTTGATAACTAGTGTGCTTGGCTCACTGTAATCTACTTTGCTCTGACTTGCAGCAATTTCCAAATTCATATCTTTCTATCAATAATAAATATATTGTGATGCAGATGGACTCACTGTTATATTGCTAGGAACGTTGGCTGAAAGATACCATTGAAATATAATAAAAGAAAGCAATGTAATCTTGATTTTTCCAAAAGTATACTTCACAATGTGTTGGCAATTTTTAAGGTCATTTCAAATAGAGTGGCATTTATAGCTGCCACATTTGACATTTAGTAATTTGCACCACAAAACCACAGGCTCATAAGCTTTCTGTTTCTCCTCTGTGAATTATTCTTTGAGATGCTTTATATAGATGATACAGTGAGAGTCACAGTATAACTAGTTCATTTTATAAAGGTTAATTTAAAATATATGTAAAGAATACTAAGAGCTCATAAATGATGAACACAGGCATTAAAAATCAATTGCTGATAGAACTTGGGCATAAAGTTAATGAAGCGGTTCATGTTTTCTAGTAACGTTTCATCTCTTGCATGGGATTTTCCATTAGAAACAGGGTTTGGGGGCCAATATGTCATCCATTTATCTTTTCTAGCAATGAATTTTCTTTCTCCAACTTATTCTCTTGTAATGATCTTGGAACAAGCTACCGTCACTTCATGTGTATAATATTAGAACACAGTTAACAAGTCAGTATAGAAGGCATTAGGATTCAAATAGTAAAAATGTGAAGGAAATAAAAGTGAATGTACCTGGAAATAAATGACTGGAAGGAAAACAACCAAAAAAAAAAGCCTCCCTTTTTTATAGTTTGGGCAAAGTTCTCATTTTGTGAAAAATAGGTAATGCAATCTTCATTTCTGCAGCATAAAAACAGATTGGTACTTTTCAGAAGCAATATGGTTGAAAGATAACTGCTGTGTCTTAACCCTAACCTTATAGCCAACATCAGTTTCTTCCTGGGAAGTCACTAAAAGAGAATTGATCAGCAGGTTTGATATACTTTAGCATAAATTAGATTTTATTTTCCACAAATCTTAGCTGGAAATGAATTTGCAAATTAAAATGTCTTCTAATGTAATTACATTGTCTTCTATTATAAGTCATTTCAGAAATGAAAACTATACTTTTAACAAGAAATGAATGCATGTTCTTAGTAGAATTAAACAGAGATCCAAGCAGGACCTGAAATGCATATGCAGTGTGGGCCACAATATGGGGAAAATATAGGATGTGTAACACCTCCATAAATTCCTGAATATGAGTAGCTGTGTACAGAACTATAGGCTAAGTTTAGTACATTTGTTTTGAAGACCTATTTTGTAACTTAATAAATCTCAGGGATTTTTTTAAGAAGGGTTTGTTGCAAAATGTCCATCTGTTTCTCCTGAATAATTAAGAACTCAGGATATATTTGAACATCATGACTAAACTTTATGCTATTAAGTGTCTAACTGTCATAGTGGGATGTGTGTTGGAGTTGAGTTAGATCTGGTTTGAATCTTGTTTTTGTCACTTACTATCTGAGCAACTTTAGGCAATCCTTACCTCTAAATTGGGGACACAATTTAGAGGTCCTGAAAGATCATCATGAGGACTAAGAGATCTGATGGATACAGAAGGCCTTGCTGGTGCTCTCTCGGTACCTAAAGTATCCAAGAAGTGACCATTTAAAAATTTCTGTGCATGGGAACTTATTAAAAATTTCTTAGGGCAAGGCAAATTGAATTAACTAAATCAGGTACATTCTTTTCTGTCATACTCCATGATATGGTTTGGATCTGTGTCCCCACCAAATCTCATGTCGAATTGTAATCCCCAGTGTTGGTGGTTGGGCCTATTGGGTGGGAGGTGATTGGCTCATGGGGGTGGCTTCTCATTAATGATTTAGCACCATCCCCTTGGTACTGTCTACATGATAGTGAGTGCGTCCTCATGAGATCTGGTTGTTTAAAAGTGTGTGGCGTCTCCCTCCTCTCACTCTTCCTCCTGCTGTGGCCGTGTGATGTGCCTGCTCCCACTTTGCCTTCCACCATAATTGTAAGTTTCCTGAGGTCTCCCCAGAAGCCAAGCAGATGCCAGCATCATGCTTCCTGTACAGCTTGCCAAACCATAGGCAAATTAAACCTCTTTTCTTTATAAATTACCCAGTCTTGGCTGGGCGCAGTGGCTCACATCTATAACCCCAGCACTTTGGGAGGCCAAGGTGGGCAGATCACCTGAGGTCGGGAGTTCGAGACCAGCCTGGCCAACATGGAGAAACCCCATCTCTACTAAAAATACAAAATTAGCTGGGTGTGGTGGCGCATGCCTGTAATCCCAGCTACTTGGGAGACTGAGGCAGGAGAATTGCTTGAACCCGGGAGGCGGAGGTTGCAGTGAGCTGAGATTGCGCCATTGCACTCCAGCCTGGGAAACAAGAGTGAAACTCTCTCTCAAAAAAAATTAAATAAATAAATAAATAAATTACCCAGTCTCAGGTATTTCTTTATGGCAATGAGAGAAAGGACTAATATACTCCTATATATCATCCTCAAAAGTTTTGAAGTGGTAAATGTGGGTTTAAATCAACCTTCTTACTGTGCTATTTGTCCTGCCTATTCTGTTTTGTTTTCTCTCTCTTCTTGCCTTTTTATGAAGTGATTGATTTTTAAATTCTGTTTTCCTGTTAGTCTGAAAACTATGCAATTTTTTTACCCTAGAAGTGACAAATTAGTACCTTAACCCTCTAGTAGGAAAATACAACTAATATACTATTGTTGGACATATGACCTTTATTTTGATTCTCTCTATATTTTAAACTCCACAAAACTTTACTGTTATTATTTTACATAGTCAATGTTCTTTTAGATTTATCTACTAATTTATGGCTTTTTAAATATTCTTTCTTGCCTGCATAGCTGGTATTTTTCTTCTGCCTAACATGCCTATTTCCTTCCTGGAAGTCTGCTGGTAGCAAATTCTCTCAGTTTTTGACTGACAATGTCTTTATTCATTTTCATTCCTGAAGGATATTATTCATTTTCATTCCTGAAGAATGAAGAATGCTTCATTCCTGAAGCATAGAATTCTATGTTAGTCATTATTTTCTTTTAGTATATTGGTTATATAATTGTTGTCCCTTGATTTTTTCATACTACTGCTAAACCAGAGCTGACAGGGTACATTTTGCCACTTTGAAGATAATCTGTTACTTTAAAAATCTATTTGCCAGCCTGGGCAACATGGAGAAACCCCATCTCTACAACAAATACAAAAATTAGTTGGGTGTAGTGGCTCATGCCTGTTGTCCCAGCTACCTGGTAGGGTGAGGCGAGAGTATCACTTGAGCCTGGGAGGTTGAGGCTGCAGTGAGCTGAGATCATGCCACTGCACTCCAGCCTGGGCAACAGAAAGAGACTGTGTCTCAAAAAACAAACAAACAAACAAATAAATAATAAAAAAAACTATTTGCTTTAGATTTTTTTTCCCTGCAATTTCACTGTGAAATGTCTAGATACAGACTTAACAATCTTTTATCCTGATTAGGATCCATCACTAAAATTATTCCTTTTCACATGCTAGCTAAAGTTATAAGCTCATTCCTAGTTGGAAATGCCTTATATGCAAAATATTAGTTACAACCATAATTTTCTACAATCCCAACACTGACTGCACTCAAAACAATTTCTGGACTTACAAAATAACATTGAATTCTTTATGAAATAACATTGAATTTCTTTATTCTCTGTTCTGAACAACTAAATGTTAACATTATATTTATTACCTTCTTTAGTCTTCCATTTTTATAAGTGTGAGGTTAAAAATGAAGGGTAAATGACTGCCCAAGGATGCAAGGAAACCATTTTAATGGTTTTGATGACCTCTTTCTTTGGCTATCCAAAGCTAGTTGGGCTTGAGAATGGGTTTCACAATCTATTATAGCAAGTATGACCAATTAAAGAGCAGGCAAGTATGATACAGGATTAAGTGAATATGTGTACTACACAGGATTCCTGTTTGGGATTCTAGGCAACGATTTGCATAAGCCAGATAAAAACAATTGAGAGAGAACTACAGGTGTTCAGGAAATACTCACAGGCAGTCACAGACTTTGATGAAGTTCTATAAGGGAAGACTTTTATCGTATCCAGGGCAAAGTTGTCAAAACCAGCCTATGGTAGGAATGTCTAATTTTGAAGTGTCAGAATAAGCTAAGCTGTATCTCCACAGTAAATGGTCACAGTCAGGCAAGATACTTCAGTGACTGTATCCAAGGATGAAAATCACTTTCTAGAGTCAGAGTAGACACTCAGTTGAAACATCATCCTCTGACAATAAGTAGAGAGAATGGTTTCATGTGAGGAAAGTTCTGCGTTCATTCTCTTTTGGAGGTTTTATCCTCTGTGACTCTATAATGCTCCACAAGGGGGACACCAGGGTCCCTGGATTTGAAAAATGGCTTCAGGTTTTTTATGCAGTCGTGTGCAGCATAACAACATTTTGGTCAAGGGTGGAGCACATCAATGATGGTGGCTACATCATATAGCTTAGGTGTTTAGCAGGCAATACCATCTAGATTTATGTAAGCACACTTTGATATTCACACAACAAGGAAATCACCTAACGATGCATTTCTCAGAATGTATCCCCATTGTTAAGCAATACATGACTATATATTGATACTTAGCAAAATCTTATGATTTGGTTGTTATCCTAAATATGCCTTTAAACATAAACAGACACATCTCAAAAGAAGACATACACACAGCTGAAAACCATATGAAAAAAATGCTCAACATTATTCATCATTAGAGAAATGCCAATCAAAGCTCAATGAAATACCATCTCACACCAGTCAGAATGGCTATTTTTAAAAAGTCAAAAAGTAACAGATGTTGGCAAGGTTGTGGATAGAAGAGAACACTTACACACTGTTGGTAGGCATGTAAATTAGTTCAGCCACTGCAAAGTAGTTTGGAGATTTCTCAAAGAACTGAAAACAGAACTATCATTTGACCCAGCAATCCCATTACTGCGTATATAACCAAAGGAATATAAATTGTTCTACCATAAAGACACATGCATGTGTATGCTCATCACAGCACTTCTCATGCACAAGAGCAAAGACATGGAGCTTAACTAGATGCCCATCAACGGTGGACTGGATAAAGAAAATGTGGTACATGTATACTACACAATATTACATGGCCATAAAAAATAATAAAATCATGTCCTTTGCAGCAACATGGATGAGGCTGGAGACTATTACCCTAAGTGAATTAATGCAGGAACAGAAAACCAAATATTGTTCTTACTTATAAGAAGTGTGAGTTAAACGCTGAGTACACATGGACACAAAGAAAGGAACAACAGATACTGGGACCTACTTGAGGGTAGAGGGTGGGAGGAAGATGAGGATTGAAACACTACCTATTGGGTACTATGCTCACTACCTGGATGATGAAATCATTTATATACCAAACCTCGCTACACACAACTTACTCATGTAACAAATCTGCACAGGTACCCTCTGAACATAAAAGTCGGAAGGAGAAAAAAAACATATTTTAACATTAAGTAGATATTCAAAAAGTCAAAAAAATTGTTTAAAGAATAAAACAAGATAAATATAAATCTTATAAAATTTATAATTATCATCTGAAAGAAAACTGTCACACCTATTAAAAATACTGTATCTGTCTTGACAATTGTTCAAAATCAAAAAATCTTGAGTTGATTAGCAAATTTATCTTGCATCAGTATTTTTAAGGCATTTGAAAGTTCTGAAAAACTTTTTTTTTCAAAGAAGGCTGTCATCTGATGGAAAATTTTTCATACACAATTACTTTCATTCCGCTAGCATTATTTTTGGTGAGACTATTTGAAAACATCAATCAAACCAGTGTCTTTTGATGTTAGGTATTTTGAAAGATTAAAAAAAGTAAAAAGACAACAGTAAAATATGCCTTTACATATACATTAACTGACAAACTTTTTTCAGATATTATTTAACTTGTACATATAGTAAAAAAATGAATTTCTATATTCTACGTACTGGCATGAAAATAATCCTGCATCAGTGCTAGCTTTACTTACTTGCTTAAAGTACCAGCAAATCAGGGATACTTTAAAACCCAATTATTTTGAAGAACTTTGACATCATTTGAAAATATTTTTAAGTTTCCCTTATGATTCTTTGGCCCAAAGAAAATCCTATGGGTCAAAAAAAGTCTTCGCTAAAGAAATATTCTACTTTTATTGGAAGTATGTTGTTATAAAACACTTGTGGATTTATCTAGATATCTTTTCATTACTGATTTTTAATTTATTTCTGTTGTGGTCAGAAAATAATATTTTGTTTGGTTGCAGTCACTTGGAATTTAATAATACTTGTTTGTTGGCCCAGCATATGCTCTTTCTTGGTGAATATTCTGGGTGACTTTGAAACAAATGTATAGTCTGCAATTGTTGAGTGTAATATTGTGAAGGTATCATTTAGGTCAGGTTGGTTGATAGCATTGTTCAAGTAGTCTATTATCTTACTGATTTGCATCTAGTTGCTCTAGCAATACTGAAAGAGCAGTGTTTAAATTGTCAAATATGATAATGGAATTTTCTATGGTTTTCCTTTATGTCTATTTATTCTCGGTGTATTTTGAAGTTCTGTTATCAGGTACTTGCACATTTAGGTCCCTTTGACAGAGATAGTTCATGATGATAAAAGGATCTACCTATCTCTGGTAATGTTCTTTGTCTTCAAATCTACTTTGTCTGATATTAGCATAGCCCCATCAGCTAAAAATTAATAAAAAAATTTTTTTTAGAGACAGGTTCTCCTGTTACCCACGCTGGAATTCAGTAGCATGACCATAGCTCACTGCAATCTCAAACTCCTTAGCACAAGTGATCCTCCCACCTCAGCCTCCCAAGTAGCTGAGCTACCATGCCTGGTAGCTATTTCATTTTTAATATTTGCATGGAATATCTTTTTGAATCCTTTTCTTTAAAACTACCCATATCTTTGTATTTAACATGTATTTCTTTTAAACAACATATTATTGGATTTTGGTTTTTATCTAGTCAAGTGGTTCTCAACCAGGGGTGATTTCTTCACCCCCACCATGGGGCATGATATGGTTTGGCTGTGTCCCCAACCACATCTCATCTTGAATTCCTATGTGTTGTGGGAGGGACCCTGTGGGAGGTAACTGAATCATGAGGGCAGCTCTTTTCCATGCTGTTCTTGTGATAGCGTATAAGTCTCACAAGATCTGACGGTATCATAAGGGGGAGTTTCCTTGTTGGCAATATCTAGAAATAATTTTAGTTATCATAAGTGAAAGAGAGGAGCGTAGTACTACTGGTATCTAGTGGGTAGAGGTCAGGGATACTGTTAAACATTTTGCAATGCACAAAACAGCCTCTACATCAAAGAATTATCTGTTCCAAAATGTCAACGGTGCTGAGAAACTCTAGTTTGATAATCTGATTTTTAATTAAAGCCATTAGCCTAATTTCATTTAATAGTTATGTGATTAAATGTAAACCTAGCATTTGCTATTTGTTTTCTGTTCATCCTATCAGTTCTTTGTTCCTTTGTTGTTTTTTTCTTGCCTTCTATTGGATCAAACCAGTATTTCTTTAGTATTCTGTTTTCTTCTCCTTTTATGCCTCTTCACTTATTGTTTTAATGTAAATATTCTGTTCTTCAAAGTTTTCATTTATATATTTATTTATCAGTATAGGCACATTATTTCCTATATTACTCAATGGGCTATGGTCCATTACTGTAATTTGTTTTGATACTCAATTTCCCCATCTCTGGCCACTGGGAGTTGTTTCAAACTAACTTCTGTGTTTTTTTTATTTGTTTCTTATCATTATTTGAACACTTCTTCCTTTCTAGGACTAACATATTCCAACCTCACCTTGTATTTCTGCTGCCTCAGCAAAAGTATTCAGATGTAATCAGTTATTTCTCCAAGGAGCCCTTATTCCTTTCAGTGGAGAATAATATTCAGAAGCTAAGATCTGAGATATAGGTATGTTCATTGCTATTGGGGACTGGTAGTCTCAGGCCCTTTTAGTAGACAGATCTATCAAATATATGTGAAAAAATACACACACACATGGTTACACATATTTATATCAACATTCATTTCTATATATACCTGATACTTTATCTTTCAATCCAACACCTTAGGGATCATTCTAGTTTTCTCCATTTCCATATTTGCAATTTCTTTCTTCAACAGAAGAACCTACTCCCCATGATCTTATTTGTAAGTCCGCCTTTATGTAGACAATCTCTCATCATCCCACCTCTATGGCTGGTGTGGATGCCCTCCTCAGCCCATGTCAGACCATCCTTTTTGTGGACTCCTTCTACGGGCTCTGATATCCTATGCCAGATACCCTTCCTCCCCTAACACACAATGAGTGACATCCAGTAATTTATTTTAAAATTTAAGATATATTTATCAGTCCTAAAACTTCCATTTGGTTCTGAAATGTCCTATCTAGCCTCATGGAGCACAACTCCAGAGAGGACTCAGAGATTGCTGGTAAACTGAGGAAGAAGTTAAGAAGTGGGGCTATTTGTAATAATTGAAGATCTTCCTATCGACCAAATGCCCTTCTCCCCTATGCTCATCTGCTTATAGCCAGGTGTTTTACTCTCCAGGCAAAAAACTCAAACAGTTCTCTAAAGGGCATGTAGGTATTTATACCTGAGAGTAAAGCCTGCCTTTTTCGGGCATGTGGAAAATCCCCATAATATAAAAGCTGGCTTCCCACCCTTTCACTTAAATATGAAGCCCTCTGGTTGACAGTTTCCACTATGGATAAAGAGATTTAAATCAGCCTTTTTAGCATTCACTTAGGCAGCACATATACCAGCCTTTTTATTACTCCCTCCTTAAACATGAAGAGGTAGCCAAAGATCTTCAGCTACTTTAGAAAAGCCTGGAATTTAAAAGAGAAACTGAGGGAAACTAACATGAATGTCAACAAATGCCAAAGGAAGCAAAGGAAATTCAGAAATCCAAAGAGAACTTTAAAAACTCTCTCCTAATGCTATCCCTCCCCTATCTCCCCACCCACTGACAGGCCTCAGTGTGTGATGTTCCCCTCCCTGTGTCCCTGTGTTCTCATTGTTCAACTCCCACTTATGAGTGAAAACATACCTAATATAGATGATGGGTTGATGGGTGCAGCAAATCACCATGGCACGTGTATACCTATTTAACAAACCTGCACTTTCTGCACATGTATCCCAGAACTTAAAGTATAATTAAAAAAAAAAATAAGGAAGTTCAAGGTCTTCTTTACTGTCTTCTAAATCTCTAACTCCTTACCATTAATCTGAATTTATGTGTCATTTCCATGTATATTTTTATAAAATATAACATTACTCTTACTCTCTTAAAATATTACTTTCATTATATATGTATCCAAAATCAATATATAGCATTGCTTTCCAAGTTTTAAAATTTTATATAAATGGTATCATGCTTAATGTATTTACAACTTTAAAAAAACAGTATGTATGTTTTTGAGATTTATCTGTATCAGTCAGTAGAGCTCTAAATTTTTCATTTAAATGGATGTATAAATATGTTTATCCATTTTCCTGTAAACATTTATTTTGCTTAAGAAAACTTTTTTTGCTATTAAAAATGCTACAATATTCTTTAAAAAATCTCTAATTAGCATTTCAACAAATCTAAAAGATGCTAAATCCATATCATGAAAAAGGAATTATGAAGAATGAGAGTTCTTGGAAATTAAATGTATGATTGCTGGAGAAAAAAAAAAATCTCAGAAGTATTGGAAGGCAAACCCAAGAAAATCTTCCAAAATGCAGAACAGCAGCAAAAAAAAAAAAAAAAAAAAAAAAAAAAGAAAAAAAAAATTAAGTCCTACATCCCAGTAGTAGGATATTAATAAAGTGAGCACACAGAAAATAGAGAAAAGAGAAAATAATGGAAGATAATTCTCAGAGCTCTAGGAAGATACACATCTTCAAATGAAAAGGGCTTGCTATGGAATGCTAAGAATGATTACAATATATGCCCATGCCCCAGACCGTTATAATTTCAGAACCAAGGTAAAGAGAAGATATTTTAAGACGATATCATAAAAGCTTCTGTAGAGAAAAAAAGACTAGAATATTGACCACCGGTAAAATGGAGCAATAAGGGGCAATGCCTGTAAGTGTCTATGGACTAGAATTACCTATCCAGTCATACCAGCAAAGACAGAGAACAGAATAATAACTCTATGGGACAAACATGGTATAAGAACATTTACGTTCCATGCATCATTTCTTTAGAACTTGCTTTGTAAAGTGTTCCAATCAAAATGTACAAATGAAAGAGAAAGATGTGGGGTCCAGGAAATATTAGATCCAACATAGGAAAATAATCAAGGGAAGTCCTAGGATGGCAGCCTTGCAGAAGCTCTAGAGAATAAGTGGTACTGACTAGAAGAGGCAGAGTGGGATCCAAGAGAAGGAATTTGGGGAAAACAAGATTCCATGCATTATATAATTTAATGGGGATTCAGGAAGAATATAAGAAAAATTAGGACTTCAGGTGGGATGAGGTAGACAATCAGAAACTTCAGGTGAAAAAGGTTACACAAAAGAGGAAATGTAGTCACAGCACATTTGGCTATGCTATGAACAATATAATGAAGTCATACTAATGGAATTGTTAGTTCTTAGAATCAACCATTAAATACAGCAGGAGATTTGACTGTGGTTAGTTTACCAAAGAGACTAAAGTCACAAGTTGGTGGTGGTAGGGGAAGTAAAAGGTGAGGAAAGACCAGAAGTACTAATTCCCTCATGACAAAAGGAGGGGAGTCAAGAGATAGTGTCCACAACTGAGGAAATAAGAAATAGAGTTTTGAGCATATTAAAATGATGAAATAATTTTATAGAACCATTTGGAAGGATGAGTAAACTGTATAAGTGAAATAAGCCCTCATCTATCATAGTGGGCCATTAACAATATCTAAAGTTGACAAATTTAGAAAAAGCATTATAAATTATAAAATAACACATTATTTACAGACATGGAGTTGATTACCATAAGAAATAATATTGGTTTCCTCTTGGGAGTGGGACTTGGGTCAGAAATGTTGGAATAGGGAACTGTTACATTTCATTATGATTCCTTCAGTATGATTTGATTCCCTTGATGTATTTAACTTTATTCTTAAGGGTATAAGATTAAACAAATTTATAGTCAAAATTTCAGAAAATAGGGGAAAAAACTCAAAACACTTGGACTATAGATTACTGACATTTTACTTATGATTGTATTAAACTTATTTTACTACCCTGTTAAGAACTGAGATATTTACAATATTTATTCATTCCCTAAAAAAATGCTGTCTCTGTATTTAGTAATCTTCTCTATATTTTAGTGCAGTTATGCATTTCTTATAGGACCCAAATATTTCTGATTAATCTTACATTCTCTATTTCTGTTGGTAGAAGAATCTTTTTCCCATTATATTTCAAACAGTTATTGCTGGTGAAAAGGATGTTTAAGCAGAGTGAGAGACTCTCAGCAAAAAAAGGTAACTGAAAGAGTGGTAAGTCAGACAAAGAAGAAAAATGCCAAAGAAGAGGGTCAAGAACAACTCATATGACTCCGAAATCCCTTACCCACATTGGAGTTATAAAAAGTTCAGGAGCTGGAGACAAAAGGCAGGTTCATAAAGAGGATTCCTTGGAGAGAGTTGTTATAATGCTGTGAGTACCCCCACTGGGAGGGGGTAATGGGGTGACTACCCCTCCCCTCAAATCCTAGTGGAAAGGGATTTAATTGGGCCCTCAGAGATTGGTACATGGCCCTGCAGTTGGCAGGCCCAGTGCACTGGTGTTGATTCTTGTCTGTGAAACCAGAAGGACCACAGCATTGGCCAGGCGCTGAGAAATGAGTTCAAGAGGCAGCTGTGGATCTGCATGGGTGCCCAGACTTGCAAGGGCAAAGGTTGTGAGAGGGTTTCCCACAGACCACAGAAGGCCATGAATAGAGTGCCAGTATATGGCCATGGGAGGTCCTGCCCATGAGGGCCACCTGGAACAGCAAACCGACCTCAGTACAGAGAAGCTAGGGTATCAAATGAATTCCTAAAAGCCATGGAAAGAGTAAGGTAAAGAAGCAACTGCATACAGGTGGGAGATCCCCAGTATCAGCAGTATTAGTGCAGGATGCCACTGTAAACATCAGAAGATGCAGTCTGCCGGAGCCAGGTTACCATGGCCCTAGTGAAGTTCAAACTCTTCTGCCTTCCTTATGCCTCTTTCCTCCCCTCCACCTCTCTTCCATCCCTTGAGGGGTCAAAGACTGCAAGCTGAAGAAGAAAGAGAAGAAACGAAGCAGCTATCCCTATTTCCTTCCCCAGCTAGAGGAGTTAAGAGTAGTTGTAATTTTGACGAGGTTGGAATCTTTGCCCTTTACATGGAAATGGTCATTCTCATTACTACAGTGAGACTGTATCTTCAAAACATAACCTGGAAAAAAAAAAAAAAAAAGAAAGTTTGAATTTTCAGTCAACCTGCCAGAACAACCATACCTACCAAATTTAAAGGAACAGTGGGAAATACAGTTGCTTTATAACTACACTTTGTAAGTCCTGATTATTCATCAGACCAGTTGCACTACTCTACTTCAGGAAACAAAAAAAGTGCACAGCTTTTCTCCCTTGCTCTTGTGACTTCTCTGTACCCTTTGCCATCTCGAAATCCCCATTGCTTTCATCTGGTTTTTGTCCCGTCGTCCCAAGGCTGAATTATTTCATTCTACCTAACTCCTGAGTGATATTCAATTTAACAGCTTGCTTGGTTTTCATTTCTCTCTCTCTCCAAGGGGCTGTCTTGGCTCTTTGCTCCTTTGGGTTCCACACACCTGACCAGCTAAGCTCCTGGGACACCATATCCCAATGTCAGACCCCTCTCACTGTCCAGGAGTAAGGGAAGGGAGTAATTACCTAACCCTAACAAGAGGATTGTTCTTCCAAACAACAAAGCCAGGTTAACAACATTCAATTGTAAATGATACATTGGAATTGTGCCTTTTCTACCACACTGGATTAAATAAACTTGTCAAAAAAAAAAAAAAAAAAAGGTTAGGTTATTACTCTTTTTTTTTTTTTTTTGGACTGTGACAGTAGTTTAGTTCCTTGGAGTTTTTAGCTTTTCTCCAATTCTGACACTATGACCAAATCAGACATCTTGATGTATTTCAGGGTTTTACTGCTGAGCGTTACCCTCTATTTGTGATCAATAGGTCAGCCAAGACCCTCACTCCACATCCCATCCTTGGCTGCACCTACAGCTTTAGTAGTCACTTCTAAACCTAAGTATGGACCCTTGAGTGCAGCAGACTGCCAGAATGTCATCCTTTGACTGAAAAGTGACTTCCAAGGTAGCTGTTTCAGCCCATATCTTTCAGAGCTGAGATCTGAGCTCTGGTCTGGTGTAAACAAAACATTTTACTCTTCTGAAGCTACTGAGCCTGCCTCTCCAAATGTAACAGGAAGCCTGGTACCCTGCAAAGCATTCTCTTTCAGAAATTCTAGATATCTTAGGCATCAAATTCAAGGGGGCAACAGAACACAAAGCATTTCCAGTCTGAAGTCTGGCAGAAGATGCAAACAGGTGTCTCAAAAAAACCCAAAGATTTCCTGAGCATCTAGGGCTGAGTTTTGGGTCTGGTGGCTCTGCTGGGAAAGAGCTGGCTGATGACCCCATGAAGGGGATGGTAGGAGTAGGTCATGGTTCCCCTCACTGTGGAGTTTAGGTCATTTCTCTGGACTTTGTGTGGAATAACCAAGGCCTGAGGATGGAGTTCTTCAAAGGTTCAGGGGGTGGGAGTGGTGCCCCTTGACTGTGAAACTGTGTCATTCGTAATGAAGCAGAACTATCTATTCTACCAGTTACTGGATAACACGGAATGAGAAGAGTCCTGCATATTAACTAGCATAGCTCCAGAATCCCTACTCTTTCTGAATTGATAAGCCTCACTTTGAGGACAGAAGGCCATGTGGGGACCGCTCTTACTGTTTCACAGATGTTGGCCATGCAGCTCTGCTTACAGCTCTGCTGAAACAGCACTACCTGCAATGGGCCAAAAAAAGAAAAATCACAAAACAAAATGGTGCATGGTTTGCAAGGGGGCTGCTTACTTCACCCCTGGACTTCATAGCTCCGATCCTATTTTGCAGCACTGCCTGGGTAATAAGCGTTTTCCTATGATGTTTTGGCAAAACTAGAGTGGCAAGCAAGTTCCTGCCTTTGGATTAAAGAGATACTTAGTGATGCCACATAGTTATGTAGCCCAAGCCTTGCACTCTAGACCTACCTCCCCACCAGCTGTAAGGCTCTCCCCTCTACCTGCCATGATCCTCCCATCTCCAACATGTTGTGGTAGGGATCAATAACATAAAAAGTCAGTTAAGCTGTTATATTCATTAGTCACTGTCCATGATTCTCTACTCTCGAGTATCTCTCCTGAATGCAAACCTGTGATTCATAAATAACATGGGAAAACATTTTTCATGCCAGATTTATGCCACCAGCACGATCTATTCTCCCTGCTGAGCCTTGCTTCACTTGTGACTAACATGTTTTGAGACCAGCATGTATTTTGAACCCACGTAGAACTGGTTTTAAAAAAACACATAACATTTTCAGAGATTTACAAACAGTTCTAAATGACAGGAAGGTGATTGAGATGAGGAACAGCTAGAGATTTTGGAAACAGGCTAATCACAAGGCAATGAAATCAGTATACAGAAGTACTTACCACAGTGTTAGAACCTAGCGAACAATAAGTAATAGCCATTGTCATTTTTATTAAGTTGTTTCATGAGGAAGGAAAGAGAGGAATCCAAAGGGTAGGTGTTGTAAAGAATACCTCTTCTAATTAGGTAGGAGAGAAATAGGAGAGAACGTGTATCAATACACATGGATGTAGATTACAAATTTAAATCCGTATCCTGTATTTTCCTTACCAATACCCAAGTGTGTAGAACAAATTATGTATAAGGACTCTGAAGGCAGGCCTGATATGCTAACACAAGGAATGTATCCTTTATGGTGAAAGTTATATGGAGTATAGACAGATTGTTTTGGCAAAAATATGGAAGTTATATTGGAGCAAAATGAGACTTGAGACAGGAGAATAAAAACAGTTAACAAGCTATAACAATAACTAGTGGAAAGAATGGTGAGGGCCTTCATAGGGTAAAGGGAGTAGGAATGGAGATGAGGGGATGGTTATATAAAATACTAGATAGAGACTAATGGGATGTGGGTAACGAGGAAGAGGGAGAGTCAAGGATAAAGCCGAAATTTTCGTATGAGTAATAAAGCATGAATGGTACCATCCACATGTACATGAATAGAGGGAACTAAGCAATTTGGATGAGACTCTACTGATTTGAATTTAAGTTTGAGGAACCTGTGAAATAAGGTGTTTAGGACATGACTGAATACATGTACCTGGAGTGCCAGAGATGTCTAGGTTGGAGATAGATGTTTGAGAGTAATCAGTGGAATGTGTTATAGCTGAAATCCCAGGTGTGAATGAGATTACTGAAAGCAGGAGATGGAATGAGCACAGAAGGAATACAAGAAAACCCAAAATATAGTGTACAGAAAGAAGAGCTGGCAAAACACACTAAGGAATGTCCAGAAAAACAGCAGAAAAATCAAGAATAGTATTTACAGAAGCCAAAAAAAAAAAAAAAAAGGAAATAAAGGAAGTAGTTAATAAATGCTCTAGAGATCCGATATCTCTTTATTTGGCAATATGGAGATCACTGGTGATTTAGTAAGAACACTGTCAGTGGAGTGCCGAGGGGAACCAGATTGATATGAATACAAGATAAAATGGAAGCTGAGAAATTGGAGACTGAGTACAGAACACTAACTTTCAAATAACCTCACTGTAAGCAAAAAATAAAGATCTGATGTAAAATTGTGGGAGGATTTCTTTACTACTAAAAGGGCTTGAGAATGTTCATACTGTATTCTGAGGGAAAAGTGCCAGTAGAGACACTGAAGATACCAAATTGATGATAGGATTACAAAGCAGTTTTTTTTTTTTTTAAGGAGTTTGGGGTTAAAGCTGAGTTTGATACCCAATTTCTTAGACATAGCTTTGTCATTTTGGTAAAGTTATGCCTCAGTTTCCTCATTCATAAAAGTATATCTACCATAAAAGGTGGGTGGGAGGATTCAACGAAATCAGTACACAGAAGTACTTACCACAGTGCTAGAACCTAGCGAACAATAAGTAATAGCCATTGTCATTTTTATTAAATTGTTTCATGAGGAAGGGAAGAGAGGAATCCAAAGGTTAGGTGTTGTAAAGAATAACTCTTCTAATTAGGTAGGAGAGAAATAGGAGAGAACGTGTATCAATACACATGGATGTGGATTACAAATTAAAATCCGTATCCTGTATTTTCTTACCAATACCCAAGTGTGTAGAACAAATTATGTATAAGGACTCTGAAGAATCTAGAAATATCTATTATAAAATCCCATTAAAATGGCATCTATCTGAAATTCTATGTATAAACAAAATGATTTGTTTAGTGAAAATTAATTGTGCTATTTGTACTCCAAGTCAAAAGACAAAAAATTTAAAAAAAAAAAACAAACAAACTTGTTTAGAGTGTCATTAACATGCAATATTGGGTCCAAAGTGTTTGGGGGTGAGGAGGATGAATCAAATGACCCATAGCAAGATTAAAATTGCTTTGAGGAAGTCTATAGTTTATATTAAAAATTAATGCGAATTTTGTTCATCAATACATTGGTATGTGTTTTAATATAAAAATATTTTTGAACTTAGAAAAGTTTACTTGGCATTGAGTGAACACTGCTTGTCTAGGAAGCTATGTCATACTCATTTGTCCCTTGCACACTGCTAAAAATCTTTGAGATAAATCAATGTCTTTTAGGCTAGACCAAATAAAAACAAAAGCTTACTAAAACTGTCTACTTCTAACTATTTTAAGTTCAAACTTATAAAATATTATGAGGTCATCATACAAGATGACTGGTCAACTTCATTTTTAAAATCAAAATGGCTTTTAGGTATTGAATATTTCAAAGCAAAAAACCTTACGGGTAGCCCACAGTTTTCAATTTTCAGTCAACTTTGGTCTAAGTAATAATAACAATATTTCCTAATAAACATAAATGTAAATTATCAACAGAATGGTTTCTCAAAACAATTACTGCTTAAACTTCATCGTTTTATATTGTTTCTATGTGTTATAATTAGTGAATAGGTAAGACAATATAAAAAAGGAGATACTTATAGTTTCCCTAGCTTGTCCTTAACCTGCTTATGCTTATAGGCCTATTTTACTGACCTTCCAATTTAGTTGTCACTGATATGCATAGTCAAATTCCTTCTTTGTTCATCAGTCAGACTTTTAATAATTTCCATTTCTGGTAAATTTCCAATCTGTCTAGATATAATAGTGAGGAAATGAATGATTCAATCTTAATGATATTAGAGTCATGATGGAAATGGACTCAACTCACAAAAAGCCATTTTTTGGCAACATCAGCTATGTTTTCATTCAAACCAGTTCTGAAACAGTTTTTCCTTCCCTAATCTTAACACTTATTACTCTTAACTACAAATTTGAGATTTGCTTTCTTTTTATGGATTCTGTAAGTTTTTTACTAAATTACTTGCTTAATGAAGATCTTGAAATAATATCCATTTAAGTAAAACTAAAGAAAATGTAGTAATTTACAATCAAGTTATTCCAATTTCTCCTTAGGATTCTAGATTTATTCACTCAGTCCAAAATATTTATTAAATGCTTCTCATTACGGACAAGGCACTCTTCTCGGTAACTGTGTACCAGAAATACCAACATGTGTAAGCCTCTGCCTAAAAAGAGGTGACAGTCTAATAGTTTCCAATACAGGAGACATTCGAAAGTACTGACAGATCTAACTCCTTTGAGCACTTACTGTCAAATATATCTAATCACATTCTTAAAATTAAATCATTTTCTTCTGGCATACATTATATTAACTATCATCACTTGTGGGAAAGTAATGTAGAATATTACTTTAAAAGAGACTAAGCTATAAATTTGAATACATATAAAAAAGCAGTACCCAAGAGTAAATATGTTTGAGCCCAAAATTACAAAATATCCAGTTACAAATAGATTCTAATAAAGATTTTACTCAAAACAAAAATCTACCCACTAATGCATTAAATATAAGTGCATTTTAATTAAGACTTTAATTTTTTTAAAGCATAACTGGTCATAAGAATAATCCTCTGAAATGCATCTTTTCCAAAGAATTTTGAATTTATTAAGAGCAAGACAGAATTCTATGGAAATATAACCCCAAGTTTCCCAGGGAAGAGTTTAGATCAGAGCAAACTAAAAATTTTTGAATAAAATGATGGCATAACTGAAAAGTCATGGGGAGAGAAAGAACTTGGCTCCTTATTTATTTTGCAACAGTGTGTATGCTATTTGCACATGTACCCTAAAACTTAAAGTATAATAATAATAAAATTAAAATAAATAAATAATGGTTAAAAAAAGAAAATAAATTCATACTGTTTTTTTTATTCTATTGAAAAAAAAGATGATGTTTTTAGAGCTAGTGGTTTTGTGGTTTTAGCAAGGTATCACATGAGGAAACAAATACTAAACAAAGTTATGTTGAAAAAATCTCCATGTTACCTCTTTTTAGTAGAATGGTAAAGTTTTGCCCTAAAATAATTCCTTTCACTCCAAGCAACTCTTTCTTAAACATGACAGCCATAGACAAATTAGTCTCATTGTCAGATCTATTTTTCAATCTTTAGGTGAAAGTAACCAATCACTTTATTCTTCTTGTAATATTTCTTTTCTACACCCTTATTATTTTTTTTGTTTGTTTCTTTTTTTTTTTGAGATGGAGTCTCTCTCTGTTGCCAGGCTGGAGTGCAGTGGCGCAATCTCGGCTCACTGCAACCTCTGCCTCCCCGGTTCAAGAGATTCTCCTGCCTCAGTCTCCCAAGTAGATGGGACTACAGGCGTGCACCACCACGCCCAGCTGATTTTTTTATTTTTAGTAGAGATGGGGTTTCACCATGTTGGCCAGATGGTCTCCATCTCTTGACCTTTTGATCCACCTGCCTCGGCCTCCCAAAGTGCTGGGATTACAGGCATGAGCCACCATGCCTGGCTAAACATGTACTTTTTTTTTTTTTTGAGACAAAGAAAGAGTCCTGCTCTGTCGCCCAGGCTGGAGTGCAGTGGCACAATCTCAGCTCACTGCAACCTCTGCCTCCCGGGTTCAAGCGATTCTTGTGCCTTAGCCTCCCAAGTAGCTGGGATTACAGGCACCTGCCACCATGCCCGGCTAATAATTTTTTTTGTATTTTTAGTAGCGATGAGGTTTCCCCATGTTGGCCAGGCTGGTCTCAAACTCCTGGCCTCAAGTGATCCACCCACCTAGGCCTCCCAAAGTGCTGGGATTACAGGCGTGAGCCACTGCACCCGGCCTAGTTATTGTTTTTAAAATGTTAGCTTTGTGATACCATCCCAAAAAGTCATTTATTGTTTTTTGTTTGTTTGGG
The DNA here is from genome assembly GCF_000001405.40 of Homo sapiens. Taxonomy (NCBI): domain Eukaryota; kingdom Metazoa; phylum Chordata; class Mammalia; order Primates; family Hominidae; genus Homo; species Homo sapiens. The sequence goes on from NC_000007.14 coordinate 112,765,190, forward strand.
TAGGAGAATTCATCAAAGTGGACATTCTATAAATTTTTGGTTAACAAATTGGCTCAAGTCACATTCTTGGCCCAAAGACCATTTTTGGTTTTACTTTCACAGGAAATACATATGAAAAAGTTAGGTTTGTGGCTGTCAAACTGTCAGCTGTTTTTAAAATGTAATTTTTAGTACCACCTTAATACTACCTTATAAAGAATGCAGAATATACTTTTGTATTTGGCTTTCTTAAAGTGAAGAGATAATGCTTTAAAGCTAACCTGCTCACAAATAGCTGAGAAATTTAAAAGGAGATTTTACTTAACATTAACTTTTTTTAAGCTAAAAGCTCATAATTTTAACATTTGGCTTTTCTACTACCCTACTGCTGAACAGAGCAATAAAAAAAACTATACTATTTTATTTGGACAATACTAATATAAATCCTTAACCTATAATGGAAACTTCCAAACATGAACTCTAAAACATGGGCATTTTTAATGACTACCACTTTTAATAAATATACTAAAATATTCAATATTTGCACATCATTAAATAAAAAATTAATTTTTAACAAAATTTTATTTAGAGCATTAGGAAAATCATATTCAAAACACAGAAATAATCAGACTATAACAATGCTGCATAGATAGTGGTATACAAGTTCCCTGACTCTAACTTCTTCCTAACTTAAAAGTTCAATTTTCAAGTCACCAGGTAGAAAATGGTGGAGGCATTATTTCCTCTTTCTGAGGCTATAAAAAAATGGCTTCAATGGTGAGAAGGCAAACCATTTAAACAATGAAGATTAGATTATACCCCAATTTAATTCTATTCCCTTCTTGTTTGTTATTTCTCATAGATGAAAATTTAGAATGTAATAATTATTGGAAAGGAATAAGAAGTGAATTACCTCTTAGGAGATACCCTGATCAGTGCCTGCTTTAATCAGACAAAACACTAAGTTTTAAAAATTACAACCACAATATTATGCCTAACTAAAATTGCCAATATGAATACTTTTTTACAGAATACATTACATGTATACCAGAAGAGAAATACTTGTTTCCTATCCTCTGACCTTCAGTAGAAAAAAAATGTTATCACTAACAAGGATCAGAAAAATAATTTTCAAGGCAGAGCATTAACTCAATGGGGATCAAAATCTTTTCTGAATACTTAAAATAGACTGAGTCAGTCAACGAGAAATTGCTAAATTTCTTCTATGAGAGTACTTTTCAAAAAGGAAGACAATTTATTGGAAGAATTTGTAGCTGGAAACACTGTTCATTAAGAAAACATTAAGTTACCCTGAGAAAGACTCTTAATATTACCAGTGTTTTCAGGGCCCCCTGACCAACGCATGGAAGAGCAACTTGTAGGCTCTAGCCTTTTAACAATACCTACATAAAGAATATTTTGATCTAAAATGTAACTTGGGTTCTCTGCCACACTGGTAATAAGTCACAACCAAGACATCTGAATGTGATGGAGTATAAGCAAATTTTGCGTTTATTTTAGGCTGCCCTCTTTCTTTTCTAAGAGAAAGAGTTTGCAGTTCTTCAAATGGTCTTGGATGAAACCTACTGTTTGGAAAAAAGAATCTTCTGTAAGTAAACTGGTAGTTTTCTTAAAACAGTAAACAAATTTATCTGGTCTACATTCTCTAAACTATTATTATATGCCTAGAAAATAAGGCATTAGTAATTCATCATTGACCATTGCAGAGCATAGACAACTGTTTCTTTCTAATCAGGACCATAAGCAAACATTCCTGAAAGTGCAGTGTTATTTTTAACGTCTCTTATGCATTTACAGTAAGCATTTGACTCCCTACATACTTTCATTATAAAATGTTTTTTCCCAACGCCTTATATATACCATAATTACTTAAGAAAAGACAAAGTGAGAGCAGCTACAGAAGTAGCAAGGTATTTTCCACAAATAAAAATACAGCATACAAAAAATGGCAAGTTAGTGATAATTGGTAGTATGAGTGCTTATTAATATCCCGCTTTGGGGTCCAAATTAAGATTTGACAAGTTTGAAGCCTTGTCCTGTGTCCAGCACAGTAGGAAGAAACCAACTCATTTTTAATCTTTTCAAGCACCTAAAACAAGTTTTGCAGATCCAAAAAAGGTTCAGACCGCATAACCAATTTGCCAAATGCACTAGGGGATATGTAATACGAGGAAAGTGTAACATCCAGTGCTTGGCCACATCGCTTCCCGTTGGCAAATGCAGAGTGTAGTCACTCCACCGTTTTGACACACCATATACTGCTTTCACTGTGCGTCCCTTTTCAGTCCAGCAGATGTTATTACTGGAGTTGCAGTTATATTCTACCCAGTCTTTTGTAAAGTCACCTAGCTGTGGCGGGTCAGCTTCTTCAATATCTACTGTTTTTATCAACTCTGCTCCTTGCACTGCAATATACTGGTCATTAATTTTCCTCACTTCTTTCACCCAAGGGGTTGAATTTTCGCTGTCTAATACGATAATAAGCCGGGAACAAAAGGAACCATTCTTTTCTCTCCACCATTCTATAAGTGTGTCAAGGCGTAGTGTATCTCCACCTGTGAACAAGAGAAAATTCAATGGAGCAATAATTTCTGCAGCCTCTCATTAAGAAAACCCTCTTAATCATTTTCTTCTAGAGAGAAAATACTCTTGTTATACATGTATTTTCCTTAAGTTCTTAGAATTAAATAAGCAAAAAAATAAAGTATTTAAATGACACTTTCAAAGTATCTTTTGAAAAGATATTTTTTACAACAGATTTTCAACTTGAGGTAAAAAAAATCCTTATTACTCACATAAAAAGGAATCTGCTAGTATAAAATTAAGGAAATAGTTTTACACAGTTGTATTTAGTGAAAACAACTATACAGAAAAGCTAACATTCTACACCAGGGGCAGCAACTACAACTCATGGGCCAGATCCAGCCTGCCACCTCTTTTTGTATGGCCTGAAAGCTAAGAATTGATTTTATATTTTCACATGGTTGAAAGAAAATCAGAATATTTTGTGATAGTAAAAACTGTATGCAATTTGTTTCATATAATTATTTTCATAAATAAGTTTATTGGAACACAACTACATTCATTCATTTATACCGTCTATGGCTGCTATTGCTCTAAAGTAGCAGAGCTGAATAGCTGCAACAGGCATCTAAACCCACAAAGCCAAAAATATCTGGCCCTTTACAGAAAAAGTTTGCCTCCCCATTCTGTATCATTGTTTCCTTCTCTTCCTCATATGTAGGTACCTATTGAATGAAAATAAACCCTGTTCCTACCTGTACAAGAATGAGTTTAAGAACAGATTTACATTTAAATCAGTTTTATAGCTGAAGAACAAGGGATTAAAAAAATATATATACCCAGAAAGTTCTAAAGTAAATAAACTTCTGACTACAGGTTTTACATCTCGTTATTTTTTTGCATTAATTTTGATTTTTAAGTATACTACATTAAAATATTCATTTTGATTATTGAGTTTTTTGGCATTCCCTTATGTTTTGTGCCTGAGGCAACTGCCACCCTCACCTCATCTGGCCCTGTCTCAATGGTACACTGATAACGATCATTCCAATTCTACGAATCTATCTTAAGGAAAGAACAGACATAGGGACAAAAAATTACAAAAAAAGACGACCTTCCCATTTGGGAAATGGAAATGAACTATGGCCTAAAACCTTAGGAGGAAATCTTATAACAAAATATTTATAAAGAAAATTTATTGATGAGAAAATGTCTATATTAGAAAAAGCATGACAGTACATCTACAAAAATTATAACAGCAGCTATTGCTGGGTGTTTCACTTCCATGTGGTTTTTAAAATATTTTTCTGACAGTTTTACATTGAGCATAAGTTACTTTTACAATTTACCAGCACAAGACCCAACATTTTCCCCAAATCAACTGTCCTCTTGGTTTCACCATTAAAAATGGACACCACCAGAGAGAGAATCCTTTAGAATTGGGATTCTATCATATTCTTTATGTGTCATTTATTAATGTTTTATTAATCAGTAAGCTTAAGAACCTGAAAATAAACTTTTTTTATTAATCGCTCTAACACTCACACATATTATCTCAGAGACACTATTTCAGTACATTGTCTCCACATATTACTAATGTGTTATTCCACTGATACCTCCAAAAGATACTTTTTCAAAAATGGCCAAATGTTAACTCTCCATTATTGTCAGCTCTATTAAATTTCTCTAGAGATCAGAAGATGACACAGATTACAAGAACTATTATGTAAATTCCATCTGCCACAAAACATCATTGCCCAACATGCCATCCACAACTATTTCAATAAACATTCTTGAGCATATTCTACCCTAATTCTCTTATATAAATGCTCTTTAGATATCAACGAGACCTAAAGCAGCATTAAAGCTTTCTAAACAATTTCTCTTGTTTTGCTCTGCTTTCTCCTATGAATAGGTTCTATGCTACATTTGGCTTTTGGCCCAGATTCAAAGTACTTACATTTATCTAAGCTAATATCCATCTGATGCATTTTAAGTAATTGAGACTGCTTTTTAAAGGTTTTATTTGTAATAAACTGCTTTATAAATTATCTACATTTTTTCCATTTATTTCTGTCTCTCCTGTAATTACCATAATTGTTTTCTATCCTCAAGCAGAGGCAAAAATATTAGGTTCCATATCATGAAACTCCATAAATATAAGAAGACTACATATTCTAACTACTGTGAGTGAAGGTATGGGATAAAGGGCAAATATAGATTCTCTTTCCCACAGCGATATTAATACTGGGCCTGCTATCAACTTGCTAACCCAAGTAAAATCCAGTTGTGATGTTTCCTATTTCAAAGTTTGCTGAAAAAACAACAAAAAACAAAACAAAAAATCCCCAACTATTAATAAATTAGCAGAGCTTAAAGCTCTTTGTCACTTAATTTGGAATAGATGAAAGTATTTTCCTCAGAGCAGAGATATTCAATACTATTTGTGAGGCAGAATCAGCCCTTGAGGACTACGTCTAAAGCAGGCCAGGGCATGAACTAACTGAAAAGCGGGCTTTTCTGGGCCTGGTTCAACCTGACTACCCACAAGTATGCGAGATGCCTCAGGCCATGCATGACAGTATGCAGTTGCTGAATTATAAGATAAAATCTACCTTTCTCAGGGAAGGGAGATCAGTATGCTTTCTCTCTCTTTTTTTTAAACTTCTTATAATAAGCCTCAAAGTTACACAAGAACAAATCTTAGCTAACAGAGGAATTCTGTAACGGTCAATTTACTGGTAGCATACTTCAAAAAAATTATAAAGACATCATTCTAGAATGTAACTGCTAAACATTTACCTAAAATACAACTCTATTTTAGTGTTCTTAAAGTCTTCAAAAATTATTCCTAACAGTGAATGAAAATTTAGAAAAACTGCGAGAGATATATATATGTGTGTGTGTGTTTATCTTAGTGTTTTTACTTTTCTTAGAAAAATAAAAAGCTGATATAAGTATTAGTAAATGAACATCTAGAATTGATTTCCATAGCTATCTTTAAGAAATACTTAATGAATTTTAAATTACTTAAGAAAAATGCAAACTTTTTGAAAAGTGTTTCTATTAAGTAATAAATCCTTCATATAAACACACATAAAAAGCTTACTTCTAAAATTACTCTAACACTTTAAAATAACTAGGGATATATGCATGGCCACCAAAAATTAGCCCTGTTTTTTCCATTTGATCTGGGTAGAGTTTATTATCATAAGGATTATAGTAAGTTTCAGCAATCTCTGCTTTTAGATCTAAAATTCTATTTCTGTAAAGGCTATTTTAATTGACTAAAAGCTTTCTCTTGTGCTCTGAGTTGGAATACACAGAACGTTATACTTTACCTGAAACTGAAGTAGCCATAAAGGTTAAAAAGATGCTTTCTACGTTGTAATTAAAAAGTTATAGGTCAAGTAAATGATTTTATAAACTATATTCAATTAGTTTTAATGTTCAGTGCATCTTTTAGTCTTGTACATTCTAATGTTTTGAAATGGGTGACCCATGTTAACAAAAATATCCACTTAACCAGAACATGCCATTCCTTTATCATCATGGCTTTCACCCTTGGAGGCAACATGGTAGAGTGGGGGGAAAAATACACTTTAGGAATCAGGCAGATCTGGTCTTAAATCATGGTTCTATCACATAGTGGTATGACCACAGATAAGTTACATAACAACTTTCAATTTCCATTTCATCGTTTGAAAAATGAAGATAACAGAAGTGATGGTATCTATCTCAAAGGATTTCACATAAAGATTAACAATGTGTGTAAGGTACTAAGTACAGTAAGCTGATGCTTAAAATGTACCCAATAAATATTAGCTTGTCTTTCTACTAGAAGGCCACTGAGTTATTCAATATTTATTTGCAAAAAAGAAAAATTTCAAAAAAATATTTCTCCTTATGATAAAAACCTCAGTTACAAATCTGGCATGAAATCAATGAGATCATGCTAGTTTAAAATCATCTCTACCTTAACCTTTTTGTTTGTCTCTTTCTGGAGTTCTTATATTGGCAACTCTGCCTCTGTCCTTCCATACTACTTCTATTTATCTTTTTCTTTATCCTGAATGTTTCCACTTTATTTATGACTATTTTATTATTTATATATTCTTGGTTTAAAACATCTACACTTTTATGGAAAAAAAAATCATGTAATTAAATCTAAAATAACTATTTCTAATCTAAAATAAGAAAATTACCTTTTTTAATGATTTATTCAATGATTTCATCTATCTATCAGCTACTTAAGGATCCTCTACTATGTATTGGGCTCTGTTATAGGTCCTAAACAAGTAACAGTTGATAAAACAAAGCCCTTGACTTTCTCTCTATTAATAGTTGGAAAGACTGACAAATTTATATATGATATAAAGAGATCTCATTTCTCTCTTGGCAATAACTAAGAAGTTTTCTATTTCCCATAATGCATGCAAACCAAAGTTATTTTATGTTTTTTCAAATGCAAAAAAATCCCTACAGAATTTTGTACCTTAGAATAAAACTCAATGGTCATTTACAATTACCCCCTTATTTTACAGATGAGAAAATTGAAGCCAACAGAAGTTAACTAACTTGCCTAAAATAACACAGCTGTGGCAAATTAGGACCAGAACCAAGGTCTCCTGACCTAAGTGCTACTCCCACCATACTACATGATCTGCTGTTTAAAATTTTGGTGAGCTTTATAACATAAATAAAACTACAGATGTGAAGGACTACTGAAATCTGCATCCATAACATTTAAAAACTTAAAGATACTAGTCAAAGGAGTTTATCAGCTTCTGAAAAATATGTTTAGCAATTCTGAAAATATTTTAAGGGAAACTGTAAGTCTCAAAGCATTTTTTTCCTTCTAATCACTATAAGACGTAATTCCCAATCTTATCATTAGAGATTAAATTAGGCTAAACAGGTATGCTAGAGCAAAGAAAAACAAATTAGAGTCATATGCATAGTTCAGTAAACTAAGAATCCTGGAAATTTAACGACTGTGTGTGAAGTACAGATTTCTACATATACATGTGTATCTTTACAATAGTGAAACTGCCAAAGGTGAGTTTACCTGCTAGAGCCCACTCTCCTGTACCATGGGTGTGCCCACTGTAATACAAAATATACGTATCATGTCTGGGTCCATCCACTGTCCGAAGTTCGAGGAAAGCTTTTAGTTTGGAATGCAGAGTATCAAATGACAGTCCACTTGTGGAATAGTCACATCCATAGGTCTCAATCATATGATATGCAAAAAATCTTTGGATAGCATTGAGCATGCCAGTAGACCTCAAATTTAACTCCTGTACATGTTCTGGGGGAAGCAGTGTTGGCTGACCATCAGGACTGAAGTAGGAGAAAAAACAAGAAGTACTCATTCTATATCACATTCTCATCTGTCATTTGTAACTGATTATCTAAGAATCAGTTATAATATAGTTGCTGCTAAGTGGCAGGATTTTTGTAAAAAATCACCCTTTCTAAAATTCCTATAGTACTGAGAATTAAGCTTAGAAAATCAAAACCTGGTTTCTAAATATTATATTTACTATCATTAAAACAATAATCAAATTAAAAGCTGGGATAATGTCTCCAAATGTAGATAGTATTACTCTTTGTTCCTTATTCGTATTTTCTTACATGACAAATATTGGACAAGGTTTTTTAAAAGCAGGATTACACTGTTTCAAGAACATCTGGGTGGGGACTATTAAAAAAACTTCTTTAAAAATATTATAACACAAAATAAAAAAGCAATATTTTAATTATATATTTACTTCTGTATTGAAAAATAGTCAATAAAATTGTGTTCAAATTTTATTAACTTAAGGTACATAAATAATAGAAGAAATTATCTATTAATAGGCATTTAAAAAGTTATTAAAATTTAGGTCCATTGCTTTATACCACTGGACACTAGTTGAAGACTTAGATTTACTCCTAGAACAAATATAAAATGGTACTCTAGTACAAAGATGATAAAGCAAGTCTTATAACTAGCAAAATACCATTAATATTGAGAAAGAAAAAATCATCATTCCTATCCAGAAAAGGGATTTCTATCGGGATTTTTGAAAACGTTAGATTTTGCTTCATATATCATCAGTACTATTCTACTAACTTTTTTTCATTACAGTCACAAAAGAGTAAGGAATACATTAAAAAAATTACAATGGAATAAATATCTAACTGTGCATATTACTATTTCCACACATTCTTTCTACAAGGTTGTCATTTCTCACTTTATGTGACATTTCCAAATCTGTTTCCTTCAGTTCTTAAACCTTCAACTTTGTATTAAGTCTTTAACGAAGGAAAATATTTCCTACAAATAGTCTATTTGGAGATTTTTATGTCAAATACTTGAAATTGGGAAAAAACTTTACTTCCACTCTCCTCTCCCCCAGGGAAAGTGTGATGAAAACTGTCATCAGAATTCATTTATGGCAAAGAATTATTTTAAAGGTAGTTAGCTATAAAATAAAAATCAAAATGTAGCAACATTTACAGATTTATACAGATGTCACCACCTTTGTGGGTAAAAGTTATTTTGGAATAAAACTGCAATAAACATTTATTAAACTTCACTGCCAATCCTCTGAATTCCTAGTATTTGTATGGCATTTTTCAGTGTGCAGAGTGTTTTTACATTTTTTTTTTTTTTTTTTTTTTTTTTAGTGCTTCATACCATTCCTGTCAGATGAACAGAAGAGTTATCACTATATACATTTTAGGCAAAGACAGATAATAAGGTTCAGAGTAGTTATAGTGTACCAAAGGTAACAAAGAACTAGACCTCCAGCCTCTCAGGCCCAGAGCACGTTTTACTATATTTCACTATGTTGCTTCAGAGGACACTTTCTTTTGCTTTTTTCCTTTTTTTTTTTTGAGACGAAGTCTTGCTCTTATCCCCCAGGCTGGAGAGCAATGGCCCTATCTCAGCTCACTGCAACCTCCGCCTCCCAGGTTCAAGTGACTCTCCTGCCTCAGCCTCCTGAGTAGCTGGGATTGCAGGTACCTGCCACCACACCTGGCTAATTTTTGTATTTTCAGTAGAGATGGGGTTTCACCATGTTGGCCAGGCTGGTCTCGAACTCCTGACCTCAGGTGATCCGCCCGCCTCGGCCTCCTAAAGTGCTGGGATTACAGGTGTGAGCCACCACGACCAGCCAGAGGACACTTTCTTAACAAAATATTCCCTTTAGGGTAAGATCTTTCCTTAGAAAAGTTATTCATGAATATTTTCTGGTTTCTAGCTAAAATATAAGCTTATCATATTTATCAAAATATTTCAATTTAACTCTGAAGATATTATCACTTGGAATAAAGTTTGTTAAAAATTTGGAAGAAATGCACAAGTTATATTTTGAAAACAGTTTTGAAAAGGAGCTATATTTTATTCATATAAATATTAAGAAAATGTTATGAAGTGAATAGTTATCACTAACTATACTAGATTACTGTACCTGCAGAAGTTGGTGGGAATCACAATAGCATATCCAACAGATGTTCCTCCTAAACAGTTACCCAATTCATGGAAGAGCCCATGAGCCATGGATTCCAATGGCAAAACGATTAGAAACATGCTCAAGAAAATTCCATTTGTTGGCTAAAAGAAATCCAAAACATGTTTACATAGTACATGTACATATGTGTATATATTTACATGCATGCACATTGATTCACATTTTTTAGCTTCTACTTTCAAAAAGGATAAAAGGAACAATTAATGATCTAAAAACAATTTTCAGTTAAAGCAGACACGTATACATGGATGAGCTAACTAGTGCAATAAATCCTAAATTTATCTCTTAGTTTTTTGGAAGTTGTGGCAAAACACGGCACATCATTTTTAAAAAAGAATTGTCAAATAACATCCTATCCAGACGAGAAAAAAAAAAAAAACAAAACAAACCAAAACCACTCTTTGATATAACAGAGAAAATGCCAGAAAACAAATATCTTGTTAAAACCCACATGCCTATGTCATTTTTCAAATAACAGATTTATTTACTTTATCAAAAAGAGTGCTTTAGAAAGGGGTCATTTTTTCCCCATGAAATTATGAAAGTAAATTCTTAAGGAAATTTAAGACCCTAAAGCCATAAAAACTAATTCCGTTTATATGGTATAGTTTACCTTATAAAGCACTGAACTCTCTAGATGTGCAAATTCAAAATTTTAACAGAAGAAAATATTGAGGACACGTAAGCATTGTAAAAGCAGAATGGAAAGTAGACAGGCAGAAGAAATAAGCAGGAGGCAATCAGGTATTAATTGCAATGAAAAAGCAGAAAAAATACTCATTTAAGTGAAAAGAAAATGGATAGTCACTTGAACATACCTTTAGAATATTAAACTATTACTTTTTTCTATATGCTTTCTGTATTCTTTCTCTATTACTTTCTTTCTGTATAAGTTCTTAAGGAAATTTAAGACCCTAAAGCTATAAAAACGAATTCCGTTTATATGATATAGTTTACCTTATAAAGCACTGAACTCTCTAGATGTGCAATCAAAATTTAACAGAAGAAAATATTAAGGACATATAAGCATTGTAAAAGCAGAATGGAAAGTAGACAGGCAGAAGAAATAAGGAGGAGGCAATCAGGTATTAACTGCAATGAAAAAGCAGAAAAAATTAAGACTCATTTAAGTGAAAAGAAAATGGATAGTCACTTGAACATTTCTTTAGAATATTAAACTATTACATTCTTCCGGTATTGCTACTGCACATACTATATGCCTAGGTGCATGAACACATACTTTTAACACTAAGGGGTGGTTCACTTGATCAAAATTTAATAAAAAAATTAATTCCTGCAATAGAAAAATGAATATACTGCCCTATTTTGGTACATCCTATTTTGTCAATGACATAAATAACACAGTACATGCTCCATTTAAAAACACTAGAAAATACAAATAAGTAAAAAAGATATGTGATTAAAATCATTCCAAATACCATCATCTATACGCACAGCTACTCTGAAATATTCCCAGACTTCATGCAATGTATTTTTCACAAATACATATTCATGTGTATGTTTTTTTTTTTTACCAAAATGGGATACATAATCTATCAACATTTTAATTTAAGCTTACATTACTCTAAATCACTTGTAAAGACCAAATGGCATTCCTATGATACATATAAAACTTTAATTAGTGGATCCCATTATTGGTATTTAAATTGCTTACAGTTTGCCATTACACCAAAACTAGAATAAATATCAAGTTCTGATTATTAATGAGGTTAAGTACCTTTCACTATGTGGGTATCATCTTTGATGAAGTGTTAAATATTTTGCCCACCTTTCTATGGGGTTGACCTTTTCTTCACTGATTTAGTTTTGTTTGGTTCTGAACATAGTTTCAATGAAAGTCTTTTGTTGGTGACTCTGTGACTACCTTAATGCTGTTTTTTGCTTAACATGAGTTCTTAATTATAATATAGTCACTTTATGCCTTGTTAAAAAAAATCCCTCTATCCAACCATTAAGAAGATATTTTAACATTATCCTCTAAAGGCTTTATTGTTTTGCCTTTACATTTAAAACTATAATCCAAATATAACTGATTTTATGATAATGGTCCAATTTTTTCTTCTACAGAAACACTCAATTGTTCAAGCACAAATTACTGAAAATATCAACCACTCCACATTACAGTGCCACTTTTGTCATAAGTATTCATGGACCTGTTTTTGGTCTCTCTTCTTCTGTTCTGTTGTTCTATTTTTTATTCTTTCACATATTTCCTTTGGCCTTCATTTCTTCCCTCTATTTTTGAGACTCTTATAAAATATGAGATCTTCTTACCATATCCTCTGAGTCTTATCCTTTCCTTCTGTTCAGTATTTTCCATACTGCTCTTTCATGCTGCTGCTTATATAGCTTCTTCTGAACTGTATCTTCCAGTTCACTAATGCCCACTTCAGCTTTGTCTAATGTTATGTTTGCAACACTGAAATAATTTATTTCCTGATCTAAATTTCTATTTAGTTCTTTGTAAAATCTGCCTTGTCATTTTTTAAAGTTTCCAGTGTACTACCATTATGTCCTGATCTCTCCTTTTACTTTTGCAACTTAGCATGATGGTTTTCTGTTTGATAATTCCAATACCTAAAGATTTTTTTCTGTTGTCTGTTGGTTTTGCTGCTTCTTGCTCTTGGTGCTGTGTGTGTGTGTGTGTGTGTGTGTGTGTGTGTGTGTGTGTGTGTGTGTGTGTGTGTACCTGGTTAAATTTATAAGCTGAACACTGGATATAAAAATTATATTATTATTAACTTTAGGCCTAGGATAATGATACCTTCTCCTAGAGGCAATCTGTTTCTTCCAGAGAGCTGCGGACATTACGAGTCTACATATCTTAATTCAGGTTTGACCACTTAATCCCAGGTTGAACCACCAACAGGACACAAGGGCAGAAAGCAAGTTCATGAGAGGGCTATAACACACATGGCTCCACCCTCTTCTTTCAGTGTGTAAGCGTAAAATGGGAGGTAATTTACCAGAGATCTCACTTCTGGAGGCCCTGGGCTTGGCTTTTATTTTTGCCACTCTTGAGGGGACCAAAAGTGCAGCTCAGCTTTGAAAACAGTTTCCTCTATGTATACAAATGCCTGCAAGGCACCGCATTGAGTCTTTTCATCCCAGGAAGTATGGTGTGTTTTTCCATTTATTGAAGTCTTCTTTTATAACCTACATTGAGGTTTGTAGTAATTTTAAAATAAAAGTTTTATAAGTTTAAAACTTATTTTATGTTTCTGTTCTTACAAATGGAATCAGTTCCAATTTTCTGATTGATTTCCAGGCTATTACATTTTATATATTTACATATTTTTTCTAAACCAGTGCTTCTCAATCTTCAGTATGTTTTTACTATTAGAAAAAAGTATTAAACAGTTTGATTTAGCAGTGAACTAAGCAAATGATAAAGTTCAATTGTCAATCAATTTGTAGATGACTTAAATGAAAAGCCTAATAATTCAAAATTCCAATTAAAATGTTAATTGATAGTGATGTTATTCAATACCCTAATGTTGGTTTTGCAACATTGATGATGATATTTGATACAGTAGACTAAATAAGTAGATATTTAGGGGTCTATTGATCACAACTCATAAATAACAGATGATCTGTTACTACTTGCTTTTTATATTAAAAAATCTTAGAAACTGAGAATTTTATGCTGATTGACAGGGTCTCACTCCGTCGTCCAGGCTGGAGTGCAGCGGCATGATCACGATTCACTGCAGCCTTGACCTCTCAGGCTCATGTGATCCTACCACCTCAGCCACCCAAGTAGCTTGGGACCACAGGCACATGCACCACCATGCCTGGCTAATTTTTTTATTTTTGTAGAGACAAGGTCTCCCTATGTTGCCCAGGCTGGTCTCAAACTCCTGGGTTCAAGCAATCCTCCTGCCTTGGCCTCCCAAACTGCTGGAATTACAAATGTGAGTCATCATGCCTGGCCCTGTCATACATTTTTAGAAAGCAAATTTATCAGGAAAAAATCATTAAGTACTTCTATTAGGTTATTTTGAAAAAGCAAGCTTAGAAAAACAGTATTAAATATTCTATTATGATCACACACAAGTTAGTATTTTGGCAATACAAAAATTCGTAATCTTAACTGAACAGATGGCAAGTATGTCCAGGGGAAGCCAAAATAAATTTAGGATGTTTTGTCTGCTTGCCACTTTCAGAGAGCTTCAATTTTATTGGCCTGCAAACCTTTATTCTATAGCTTCAATCTAGAAGTCATTTGTGACTTTGGAGTACTCCTTACACCTTAATTCCAAGTAACAAATAAGATCAATTGATTCAAGCCTACAAGTACTTATTCTCCTTTGCTTCTCCAAATTATCCTCAGCTCATTATCAAATTTTAAGACATGGCTCATATTTCAGAGCAGATATAAACTGAGCACAAAAGAAGACCAATAAACAACCTGTAAGTAATGCCCTTTGAATAAAAGTTGTTACTAGTTATTAGATCTCTATTCAGCTGGGCTTTCAAGTCATGGTCAAAGTATTCAATGTTTCATATCCTAAAATTTTTCAGATAACAGGAACAAAATTTCTTTATGCAATGTCATTTTTAAAATGTAACATTTACATAAACATATACGGCTTGTTTGTTTAGAAGCATTCTTGTATGAGTCACCTTATGCAAACCAGATTTGGAAAACATACATAGAAGTCTAAAGAAAGTAAAGCCCAACTAAGAAACAGTATACGTAAATGCGGCAATATATAAATGGAGAGACTGTGAGAAATCCAGCTTTAAGAAACCACAGGCGACTTTCAAAACTTTGCTTGTTTCAGGAAATTTAAGAACATTATGAAGGCTACTGTATAATTTTAAAGTCAAATGACTTCTTTACGTGGAAGAAGTAGGGCATAGTGGAAAGGACCCAAGCTTCGGAGTTAGACTTTTGTTCAATCCCAGCTCAGCCACTTGCTATGTGTACACGAATAAGTTAATTAACCTTTTGAGTCTTGATTTCTGGAATATATACAGAGATAATTTATGTCATGAGCTTATTCTGTAGATTAGAAATACATATGTATGGCAGTATAAAGTTAAAAGAAATGCTTTCCACATGACCCAGCAATCCCACATCACACTAAAATAAAAGCTTATGTTAACACAAACCCTTGTCTACAAAGGTTTATAGCAGCTTTATTCATAATTACCAAAAAACTGCAAATAATTTCAGTGTCTCTCAACTGAGTAAGGGATAAACTGGAACATCCATACAATGGGATATTGCTCACAATAAAAGTAACTAACTTACTGATGGCACACAGCAACACAGATGAATCTCAAATGATTTAAATAAGAAGTCAGACTCAGGGCCAGGTGCAGTGGCTCACACCTATAATCCCAGCACTTTGGAAGGCCAAGGCAGGGAGGACTGCTTGAGCGCAGGAGGTCGAGGCTGCAGTGAGCCATGATTGTACCATTGTACTCTAGCCCACACTGCAGAGCAAGACCCTGTCTCAAAAACAAAAGTCAGGCTCAAAAGACTACAATGTTAAATGATTTTACGAATATGACATTCTGGAAAAGGAAAATGTCTAGGAACGGAAAACAGGTTGCCAAGTACCTGGGGTTGGGAGAAGGACTGACTACAAGGAAGCAAGAGGGAATTTTGGCAGTGATTTAACTGCTCTACAAATTGACTGTGGTAGTGGTGGTCACACAAATACATGATCCGTATCAAAAAAAAAAAAAAAAAAAAAACGGGGGCACAGATAGTTAATATTTTGTTTTGCAGGCCATACAATCTCTGTTTTAACTACTCAACTATGCTGTTTACCATAATTACAAGAGTTAATATGGTAAGAAGATATAACAAACATGCATTTACCTCTAGGAACAGTGCTTCAAAATAAAGAAGCAAAAAAAAAAAAAGACAGAATTGAAAAAGCAAGTAGACAATTCAGGAACTATAATAGAGATTTTCATCTCTCTCAGTATTACAGAATTAGACAGAAAATTAACAAGGCTATAGATACATGAACACCACCACCAACCAACTTAATCTAGCTGATATTTATAGTACACTGTACCCAACAACAGAGGACTCATTATTTTCAAGTGAACATGGAATAAAACATGCCATGCCACAAAACAAGTGGCCTAAAAGACTAAAATCACACAGTGTTCTCCAACTACATGGAATTAGAAATCAATGGAAAGAAATGTGAGAAACTTCCAAATATTAGGATATCACACAACAAACTTATAAATAACCCATGAGTCAAAGAGGAAATTTCAAAGGAAATTAGAAAACATCTCACCAGATGGCATAGTGCTAGCACAATGGTAGACATATAGGTCAATATAACAAAAAAACTCAAAAATACAACCTTACGTTTATGTTTAACTGATTTTAAACAAAGACGCCAAGGCAATTCAATAGGCGAAATGTTAATCTTTTCAACAAATGGTGCTGGGAACAATGAGATCTATATATTAAAAAAAAAAAAACAAACTTAGATCCTTATCTCATACTATACTCAAAATGGATCATACACCTAAATGTAACAGTTAAAACAATAATGCTTTTGAAAGAACTGTGACCTAGTGTTGAGCAAAGAATTCTTAGATAAGATACTAAAAGCAGAGCCCATAAAAGAAAAAGTGGATAAACTGGACTCTGTAAAATTAAAAACCTTTACTCTTGAAAACTCTTCAAAAATTTGTATCATTCAGAAAATAAAAACAGAAGCCACAGACTGGGAGTAAACATTTCCAAATCATTTATCTGACAAAGGGCTCGTATCCAGAATATATAAGGAACTCTTAAAAGACAAATAACCTCAGCTTTAAAATGAGCAAAAGATGTGAATATTTAAACAACAAAGTAAATGGCTAATACACACATAAAAAGATGCTCAACATCATTAGTCATTAGAGACATAAATTAAAACCACAATGCTATCACCTACAGCTAAAGGGATTCTCAAGTAGATCAACTTTAGGAAAGAGTAGAATGGAAGGTGAGAATCAGGAAACTGATTCTCTTAAAATTATCTCTGCTGACAGACTCCTTGGAAAGTTTTTGTGTACCTCCAGTGGTACACACCATATCTGAAGACCACTAGGTAAGAAAAAGTTTGGAGACCAAGAAAATATTCATATTTGGTTAACAGAATTTGAAAGCCTGGAATGGCATCCAGCATGAATGAGGCTGACTTGGAAAAGAAAAAGTATTTAGGGCTGGGAAAGGAGCTAGCAGGAGGAGGGGCAAGGAAGAGGGAGGAAAACTCATGCTTGAGTTTTTGACATCAACAACATAATTCTGACAGTACCTAACACCAGCAAGTAGAGCAAAGTAAGGACAATATCCTCAGGCCACACCCAAGATGTTTTCCTCATTTGGCTGACTCCCACACAGGATCCCTGCCCTAGCCCAGCTGACTAGAAATCTAGCACCATGTCCAGGCAAGTCTTCACATCTCCCTCTTCAAAACACACTTCTAGAAATCACTCAGCAGCAACAAACTGTTACAAAGCAGAGAGCTGCACCAAGCAGAGCTGACTTTCCTCTAGAAATCAGTCAGCAGCAACAAACTCTTACAGAGAGCTGCACCAAGCAGAGCTGACTTTCCTTTATGCCCCACATCCCAGTCTGATGTACACAGATTATAGTATTTATCACACTGTAATCATAATTGTTTGTTTACATGCCAGCCTCTTCCTCCTCCCATTGGAGACTGTGCCACCTTTGACAGACATCCTGAGATCTTCCGCACCCACTATAGTGCCTGGCATATAGTGCATAGTCAATACATGCTCAATTAATGGAAGACTGGGTTTGTTAATACTGCAGATGCAAACTCCAACTGTACAAATGTCTTTGTCTACAAGAACCTTTTAGAAAACATTTCTGGGCAGCAAAGGTACTGTGAAACCCATGTTTTCTTTCTTAGGATAACCTCTAATCTATAATTAAGAACCTGCTATGTTGTTATATATCTGATCACCTTTTATATAAAACCTTCAGAGAAATGGCTGCATAAAAGAAACATGTTACAGTGAGGAGTCCAGGGAATAGACAGAAGTTAAGTAACCTTGTTCCTGCTAGTACTAGTGACTCTGGATGTGTCTTCTTTGGCTTTCAGTTTCCTCATGGGTATAATTAAAGGATCAAAATACAATCTTTAAATACTTTCCAAATGTTAGTATTCTAAGACTCTTTAATCGATGAGTGTTTCACTAATGAACAGTCAGGAAGCGGGAGGCATCTCAACGCTGAGTGTTCATAACATTTTGGTACCTCTTTGCTAGAGATCAAATAAATTATCCTCTTGAAACACATTCAGTGCTTCAATTCCATGAACAAAATTAAGAGCAAACATGAATATCCTTTTGAAATCAGGAACTTGACCTTATAACTTTAATTTCAATTATTGAAGCTAGCATTTTATTACACGTCATTGGGGTTGCTGGACAAACAATAAGCTTACCTGCCAGGAAACTGCTCCCAAAATCGCTGTTGCAAGAAGACTAAAGAACACCAACTGCTCTGAAATCAAGCAAAAATGGCGCATCCCTTTGGATGCCATGATTCTATCAAGGCTATTGTAATCTGTCCTGTGAGTAAAATATACTTTATGGCAGTCATTTAATTTGGTATGGAATCCCCAAAGAGTTAAAAGAAAAATAATATGACAAATCATCCAGAAAATTCCAAAAATGGAAAAGCCAGGTATTACAAAATACCAGAGGTGAGTGTCTCTAAGTTTGAATGCGGAAAGAATAAAAAATGTAAGCTCAATCATTCCAGCAAAAACGACTGAAAGTCTTCTGCAAATTCTTCCACGGTACAAAAAGGGTTTCCATCTTTCAGTTACTGAAAGTCCACTAAAATAAATGTCAAGGAAAGGATCAGTTATCAGGCAAATAAAAAAACACGCAAAAGCAATCGGATTTTTGGGAGTTTCCAATGAGGAAAAAAATAACAAAACTGCAAAAATAACTAAGTTTGGAATAGCTAAGAAAGATTTCATTCTCAGATCAATAATCAGCATAGCCAGAGCTACAACAAGCAAAATGACACTCAGAGACTTCTCCACCAACATAGTTGTGCTGGCAATGGCAAATCCAACAAGCTCCAGAAATTCAACTGTGGTTAGTAAAGTGGGCCGATGACGGACATAACCAGAAATTCTCTCCACCAGAGAGCACAATATCCTTAACACTATGGATGTTAGAAGCAAATATTTGGTTGATTCTTCTTTTACATCATTTTTAAAGGATGAATTATCAAGAAAACATAGGAGGCCAAGCAAGAATCCAAACCAAAGATTGGAGAGACTTAAACTTGCTGCTTCCATTGAAAAATAGTAATAGAGTATGCTGGCGATTCCAAGAACAAAAAGACCAAGAATAAAAATTACCAAAATTAAGGAATTTGCTGTTTTTTCCCATCTTACGTATAGACCTAAGCATATAGCAACCAATAAATTGATTCTGGCTAAATAGCCAAGATACCGCACTGAAGAATGCATGTTCACTTCTCTATTTACTTCTTCCAGTCTTGTCATTGCTAAATAGAGACAATGACTAAAGCAATAACGCAGTGATTTACACATGTAACCAGCAATGTGGGCTTTTCCCTCACGTTACAAAAATTAACCGCTTGTATTTCATCCAGTATATCCAATGTATCCGCAACTCCTATTTCAACATTTTCTCTTGTGGAAATTTTGTTTATAGTGATCTAAAAAGAAGAAAACAATATTTCAGAGTTAATTTTATATAATTTACTCATTATTTTATATAAAGATGCATATAGAAAGTGAAAAAATCCAGTTTAAAAACTGAAATCCAGTTTACAACCTGATTTGCAATATCTTAATGAATACTGTTTCTGGCTTAAAACTTGGCAGTTTATCCAGACAGACATGGCTGTGCTTTCTACTCATCATATGCTATGACTGCATGAATAGAACTGTTCTTCCAGAGATGGTGAAGAATTCACCTAATTCATTCTGGTTTAAATATCTGGTTTTTCAACAACAAGGAAAGGTGAAATGTTCGCTTTAGCTTAGATTGTAGCAGGTTTTGGTACAAGAGAAAGCTACTTAGTTCTTAAAGTGAATGAAGGACTTCATCGTTACCTCTAATTTGAAAAGCACTTGTATATATTAGTAGTAACAGCAACCATTACGACCTGCCAAATATCCCCTACATCTTTTTACAAGCCAGCTCTAGAATGTTACACAAGGTCTTTACATTGTTTAACTAATAAACTTACTAGAATTAAAGTATTAAAGTTACTCAGTCCCTAAAGTTGAGCCATAATTCTCCCTGTACTTTTATCTCTATTAAATTACTTTGATTACTAAACTTGCTTTCCAAATCTAAACACTATCTCTATAGCAAACCAATTCCTGACAAATTCCGAGTCAAAAATGAAAAACTGAAATGCTCACCCTAATAGTCATTATAAAGTAAATGAAGAACTTTTCAATTCTACTTAAACAAACGTTACTACAAGTATTTGTTAGTGGACCCACGAAATTAAAGCTTCCACAAGTCACACCTAAAAAATGATAGTAGTCAAAAAATGATTTAACCATCTATAATAATTCTTCAAAATTTCCTAGTATACTGTTTCAAAAGAACTGATCAATGGTTCACGGTAATGCTATCTAAAGAGAACCCAATCAGATATTTAAAAAGAAACTAGGGCCAGGCACGGTGGCTCTCTCCTGCAATCCCAGAACTTTGGGAGGGTGAGGAAGGTGGATCACTTGAGGTCAGCAGTTCAAGACCAGCCTGGCCAACATGACAAAACCCTGTCTCTACTAAAAATACAAAAATTAGCCAGGTGTGGTGGGAGGCATCTGTAATGCCTCAAGAGGCTGAGACAGGAGAATCGCTTGAACCCAGGAGGCGGAGGTTGCAGTGAGCGGAGATCACGCCACTGGACTCCAGCCTGGGGGATAGAGCGAGACTCTGCCTCCAAAAATAAACAAAAAAAACCCACGAGTTTTTGATTAGTTTATTTGTACTTTCTTAATAGCTGTACACTAAAAGGCTCAAGAGAAACATGAGAACCTGGAATCAACTCTTAGTACTCATCTGGCTGGAGAGGAATGTTACTAAAGCAACCTTAGGGTCTCTGGGAAGTTCCGAGTATTATTACTTATTTTGCTTTTATACGTTCAACAAGCACATTTTTTTTTATTTTTACAACTAAGTCTATTTAAGTATTCCAACTGATTTTCCTTAATTACATCTTTATTCACTCATGTCTTAAGGTACCACATAATGTTAAAGAAAATGTCTTCCTTTGGTATATTTTGGTTTATCTTTTTAACTTGAGTGTGAGAAACTGACAAAATCTGGAATGCATTGAGTTTTTTTTTTTTAAACATCACTAATGTGTGTTATAAAATAATTCAACAAATACGTTAGAATATATATCCTCAAAGAGCTGATGGTACAATCTGGGCTCAGACTACTGAACACTGCTGGACGGGGGGAAGAAATTCACATACTAGGCTAAATGGTGCCACTCTAAATCCATGGAACATCCTTCCCTGGTCAACATTCTTCCCCATTCTTGTGACTATTCAAACCCCTATTTCCTCTCTTCAAATCTCTGATACCCTACTTCTTCCTACTGCATTCTCACCAGATGACTCTGCCTCCTAGAGAGTCATCAAAAGGGAGCTCACTTGAGTTTCCAAGTCCACAAACCCACCTCTACTTATATCTCCGAATATAAGGAAAGAAGGCAGTTGCTTCTCTATCTAAGGCTAAACCTTTCAGCCATATTGTGCATCTTTCCTTCCGCCTCTTCTAGAACATCAGACTCTCTCCTCTCTCTGCAAACTCTCACTTTTATTTTATCCATTAGTATTTAAACATTTATAAATCTGTTTCTTTTAAAAACAATACCAAAAAAGTAAAGAAACAAAACAAAAACAATCCTTGCTCATCCCCATATCCTCTATGAAGCTCAATCTCGTGTCCTTTTGACAGCTGGTATTTAGTTGCTTCACTTCTTACCCATTCACTTTTCAAACCACTAAATGGTGTTTCCCACCACACAACTGCTCTGCTAAGTGTTGAAATGACCTGTAAATTCCTAAATCCAATGGGTACTTTTCACTCAGTATCCTGCATATTCTTTTTTGGGGGGAGGGGGAAGGGGGGACGGAGTCTCGCTCTGTTGTCCAGGCTGGAGTGCAATGGCAGGATCTTGGCTCACTGCAACCTCCGACTATCGGGTTCAGGCGATTCTCCTGCAACCTCTGACTATCGGGTTCAAGTGATTCTCCTGCCTCAGCCTCCAGAGTAGCTGGGATTACAGGCGCCCATCGCCATGCCCAGTTAATTTTTGTATTTTTAGTAGAGACGGGGTTTCACCATATTGGCCAGGCTGGTCTCAAACTCCTGACCTCAGGTGATCCACCCGCCTCGCCTCCCAAAGTTCTGGGATTACAGGCGTGAGCCACTGCGACTGGCATTTTTTTTTTTTTTTTTTTTTTTTTTTTTTTTTTTTGAGACAGAGTTTCATTCTTGTTGCCCAGGCTGGAATACAATGGAGCGATCTCGGCTCACCGCAACCTCTGCCTCCCGGATTCAAGCGATTCTCCTGCCTCAGCCTCCCAAGTAGCTGGAATTACAGGCATGTGCCACCATGCCCGGCTAATTTTGTATTTTTAGTAGAGATGGGGTTTCTCCATGTTGGTCAGGCTGGTCTTGAACTCCCGACCTCAGGTGATCCGTCCGCCTTGGCCTCCCAAAGTGCTGGGATTACAGGTGTGAGCCACTGCACCCGGCCATATCCTGCATATTCTTTAAACAAATTTACATTGTTGACTTCTCTCACCTTCCAAACCATTCCTTTTTGCAGGCATCCAAAGACTAACTCCCCAGATTTTTTTTCTTAATTTATTGGTTTCCCCTCCTCGGTCTCCTTGAAGGTTCTTCATTCTCAACCCATCCTTTGGATGTTCAACCCCAAACCTAGGCTTTTCTCTCACTATATACTTTCTCTAAGCAATGTCATTTATTTCTATGTCTTTGATTATTATCTCTCTACTTAAGTGCACACATATATTAATCTACCTATAGAAAATGAAGCACCAGCTCTGTTCTGCACTGTTAACAGAGGTAAATACCTGGAAACAAAGTAAATGTAAACATGTAAAAAAAAAATTAGTGAAGTACAGTGCATCCATATAATGCAATATATGCAGTTACCTTCCTATGGACCAAAATCAACATGGCAGATTGTTTTTAAATGGCTAATTTACAAAACTCTTCCCCATTCTGATCTTCTTCAAAAGACAGCCTGAGTTAGAGAATAACAGAAAAACATTACATTCCTTTTCAATCGGTTTGCCGTCACTAATGATTCAATGGACAATTATTCCAGAGGTAGATGAAAATGGACCATAGAGGAGTCAATATGCATATGGGAAAAGCTAACCAATCACTGCCAGAGTCTGATTATTTCATAAAACCTTACATACTATTCTAACCCTCCTCTCCACCATCATCTACATTTAATCCTCACCAAGTCCTGTCTACTATTCTTCCTAAACATTTTTTAAATGTTTCTACTTCTCGTCCCCAGGGTCACCATCCCAATTTTGGCCACCATCATGTTGAACATTTCCCTGTATCCACTCTTGCCCTCTCTAAGAAGTGTACTTTTTAAAACCAAAATTTAGCACTCCACTATGTAAAATGCTCCAATGGCGTCCCATCACCCTTAGCAATAAAGTCAAAACTCCTTACAGTGCCTTATAAGGCACTCCGTGTTGGGCCTGAATAACTCTCCTGCCTTATCTGTTACCAGTTTTCCTCTCACACTTTATTTTCCAACCTTACTGACCTTTCAATTACAAACTGCACAAATGCTATTCCCTTGCCAGGTACACTCCTTTTCCTCCTCCTGGCCCCACCCCAGTGCTCACACCTGGCTTATTCCAACTCTTCAGGTCTCAGATAAATCATTTTCTTAAGAGATTATCCCTGCCCCCTCCCCATTACATGACCCCCATACTTTCTCTGTTACATACCATCACTTATTTCATGTCTGCATTTCCCACTAGATCAAAAGGTCTCTGAGGGTTTGTCTTCAATACTGTACACCCAGTGACTAGCAAAAATCCGGCATCAAGAAGGTATTCAATAAATACTTGTTGAAAAATAAAGACTAATAAAGAAATAACTACATTTAACAACAATAGTCACCATTGGACACTTACTAATGCCTAAAGAGAATACAGAACTTAGCTATATCCCACAACTAATAACTAGTAGAACTAAGGGAGAGTCCATGAATGTTTGGTTTCTATTTCAGCTTTCCACCAGTCTTTACTTAATTCACCCAAATTCTTCCAAACCAATTCTCTCTCCATGTCCTACCTCTAGGGAATGGCTTGAGGCATACCGTATCACTTGCATTATCTTTCACTCAGAAACTCTGTCCCATCTAGAAGTGTCAAGGCTGAAAGAACTACACTGAAAAAACAGGGAATTTCAGTGCTTCAGTTCTGAATTACTGATAACTCTTTGAGCCATCTCATACGAGGAAAATGTCATCTAGAATATCAAACTCCTCAGCACTAGAGCAGCAACAGCAATTTCTCTCCCTTTCGGCCTCCTTCTAGCGAGATGTGGGAGGTCCGACAAGGAGCTTGGCTGTTCTCCACCATCCTCTGCCTCGGAGAACGCGACCACAACGTGGCGCCCAGTTGAGGGGGAACCCTTGCGAAATACGGAGAGGCGCTCCCACACCCTCCAATCTCCAACCACCACTGTCAACTCCTCCAGAGGCAGGTATCCTACCCCGGCCCTGGGAGGCCGACTGGGCGGAGCTTGGGGTCCGGACCACGCGGAGCCCTGGCAGTGTCTATGCCTAGATCTCGCCGCCCTGCCGTCCACCCATTTCTCCCTACCTGACTCGGCCGTCGCCACCAACGCGCTCTCCCAACCCTCGGAGTCAGTTCCAAAACCAAACCAAAAAGGAGGAGAGCAGACAAGGCTTCAGCCTGCGACTGAGAACAGGGAGGCGGCACGCCTTGGGGAACGAGGGCCCGAGGCCATACGCGCTAATACAGGCCAGTGTCGGCGTAAACTTTCTCCGTTACCGGCCCGGCCGCGACCGCCATGTTTCCGCCGCCGAAATCCGCGACGGTACGGAACGCCGCCGGGGTCAAACTGCGCGGCGCGCCTCCTTCCCGAGGCCCGGCCCCCTCCCCGCCCAAACCCGCGCGCCGCCACACACTCAGGTGAGCAAGGCGCTGCGCGAGTGTCAACTGCCCCACCTAAGGCGCCTGCCTTCCTCAAGCCAAAGTCGACTCCTGGGACCTGGAATCAGCAGCTGAGAACAGACAGCGGGAAGACCACCAAAGATCAGGCTGACAGTGCCCATCAAGCATCTAGGCCACCGCCTCGGGCTGGACCGAACGGGGACAGGGTGGACAGGACTGCCACGCGTGGGCTGTAAATACTGCGGGAGGCGTTGCTGCTCATTAATATATATGGCATAATATATGGCTTTGTAACCAGCTAAGGCCCAAGCTCCTTAGGCCCTCCCTCAGACCTTTCAGTTCCTCAAATGCAGGGACATGTCGGGTTTTGCTCAACATTAAATCACCTTAGCATAGTGCCTGACACATAGTTGGCACTTAAATATTTGTAAAATAATAATATGCAATAGGCTCTCCACGATCCGTAGTTCTCTCCTCCCACTTGTTTTGCATGTATTATCTATATATTTTTCCTATTTTCCATAATAGAGTGTGAATTTCCTAATTTTCATAATAGATGTTGGGGGTTGGTGTGGCCAGCACATCTATAGGAATGAACAACTCTCAGATTGAGATTCTGCATATGTGGATGAAAATTTTGAGTTAGATTCTCTCTAGACTCCTGATTTTAAAAGCAATCACAACTCAACTTCCCAAATCTGTAACTAGCTCTCTGGGGAACACGAGTGCCACATTTCCAACTACCTGCTAGATGTTTCTACTCAAATATATTGTCATCACTTCCAACTCAACTTGCCTTTAATGGACATTTATATACATTTATTATGCCCCCCATTTGAATCCCCTTCCGTATTTGGAGAATTCCCCACCTGAGTTAAGAGTCTAATGGCTGCCGCTGAAATGCTGAACACTTGTTTAACTAATCATGTGTACCCGCTGGAAGCCATGAGTCAAAAAAGGCACAGAAAGCTACACTCCCAGGTCACCTGTAGGAGTATAGCAAGTGTAGAGATCGAGAACCCATCCCTAACAGCAAGGTAAGCTTCCGAGGCAGTAGTGAGAGTGCTGGCATCCACCATTAACATGTCAGAGATGCAAGATGCCTGTGCTTGGTGAGGGTCACAACCCCAGAGCCCTTTCCCAATCTGTTCTGTAGCCTGTTAACAGTCTCTGTGTACATTTCTGGGTAGCCTGTGACAGACTCTGTACTACATAGCTGTGAGGCAGGACAATAGGGTCTGGAGGCAAGGAACTTACGGCTGATTCATGCTGACTTTCTAGAACTAAATCAAAAGGAAAGCCCCAACTTTCCACAGCTAAGTAACAAAGGGACCCGGCCCCCTCCCCCACCACCGCCCTTTTCTGCGTGGCAGACGGAAAATTGAAAGTACCTCGGATTGGTTGCTTTCCATAACTAATTAAATGTTTGCATAGGGTGTAACCTTTGTAACTTCGCTTCAGGCTCTGATTGGTTGCTTTCCGCTATCAGACTGATTGTGGGCCACTATATTTGCGTGGGGTGTACACCAAGTGGCCAATGGGAAACCTCTAGAGGGTGTTTATACCCCAGAAAATTCTATAACCCGGCCGCCCCGCTCTTGAGCCCCATGTTCCGGCTCTTCACACCCTGTGGAGTGTACTTTCATTTTCAATAAATCTCTGCTTTTGTTGCTTCATTCCTTCCTTGCTTTGTTTGTGCGTTTTGTCTAATTCCTTGTTCAAGATGCCAAGAACCTGGACACCTTCCACCGGTAACAGCCAAGGTAGATTCTGGCCATGTAGGTGCAAGCCTCAATCTCCAGCTATCCTTTGAACTACTTAGCGTCCTCTAGTAAACTTACTTTCTGCTTAAATTAGCTACAGCTGCATTCAGTTGCTTAGCACTAAGACCAGCTCACTAAATCAGTGGTTTTTCATCATCTTCCTCTAACATGGTCTTCTGCCTTATGACTTTAAAACCATTTTTGATGCTTGTTATCTTGTCCTTATACTTTAGAATACTTCAGTGAGATGTGTGTATGTTTGAAAGTTAATCTGCACAGCCCAGGGTGGGTAATTAGCATTTGAAAGACTAATCAAAAATGTTCACTGCAGAGTTGAATGCACAGATGCTTCCAGTATCACCATGTAAATCTGCACTAGATGTACCTTAGTTAGCATAAAGGATTAGAAAGAATTCTTCATTGTGGAAACAAGATGTTCAAAATACGTGGCTGGTTAGAATACTGTACAAGCACTTATGCATAACTGTGGCGTAGAAATCTGCTGTGTAGCAGACCGACAGCCTTCAGAATGGCTTAGTCTAGACTTCTGTTTAATATTTTGCCACAAAGTACTGTTTGTGTACTGTTTTTTGTGTCTGCTTGCTGATAAGATTTGTGTAGTAGCATTCAGTCTGAGACTTGTTTTAACTGTATGACACTACCTAGTACCGAGGGAGGAGAAAGATAGCCTTGTCAATCTTTAGTTATTGAAGGATACCAGTATTTACCAAAAAAAATTTGACACTTATGAATGACCAAGTGCTGTTCATTTTCATCCACCCTATCTCTTGCATTTATTATTTCCCATCAACTTCTATTGCTTCTACTCTGTTACGGTATTACTTCAGTAACCTCTATGCTGGTCATCTTGATTTCAGCCTCAGCTCAGTCTAACCCATTACACAGGCCCCTGGCTGATGCTCTCAGAGCACCATGCTTTGACACTTCTGGGATTAAAACCAGTGATTTATACAGGCTACAGAATAAAGTCCAAATTCAGTCTGGCACCTGAGGCCCTCAAGGACCCAATCTAAATCCCCCTTTATCCTGAAAGAAGAAAGGGTCAATTTGCGACATCTGGTACATCCGCAGCCAGACACCTAAATATAAAACAGCCACCTGGGAACCATTGCAGAGACTGGTGATTTCAGGTTCTGGTTAATGATGGCAGTATAATGATCCTAATCACTAGAATATCCATTCTTTAACACCTACTTCTATACAGACAAGGTCTGTGTGCTTCAGGCCAGGAATATCACCTGAGGAGTTATTTCAGACTAGGAACACCTGTTGAAAATATACTCATGATAATAAGTCAAGAAAAGGAAGAGGGAGCAGCACGCATCACAGGAGGTACGGTGGATCTTATCACACATTCCAGTCCTCTGGCAGGGAGTCACAGATGAGTCCTATGTTATTTCTTATGTTCTCTATTGTTTTTCTCCTATTTTTTCCATTTATTCAGTTCAGTCGTAGGGCTAAACTAACTCAGATTCTCCATAGAAAATCAGCTGGGCCTCCCTTATTCTGTGTAATATAAAGTACTTTCACCTATATTACATAATCTACACAAAAACCCAATGATGTAAATATTTTCATCACCATTTTGCAAATAATGTAACCAAGGTCCAGAGATACTACGTTGTTCTAGGTCCTCATAACTGTCTAAGATCAGGGAATTAAATTCAGTCTTTTGGCTTCAAGTTCTGGGCCATCAAGAGCAGCTTTCTAAATATCAACCCCCACTCTGTGAGGAAACACAGGTATTTCTTTCTCATTACTATTGTTTCAGTAAGTAGGGAAAGAGTTACATCATTCAGTCTACACCTTAGAATCATCTGGCCCAGACCAGTTAGAGTTTCTGAAATTAGCCTTGGGTGTGTGTGTGTGTGTGTGTGTGTGTGTGTGTGTGTGTGTGTTTTAAAGCCTCCCTCTTTTCCAGTGATTCTAATGTAAAGCACAGCTTGAAAACTACTAAGTTATTACCTCCATTAGTGCAGTGGTTCTTCAGGTATGGTCCCCAGACAAGCTGCATTAACATCACCTGGGACCTAGTTAGAAATGGAAATTATAAGGCCCTATCCCCAGACCTACTGAATCAGGAACTCTAAGGGTAGAGCCGAGATTTTGGGATTCGGTTCAGATGTGTGTATCAGAAGACTCAACAGTGTCTTAATTGCAGTTTATTTCTCTGTCTTGTAAAAACGGTCTAGAAGTAGGTGTTCCAGAGCAGACATCGTCCTCCTTGGTGTTAGAGATCCTGATTCCTTCTTTTTTTCTACCCTACCATTCTCAGGATGTGGCTTCCTCTTCATAGGCCAAGATGGCTGCCTGATTTCCAGCTATGACTTCTGAATTCCAGTCAGCAAGTAGGAAATGCACTTCCCCCCACCCTTACTTTGACACTTCTTGGAAGCCGTATGACACATCAGCTTATATCACATTGACTAGTATTTAGTATTTATAGAGTCTGCAAAAGGTGGTAATTTCGGGGGCGGCCATGTGCCCACCTAAAATCAGGGTTCTCTTTCAGAGAAAGGAGAATAAATATTGGATGACAGCAAGCAGTATTTGCCAGAGTTAACTAATTGCTTTTTTTCTACCTCCAAAATTCTAAAGTGAGATAATAAGCATCATAACTGTTTGAACACTTTTGGTTTGCTGTTCTAAGTGATGCTCCTTATTTCATTAGTCTTTTCACTGTATTAATGATGGCAAGTATTTATTCATATGGCTGAACTATGATTAATTCTTCCCCTAATTTTGAATATTTGGAATGTTACAATTTTTGCTGTTGAAAGTGCTGCACTAGGGCTTATTGCATTTGTGATGTACTGCATTTCTGATTATCACTTCGGAACGTAGATTCCTAGATAGGTTAAAGAATTTGAACATCGTTAAGGCTCTTTATTCATATGGCTGATTTTCTTGCAAGAAGGGAAACGTTTTGTGCTCCATTATAAGTGAACTACATTTTTGGCAGCAAAAAGTTTTGTCTTCTTAAACTTTTTGTTCTTTCAACATTTTGAAAATAGTGCATTACTATCTTCTTGCAACCTAATGATGCTGCTGAGAAATCTGATATCAATTTGATTTGCATTCCTTTGGAGGTAATCTGACCTTTCTCTCTTAGCTTTTAGAAAATTGTCTTTATCCTAAATGTTCTGAAATTCTACCATATTGAAGTGTAAGAAGACCCTATATTTTTATTTAGCAGTTCTTTTTTATTGAAGGATTGTAATCATTCTTAAATTCTGAAAAAAATATTGACCATAGATTTTTCCAGTATTTTCTTTCTTCCATCTTCTCTGTTCTCTTACTTAGAACTCCTATTTGTTGAAACTGTATCTAAACTTCCTTTCTCTTTTATATTTTGGATCTCTTGGCCAGCTGTGGTGACTCACACCTGTAATCCCAGCACCTTGGGAGGCCGAGGCGGGCACATCACCTGAGGTCAGGAGTTCAAGACCAGCCTGGCCAATGTGGTGAAACCCCGTGTCTACTAAAAATACAAAAATTAGCTGGGCGTGGTGGCAGGTGCCTGTAATCCCAGCTCCTCAGAAGGCTGAGGCAGGAGAATTGCTTGAACCCGGAAGGCAGAGGTTGCAGTGAGCGGAGATTGTGCCATTGCACTCCAGCCTGGGTGACAAGCGTGAGACTCTGTCACAAAAAAAAGAAAACATTTATATATATATATAATTTATGTATATCATATATATAATTTATATCATATATAATATCATATATTGATATATATGATATAAAAGAAAGGAAGTTTAAATACAGTTTCAACAAATAGGAGTTCTAAGTAAGAGAATAGAGAAGATGGAAGAAAAAATACTGGAAAAATCTATGGTCAATATTTTTTTCAGAATTTAAGAATGATTACAATCCTTCAATAAAAAAGAACTGCTAAATAAAAATATAGGGTCTTCTTACACTTAATATATAATATTAATATCATATTATGCTTAATATACAATATTATATATAATATAATCTTTAATATAATTAATATATATGTTATATAATATATAATATATATCATTATATATAATACATAATATATATCATTATATATAATATATAATATATCATTATATATAATATATTATATGTTACATATAATATATAATATATCATTATATATATCAGTTATATATTATATATAATATATCATTATATATAATATATCATATATCATGTTATATAATATGTATAATATATCATATATCATGATATATTATATATGATATATTATATATCATATATCATTATATAATATAATATATATTATATATAATGTATCATTATATAATATAATATATCATATATAATATATCATATATAATATATCATATATAATATATCATTATATATAATATATCATATATAATATATCATTATATATAATATATCATATATAATATATCATTATATATAATATATCATATATAATATATCATTATATATAATATATCATATATCATATATCATGTAATATAATATGTAATATATATCATGTAATATAATATATATCATGTAATATATAATATATATCATGTAATATAATATATTATATATCATGTAATATAATATATATCATGTAATATAATATATATCATGTAATATAATATATTATATATCATGTAATATAATATATTATATATCATGTAATATAATATATTATATATCATGTAATATAATATATAATATAGTATATACTGTAATATAATATATAATATATTATATACTATATACTATATAATATATACTATATATAATATATATTATATACTATATAATATATAGTATATACTATATATTATATACTATATATAATATATATTATATACTATATACTATATATAATATATATTACATACTATATACTATATATTATATATTATATACTATATATAATATATACTATACATAATATAATGATATACAATATATAACATATGTATTATACAATTATATATTTTATATATAAATATATATTATTAATTATTAATATATTAAATATATATTATATATAATATTATATAAATATATAATATAATTATATAAATATATAATTATATAAATATATATAATATAATTATATAAATATATATAATATAATTATATAAATTTATATAATTATATAAATATATAATATAATTATATAAATATATAATATAATTATATAAATAAATATAATTATATAAATATATAATATAATTATATAAATATATAATATAATTATATAAATATATATAATATAATTATATAAATATATAATTATATTATATATATAATATAATTATATAAATATATAATTATATTATATATATAATATAATTATATAAATATATAATTATATAAATATATAATATAATTATATAAATATATAATTATATAAATATACATAATATAATTATATAAATATATAATTATATAAATATATATAATATAATTATATAAATATATAATTATATAAAGATATATAAGATAATTATATAAATATATAATTATATAAAGATATATAAGATAATTATATAAATATATAATTATATAAAGATATATAAGATAATTATATAAATATATAATATAATTATATAAAGATATATAAGATAATTATATAAAGATATATAATATAATTATATAAAGATATAATATAATTATATAAAGATATATAATATAATTATATAAATATATAATATAATTATATAAAGATATATAATATAATTATATAAATATATAATATAATTATATAAATATATAATATAATTATATTGTATATAATATAATTATATAAAGATATATAATATAATTATATAAATATATAATATAATTATATAAATATATAATATAATTATGTAAATATATATAATATAATTTATAAATATATAATATAATTATATAAATATATATAATATAATTTATAAATATATAATATAATTATATAAATATATAATATAATTATATATAATCTCTTTATATATATTTATATATTATATATAATCTCTTTATATATTTATTATATATAATTATATCATATTATATATATAATTTTATTTCTTTGGAAGAATTCCTCAATGTTGCAGCCACCAATTTTCTTCTCAAGCTGTTGTCAACCAACAAGAGGCTAAAGACCAGACTACAATGCAATAAATCAGGGAATTTATTGGAGTCCTAGAAATTGCAATTTAAGAGTCACAGATTCAGCTGGAAGCCAAACTGTGTTGTGAAGAGAGGTGGAGAATAGGGGGTTTTAAGAAAAAATCAAAAAGAAGCTAAGGGTGATTACATAAGTTGTGTTGAAAGAATTATCATTGGTGAAGGGGGTGGCTTAGTACAGGAGTCCGTAGTTCTTTGATTGTTACTGTCAACATAAGAATCTTGAGATCTTAACTTTGGAGAGGAGACTTTCTTGTAAAGGGTTACAGCCTACCAGGCTGGCCATTCTGCAGCCTGGGAAGTACAGCCTCTAGCAGAGACCATTAGCAGGCACTTCTAGGAAGGGAAGGATGAGATAGAAATTTATTCTGAACAGGTTGGCTAAATATACATATTCATTAGCTTATAAGAGGACTTATGAATATTCACAAAGTGGGGATGTACACGTGTGTGATAAGCAAGCATGCATGTTACATGCATTCCATGTTCACTTTGGGACAGAGATTTAACATTGAAATGTATTACAGTTAGGCCCTATATGTCAAAAGGTGAAGTAGGGACACAAAGACACTCAAGTTCACAGCCTCTGTAAATCAGCCATCACCAGTCCATAGTCTGTGGTCTTTTATCCATGAAAGTTACTGATATAGGTCTCTTGTCCAATTAAAGCTGTAGGTATGGCTTGTGGAAGAGGGGATGAGTTAGCATTGGTGGTGGATGAGCTGCAATTGTTTTAATATTGCTTATCTCAAGGCCAGCACTTGTTTTGCTGATAGAGGAAAAGAAGAAGCAATTAGAACATAGTTTATTCTTAAAATGTAGGCATACATAACTTAACCCTTGCCTGGCATGACATTAGGTCTATTTATAATTTGGTATCTTCTTACTACAAAGAGTCCATTCTGTCAGTCTTATGAGCTCTATTTTAACATTAGACAACTGACCAGCATTAAGCTGCAGAAGGGAGGGGGTACAATGAGGCATGTCTGACCTCCCATCCCTTCATGGCCTGGAACTCAGTTTTTAAGGTTTCTCTGAAGTCCCCTTGGCCAAGAAGGGTCTGTTTGGTTGGCTGGGGGGCTTAGGATTTTATTTTTAGTTTTTATTGCTCAGGAATTAAATTCAGCTGTTTTCCAGGCTGCTGTGGACATGGAAGTTTGGCTCAGCTCAAAGGTACAAGACAAGTTTCTGGGTTTGTTTGGTTTTTTCTTCCTTCAAGTCTACGGGATATGCAGGCAGTCCTTCTTAGAATGGCTTCCCAATTCCATTTGAGAGCTTGAACCAGAGTGACACCATTTTGCGTATCACCTTTCACACTATCATTTTAAAATTTTCCCAGGTCACTTGTTTCATTTCTTGAAATGTCCATTAGCCTGTTATGATCTCCTGTTTCTTGTTTGGTGGCATTTACCATCTTTATCTTTTCAGGATATTAAATATACATGTTTTAAGCCCTGTTCTGAATACTCATTTTACTGTTTCATCAGCTTGTAAATTATTCTGTTTGTTGGATCTGTCATCTCTCTTTCGTGGTGTTGACTATCTCCAGATGTTAGGAGTATCTTGCTTTTCCATAGTAGCTTTTCTGCTGTGATCTCTGATGCTTCTTGCTTTAATGTCTTGCAGAGACTGAGTTTTCCTTACTTTCCTTATTTAAAATAGTGCTCACATTATTCTGCTGAGAATTACCCTCTGATTTCAATGCAGCTATATTTATATTAAATTCTTTTAGTATATTCTCTATTATTTTTCTTGACTCAGTGTAGGAAGGGGTTATTTCTGCATATGCTGATTCTGTCTTCTTGACATTCTGCATTATGTTTTATAATTGAATATTTTAAGGAAGATATTTTAAAATTTGGTCATGTCACTAATTTTTTTTCATGTTATACTGATGTAATGCTGAACCCCTATTAACCTCAACAGGGATGGCAACATGTTCAAGAGACTGAAGAAGAGACCCAGAGCCAGCAAACAGGACATAGGGCTTTATTAGCAGGAAACCTACAAAGAGGGAGGGCCAGTGGCGGCAGGCTGGACAGGAGAACCACACAGCCCAGTGAGGGGGTGCTGGGCTGGAGAACCATACGGCCCAGAGGCAGCAGGCTGGGCAGGAGAACTGTAACCACTTGCAAAAAGCATGTAGTTTATATAGCATTTTCACTAAGCACCCTCCCCCTAACCATCTTCACCTGGCAACCTTCACTTAACCCAAAACAAAGGGCCTCAATCCCCTGTATGGCCTGTGTTTCACTAGACAGGCCAGGGGCTCAGATGTTCCTCATAGATAAGGAATGAATGCCTGGGTTGGCCACTCCTGGATTCCTCAGCTTGGAACTCTGAACACACATTCAGGTGCCTCTGCCATACAGGGCCATTCTCAGGTTATGGCTAAGTTAAGGTACTGCTATCAGGTGCTTCTACCATACAGTCCACCCCAGCTACCCTGGAACAGCTCTCACATTTTTATCACGCTATTCTTCCATGATTTCCCTGGGGCCAGGTAATGTGGAGAAGCATCGCTGCCAGACTGCTGCAGCAGCAATGCAAACTAAAACAAAAAATAATCCAACTTGGGAGTTAATTTTGGATTCACCACAGCAGGCTTATGATGGAGGAGAGGGGCAGCTCTTCACAGGCCCAACAGTCTGTTTTGTTCTGGAGAGAGGCCACCATCTGTGCCCAGTTGGTAAAGAGGGTCTGCTGCACACCATCTGTGGGTGGAAGATGAGATGTTTAGTGGGTACAAGGAAGGGCAATAACAGCCGTTCAACAAGACACAGGAAGTTGTATTGTTCTGAGAAAGCGTCATCCTTGGCAGTGGCCTGGGACCTGGCTGACATCACCAAATGGATTGGCCCCCTCTGGGATGCATTGCGGGAGGCCAGAATAAGACAATGGGAGTATCATGATGTTTCATAATGAGAGGATGATCATCCCCTTTCACAAGGGAGGACCAGGATTCATTATTTTAGAAATATGATGGGGAGCAGGGCGCAAAATAGGTGTGACCTGTGTATCTTGGTCTAGGCCCTTCCCCCATGGAGTGGAAAAACCAAAGCATCGGGGACTGGCTTGCCATTTCCAAGACCACATAATGATGTGCTCCCCAGTGGACAGGTCCTGTGGCAAGGACAATCACAGGTTATCTTGAGTCTCAGGATGGGACAAAGGAGTATCGTCCCTTACCTTGTCCACCTGGATCCTGAGAGTGGTATCACGTTCTTGCATCGGAAGGACATAGGCACTGGTGATGAGAACGCCATGTTCATTCAGGGTGCAGACAACTGCTGGTAAATGGTGTGTCCACAGAGCCAGAGTGCGTCTCCTGCTGGAGTTGTTGCTTCAACAGTCCATTCATCCTTTAAATCAGCCCCACGGCTGCAGGGATGTACAGCAGGTGGAAATGTCAGTGGATATCCAGGGCCTCCACCCATTCCTACACTTTATGTCTGGTAAAGTGCAAGCCCTGGTCACTATTGATATTGGTGGGGACACCATAGGCCACACACAGCCACTCTAGTCCTTTTATGATAGTTTTCTGGGTAGCATGCTTGCTGGGATATGACTGTGGTAGCCCTGTGCAGGTGTCCACATAAGTCAAGGTATAGTAGCAGCCATTAGATAGAAACAAATGCCCTATGTAGTCTACCTGCCACCATTGTACTGGACTCTGGCCCCAGGGGATCTCTCCAGTATTGTGTGGCAAGGGCCTAGGGCATTCCTGTGCATGGGTAGGACATTGCTGACAGAGGTGTACTATGTCTTTATGTCATAGTGGCAGGCCCTAATTCTTCACTGTGGCCCAAAGGGAATGCTGTCCCCAAAGTCCTGTCTTTTTGGGCAGCCAGTGGGCCACGTCTGTGGGGACTACCTTGAAGAGATGAATGCAGGCTAGCTTGTTCTCATGTTGATTTCCAGATGGCGTAGATGCAGTGTGGGCATCCACATGGAAGACTGTTACATGCATTCCCTGGATGTGACAGAGAATGTCCTTCCACATGCCAGCACCCCAAAGCAGGCAGCCTGCTACTGTCCAATCCTGAGCTTCTCCTTGTGGTAGCCACATAGCAAGTCCCTTAAAGATGGCCCAGCTGTTGGTACACAAGACTATTGGGTCCGGCTCATAGAGGAGGATCGTCTAGGTGGCTCTCAGCTTAGCCCATTTGTTACTAAGTCCTAGGCCTGTATCAAGCCAGATCCTGTCAGTGGACAGCTGGATGGCTGCAGCTGTCCATGTGCAAGGATTGCCTCATAGCAAGCTCTCTGTGTACCAGATCTGGTCAAGAATTGGGCCCTGTCCCTCCTGTACAAAGGAGGAAATCTGTGGAGGTTCAGCGGCCTCTTTCAAAGACTGTCTTTCAGATGTTACATAGGTGACAGTACTGAGCACCAAATGGAGCTCTGTGCTCAAGGGGCTATTAATGAATGTGCTCCTTTGTTGAGGTATGCATGCCTTTTGGCTACAGTCTGTGTTTGGGCATTCCCAGGCTTTAGCTTCCGGAAGGTACCCTTTAGTCAACCTGCTATTGGTACTGGGTGCGTACTAGCACTAGGACCCACTTTGTAATGTCCTCCACTTATTGTAAAGCATACATAGCCCAGAGTTGTGGCACTCCAGCTAGCTGAAGCCCCCTTCCACAGCTGGGACCAGAATCCTAAAGGCACACATTTATGCCCTTGCCTTCACCACAGGCCCCACCCAAACCCCTCAGGGTAACTGGCTACGTTCAGTTCACAAGGCTGCCCCTGCACTACAAGTCCTAGGCTTGTATTTGTTTCACTGCAACTTTAGCTTGTTCAAAGGCCTCATCCTCCTTTGTGGACCAGTCCCAGTGGGCCCCCATCTTGACTAGCAGTATAGGGACCTAAGGAGTTGGGCCAAATGAGGAATAAAAGGATACCAACACTGTAGGAGGCCTAAGGAAGTTTGCAAGTGCTTTGGTGTGGTAGGACATGGGTAGGCCTACACCTTATCCATAAGAGCAGACTGAAAGACCTTCGTCTTACCCAACCAGATGACAACCAGACTGACAAACCTGGCCTCTGGTCTTTGTATGCGTTGACTGCCAATCCTTTGTTCGCCAAGTGAGAGGGTAAGGTGGGGGCTGTGCAGATTATAAGCCAGAAAAAGACCTAAAAGTTAATGGAAAACATGTATCCCCTCCAGGGTGGTATCCCTGGGCAAGACAGTCCATTGTTTTTCTTCCCATGTGAATGCAAATTGGTCTTGACTCTCTGAGGGCGATGGGGGATGCCGAAGGCATTGGCTATCAATAGCCAAATGGTATATGCCCATGGCTTCTCCTACCCTTGTCCCAAGAGAGGTGATATTGAGAACAGCCACATACACTGGGGGGACCACCTTACTTAATTCCTAGTAATCTACTGTTATTCTTTGTGTCCCATCAGGCTTCTGCATGGGCCATTCAGGGCTGTTGTATGGGCTGTGCACTGGCCTTATAGTGCCTGCCCAGGCTAACTCCCATATAGTCTCTGTGATTTCATCATGTCCCCACCCTTGCAGGTGGTATTGCTCAGCACCTCTACTCACGGCAGGGCTGGAAAGTGTCCTGGTGTCCATTTTGCATTCTCTGATCACAGGGTTCACCACCTAACTCTCCGTCAGAATTCCCCTGCAGTTGTTTGTGGGGTCAGGCCTGATAAGTTATCTACTCCCAAGATGTATTCTGGGATGGGAGCAAACTATAATTAGTCTACAAAATGTTGACCATTTAAATAAAAAATTTTCTAATGTATTAGTTGTAAAAGTGCCTCCTATCACTTCATATTTTTAATTAATACACTTAGTTTTAATGTCTTTTATCTGTTCTCCATGTACTCTCAAAAGTATCTTTTTCAATGCGTTCCACTGGTTTATTTTCTCTCTGCCTCACTCTTTATCTGTTCATTATTTGTTTATTTATTTATTTATTTATTTTGAGGCGGAATCTCGTTCTGTTGCCTAGGCTGGAGTACAGTGGCACGATCTCAGCTCACTGCACCCTCTGCCTCCCGGGTTTAAGTGATTCTCATGCCTCAGCCTCCCGAGTAGCTGGGACTACAGGGGTGCACCACCATGCTCAGCTAATTTTTGTATTTTTAGTAGAGACGGAGTTTCTCCATGTTGGCCAAGATGGTCTTGAACTCCTAACCTCGTGATCCATCTGCCTCAGCCTCTCAAAGTGCTGGGATTACAGGCATGAGCCTCCGTGCCCAGCCTGTTCATTATTTATTATATGAAGTGTATAGGGTAGTGATTAAGACCAGCAAAAGTTCTGGAGCTATTGACTGCCTGAGTTTGAATCCATCTGTGCCACTTACTAGCTCTGTTTCCCACGTGTACAATAGAAATAGTAATAATATTTAATTCATAGGGTTGTTGTGAGAATTAAATGAGTTAATATATGTCAGGTATTTAGAACAGTAAATACCTTACAGTAAGGTTCTCAATTATCTTAGCCTGACAGTAAGTTCCCAGTTGTTAGCCATTTTCATTTTTATATAGGCTAATTGAGCCAGGCTTCTTTCAGTTTTCCTCTTCTTTCATTTTTCAGACTGGCACCTTAGTACCCAGAGTTCAGCAGGGAGGCCAGGAACCTTGTTAGGAAGTAGGGAGAGGGGAGAAGTCTACAAATACTCATAATGTAATATCCATTCTTTTATCTTTGTCACATCTAATTATAAAAACAAAGACAAAAGAATAACTTCTGACTTTTACATGTAAACAGATTTAGCCCTATATTGCTTCCCCCTTTCCTCCTGCTTATCCAACTCTCACATATATCCTAAGATTTTAATAGTTTTTCTTCAACTGTGTAATAATTTTTAAGTGTGTTTATTTGATTTTAGTGTTTACCACATTTCCTTTAATACTGTAACCCAAATTATATCTGAAGTAGTGGCCCATGAGCTGTAAGGGAAATGTTTAAATAGACAGATTTTGAGATTTCAAACAAAATCTCCAGACCTGAATTCTTTGATATCCTCATTCCCAGGAGATTGTGATAAATGCCAGGTTTGAGAACCACTGTTTTAACCAATTGAGAAATGAAACAAAGTGAAAACTCAAGACTGGTGAGGGTAGTTGGGGAGAGTGGTGATGTGGTTGACCATTCTTTCTCTATTAGCTTGGAAGATCTATATTCTAGCTCTCATTCTACATCTCTGACTACTTTTTCTTCATTTTGTTTGTTCCAGTTTTTAAAAAACAGATCCCACTTTCTCTTAAATAGGTTCCCCGCCCCCCAACCCGGAGTCTATTTTGGTCCTCTCTTCCTTTGTTTGCTCTCTTAGATCTTAATATTAACTCTCACTTTTCTGCAAGCCTGTTCCCCAAGCCTGTTATACCTCAAGCTCTCAGGAAACCGAGGTCACATTTTCAACTTGTCTAAATTCTGTATCTCTGAAAACAAACCCTTCCCCTCTCATCTTTCTCTTTCATTCATTATGTATTCTCTACTCATCACCTGGGCTCCACCCTCTTCTCTTTCTACTGCCTCTATCAAAATTCATGCTCATTTCTGTTGGAATGCACTATAGTGTCCCCTCCACCTTCTGCCTCTTTAGTGCATCCCGGTATCAGATTAACCTTCCTAAAATATTATTCCATTATAGTGTAATGATTACACAATATAAAAAAAAACTTTTAGGTTCGGGGGTACATGTGAGGATATGTTACATAGGTAAATTCATGTCATGGGAGTTTGTTGTACAGATTATTTCATCACCCAGGAATTAAGCCCAATACCCAATAGTCATCTTGCTCCTCTCCCTCCTCCCACCCTGCACCTTCAGGTACACCCATGTCTGTCATTTCTGTCTTTGCGTTGGTAAGTTCTCTTCATTTAGCTCCCAATTGTGAGAACAAGCCGTATTCTGTAACACAGGTTTTCTGTTCCTGCGTTGTTTGCTAAGGATAATAGCCTGCAGCTCCATCCATATTCCCACAAGACATGATCTCATTCTTTTTTATGGCTGCATCTGTCACACAATTCTTAAGCTCAAAATCTTTCAATGATTGTTCAGTTTATATAGAGTTCAGATTATTCAGCTTGATAGCCGAGAACTTCCAAAAATATCTCATGTACTATTATTATATCTCTTATTCCTAATATTTCTCTTTACTGCCCTAAACTCTATCAACTGGAAATGCTCCCTAATTAAGGGCCCTCATTTCCCCTCTCTGTGTTCTCATCCATTTCTCTGCCTAGAATATGTTTTCTGCTTTACTTGTCCTATAACCTTAGCTTTTCCTTCAAAGCTCATTTCAAATGCCACTTGCTCTAGGAAGTTGTCCCTGAGTACCATAGGTGCAAATGGTGTCTTCCTTTGAATTCTCATAGATTTTATCTGTCAAGTGAGTAAAGACACTTCACATTTTTTTCATTTATTTTCCTGCCGTTATTTTAATTTTAAAATGTACTGACTACATTAATTCACACAATTCAAACAAGTAAAACTATGCAGAGTGAAGAGTGGGAGTTCTTCAGTGCTTTGCCAAAGCCATTCCCATACCTACAGGAACACAGCATTACTGTTTAGTATACTATATCCTTCTAAGTCAGTAGTTCTCAAAATGTTCCTGGTAAACTCCTTGCTTCAAACCACCTGGGGAGCTAGTTAAAAATGGAGGTGCCTGTGCATCAACCCAGCCCTTCCGAATTGGAATCTCTTGGAAGTAGGAACTAGGAA
The DNA here is from genome assembly GCF_000001405.40 of Homo sapiens. NCBI lineage: Eukaryota > Metazoa > Chordata > Mammalia > Primates > Hominidae > Homo > Homo sapiens. The sequence goes on from NC_000007.14 coordinate 112,807,097, forward strand.
GCTGCACTTTGGTCATTCTTAATCATACTAAATTTTGAGAATCATCCCTTTTATCTATGCATTAAATAAGAGTTCTTTTACAAATGTATAATTTTGTTTTTTTGTTTGGTTGTTATGTTCCTTCAGTAATGCTATTGGCTTTCTTTTCATTTTTAGCAATGCATCTCAGAGATATTCATAAAACAAATGTAGAGACGCACTGTGTGTGTGTGCTTTTTAAAAAATTTTTAAACTCTATAGAATACATTTACCAAGATTGATATAGCTATTTTTCTGTTGATGGACATTTAGGCTTTCCAGTTTTTAATTATTAAGAACAGTGCTTCAGTGAATGTGTAAAATTTGCACACATGGTGATAAGTTTATGGAGTAGAAGTTGCTGGGTTAAGTGCATATTCAAAATGCTTATGCTGCTAAATTGTTCTCCAAACAGGCTTTTTGGGTTCATACCAAATTTCCACCAATTGTGAAAGAGAATATTCATATCCCCACAACTGTAATCAGTAGTACATCTTATTTTTCAGTTTTTCAGGCTGGTGGATGAAAAATAGTATTTCCTTGTTGTTTTAATTTGCTCATTTTTTCATGACTGGTGAGGTTGAGCTCCTGATTTTCTTTTTTGCCATTTGTATTTCCTTTTACATGAACTGTCAGTTCTCATTTTTGTTCATGGTTATTATTTATTGAATTGTCTACCATCAGTGCTATTGAACTGTCCATTATTTGTCTACTGATTTGAAATGTCATGTTTGTCATACTAACTTCCTATAAGTACATTGAACAGTTTCTGAACTTTTTATTCTCTTCTTTTAATGTATTTGCATTTATCTCCTATCATTTATATTATGGTAGCTTTGTAGTTTGCTTTTCCTTCTTTCTTTTTTTTTTTTTTTTTTTTTTTTTTGAGACAGTGTATCACTCTGTTGCCCTGGCTAGAGTACAGTGGTGCGATCTTGGCTCACTGCAGCCTCCGCCTCCCGGGTTCAAGCGATTCCCCTGCTTCAGCCTCCTGAGCAGCTGGGACTACAGGCATGCGCCACCATGCCGAGCTAATTTTTGTATTTATAGTAGAGATGGGGTTTCACCATATTGGCCAGGCTGGTCTCGAACTCCTGACCTCGTGATCCGCCCACCTCAGCCTCCCAAAGTGCTGGGATTACAGGCGTGAGCCACTGCACCCGGCTTTTTCTTTCTTTTTTAATTTTAGAGACAGAGTCTCACTCTGTTCCCCACGCTGGAGTGCAGCAGCATGATTATGGCTCACGGCATCCCTGATCTCACAGGCTCCAGACCACAGGTTCATGCCATCATGCCCAGCTAATTATTTATTTTTGGTAGATATGGCATCTTTCTATGTCGCCCAGGCTGGTCTCAAACTGGGACTCGAGGGGCCCTCCCACCTTGGCCTTCCAATGTGCTGGGATTACAGGTATGAACCACTGTACCTGGCCCATAGTCTGCTTTTATATCATCACCTTTATTCTTTTTCAAAAAATTTCTTGGTTATCCCTGTCCATTTTTTCTTTCATATGAAATTTTAATTAGCTTATAAAATCCATACAAAATTGTATTTGAATTTTGATTGAGACTGCAATGAGTTCTAGGTTAATTTGGGGAAGATTTGACAATTTTCCAAATCTTGATATCTCCCCAAAGCACAGACATATTTTTGATGTTTAGTCTTCTCATCAGGAAGCTGGCAGTCTCTGCAGTCTTCTGTTCTTTAGTAAAGTTTTAGTATTTTCTTTAAATAGGTCTCAAAACTTTTTAAATATTTTGCTTATTGATAAGTATTTTTATAATTGTTTTGTTTTTGCAAACTTGAATAGGATTTTTTCCATTATATTTGCTAATTGGTTTTTGCTGATTTTTAGGAAAACTGTTGAAGTTTCTTGCAGTTCTAGTAGTTTTTCAGCCATTTCATTTACACTTTTCAGTCAATGATGCCATCTATAGATAATGAGTCTTGTCTCTTCCTTTCCAGTTATTGTACCCCATTTATTTATCTTATCTTACTGAATTAGCTAAGTCTGTTGGCTCAACATTGAACAGTCATGGTGAGATTGGGCACCATGATTCTTCTGTCTTTAATGAAAGGCTACTAGTGTTTGTTAATCAAATATGAGGTTTTCTATAGGTTTGTGGTAGATGTCTTTTGTGATGTTAAGGAAGATTTCTTCTATTAATCTGAGTTAAAGCTTATTATATGGAAGTGTTAAATAAATGCTTTTTCCAGAATCCAGATGATCATTTGAGTTTTCTCTTTAACTTATATGTTAATTTGGTGGATATAGCGACTTACATTATTACTTACCTGAATTCACTCTTGGAAGGAAAAGAATCCTCTTGGGTAGTAATGAATTGTGTCATATTACTTTTATGTGATTTCTTAGTATTTTATTTAGTTGTATGACATTAAGTTGTAAGTGAAATTAGCCTGTGAATAGGCAGACTAATGGCCTCACAAAGATGTCCTAATTCGTGAAACCTGTGAATAAGCTACTTTACATAGCAAAAGGGATGTTGCACATATGAGTTAGGTTAACAAATTTGTGCTAAAGAGATTATTCTAGATTATCTACATTGGCCCAATCAAATTGCACAAGTCCTTAAAAAGGGAAAACCTTTCCAGCTGCAACTAGAGAAAGAGATGTAGCAACAGAGGAGAGTTCACAGAGATGTGATGTGAGAAGGACTTGTGCTGACTTTACTG